>NC_000002.12:3343333-3646363 GCF_000001405.40 Homo sapiens
ACGCAGGTACAGGCCGGCTCCGAAAACAAGCAATGCGAGAAAGAAACACCGTAACTAAGGTGAGTGCAAAAGATTACCAGGGCCCAAAAGAAAGACCCATTAACACCAGCTAGGCAGGTCTGCAAAGGCGGTCGCCCTGTGAGCAGTACTTAAATGTTACTTTAAACTTTTCAAGCCACATTGGATTTTTTAATGTGTTAATCGTTTATGATAAAGATCAAACTCATGTATTTTGAATCATCATTAAAATTTTTAAAGTTGATTTTACCAGTGCTGGGCTAAGGCTATAGGTGACACTGTAAAGATTTAGAATAAAGAGTTATAAAAATGTATTAGGAAGTCCATGAAGATGAACTTAATCACCTCTCCCTCCTTTTCTGCAAGAATCGGGGCTTGGAGAGAAATGCTGTGTGGCCACAGCCCAGGGCCAGGCTGCCGAGTACAGAGCTGTGGGGCCGGGCCACCGAGTACAGAGCTGCAGGGCCAGGCTGCTGAGTACAGAGCTGAGGCCATCGCACTGTCCATTTCATCTGCGCTTCTAAACTGAAAGTTTAAAAACTCTTGAGAATTGAAAAAACAAAAAAAGGGCCAGGCACGGTGGCTCACACTTGTGATCCCAGCACTTTGCAGCGCTGAGGCAGGAGGAGGATGGCTTGAGCCCAGGAGGTCAAGACAAGCCTGGGCAACATGGCAAGATCCCATCTCTACAGAAAAAAATAAAAACAAAAAATACCACATATAAATAAGACTGGATATTAAAAAATCAAGAGGCACCCGCCTAGGGAAAGTGAATGATCCAATGGCTTCCCCAGAGGCAGGAGATTCCCTCGGCCGCTGATGGCAAACCCCCCAGCTCTCACCCTGACGGCCACCAGGCAGATGACAGGAGACACCGTCCCTGCCACGTCATCCATGACTAAAACCCACCTGCCCAATGGCAATTCCTTAAGAGTTATGCAGAATACTGAATACTGCCTGTGACCAGATCCTGGACAGAACAAGCCATGGGCCCATATCGCTGCTTTTCTTTACCCCTGGTTACAGCATGTGACTCTGAAAACACAGTTTCTACTCTAGTCGGCTTCACGCTTCAGCTCAGTGCTGACATGAACGTGACCTGCCAATCAAGAGACCTGGTTTCTCATTTGGATTCTGCCATTCCTGGCTGTGTGACCCTGGGCAAGTCACTAACCCTTTCTGGGCTCTTTGTATATCTGGGCCCCTCTCAGCATTTGTACATTTAGGAAACTACATCTCTAAGATCCCTTTGTTCTAATAGAAACATATACTGGTTCTGGTTCTTTTTTTTTTTTTTTTTTTTTTTTTTGAGACAGAGTCTTACTCTGTCTCCCAGGCTGGAGTCCAGTGGTGCGATCTCGGCTCACTGCAACCTCCACCTCCCCAGTTCAAATGATTCTCCTGCCTCAGCCTCCTGAGTAGTTGCAACTACAGGCAGGCACCACCACGCCCAGCTAATTTTTGTATTTTTAGTAGAGACAGGGTTTCATCATATTGGCCAGGCCAGGCCCATAAGCACTGGAAAATCTAACATACTTAATAACTCTTTTTCCAGTGCTTATGAGCCCCATACAATAACCAGCATTTCCCTAAACATATTAATACTTCTCTCTTAGGCAATTAAAGCATAGGGTATTAATAGCCCTTGCCCATGAAGCCCAAACAGTACACTCGGCAGTGGGAGAGAAAAAAGACTCCACATTCCAGAAGCTCCCTGTGCCCCAGAAGCACGTTGCTCAGAACTGTGCAGAAAGTGACACAGCCTGTGCAGTGCGTGGTCAAGGGCTGCGGGGGAGGCTGGAACCTAACTGGGTCACTGGAATGCCACCAGCTGCTTCTGGTAGCAGAGAACGGGGCTGAAGTACCGGCTCTTCCTTCCAGTGGGGAGCTGCCTCTCACTCTAAAAATCAGAAAGATACAAGTAGAACTCTATAAAAAAAAAATTATTGGGGCATAATCAATATATTGAGACCAGGCCAGGTGCAGTGGCTCACACCTATAACCCCAGCACTTTGGGACTGTGGATCACCTGAGATGGTGAGGTGGGTGGATCACCTGAGGTCAGGAGTTCAAGACTAGCCTGGCCAACACGGTGAAACCCCGTCTCTACTAAAAATATAAAAATTAGCCGGGCATGGTGGTGCACGCCTGTGATCCCCGCTATTCAGGAGGCCGAGGCAGGAGAATCACTTGAAACTGGGAGGCAGAGGTTTTAGTAAGCTGAGGTCACACCACGGCACTCCAGCCTAGGCAATAGAGCGAGACTCTGTCTGGAAAAAAAAAAAGAAAAAGTAAGAAAAATATGTATATATATAGTGAGACCAAAATTCTCAGAAAGCAAAGTGGGGTACAATTCACAGAAGAAAATAAAAAAGAAAGTGCACAGTGGGAGGTGGCACCGTGGCACTACACTTCTGTTTCTCTTTACACGGATGCACATGTAGGAAGGGAATGCGGCCCCGGGGCACCACGCTTATCTTTCCCTAGATCTAGCTTGGTGCACACAGAAGAGGGAAATAGGGCACCATGTTAATCTTTCTCTTGGTTTATACTGGTGCACACATATGACTTGCTCTTGGTACAGAAGTCCAGTGAAAACCACCACCACCACCACCACCGTGCCAGAGAAATGCGTTAAGGAAACCCTTATGAAACAGATGACTGGGGAAACCCTATGATCCAGAGTCCACACCACTTCTCCCAGCATGTTTTGTTCATCCGAAGTAGTGACAGACACCCTGCCCACCCCCTACACCCCACAAACCGAGCATAGGCCCATGCGGGAGGGCCACCACTCGGGAGCTGGCCCAAGGGCGGCAGCAGGGCCCATGGGAGATTCTGGGCATTGACTCCTTGTGACTCTGGTGGGATAGACGAAACTGGCTGTGGGTTTTGACCCAATGCTCGTTGATATGGACACCAGGGAATCTGATGGAATTTGCAGCAAAATCCCGGAAGTGGATGGCCAGGCATGGGGTTTCTGGATAGCGTGACTTCTCTAGACAGAAAGCCAATGTTTGTCTGAAAATGTAATAGATGCCCAATAGAACATCACAAGGTTTACTTGTGAAAAGTGAGTATATTTGCTGCAGTAGAACTAATTCTTACAAAAGTTTGTGACTTTCCTTAAAATACATCCATCCAACAACCTGCTCAGCACCAGGCATCGAAAGGACACAGCAGTGAATGGTCCTTGGCCTCACAATATGTGTCAGGGATCGCAAGGTGTCAAGGAATTTGGAGAAAAATAAATACACAATAGAAGTAACAGGAATCCTATAACATGAAGACTTATTTTAGAGGCATGCATACACAAAGACAGACAAGACTAGAGAAAAGGCATCAATTAGTTCCAGCTCAGGAATTGAAAAGGGGGCAGAAAAGGAAAGACTTCACAGAAAAGACGATAGAAGCTGTTTGTAGGAGAGATCAGGACTCAAAAACCTTGGACAAAAATCATAAATTTCTCCTCAAACCCAAAGAGCCCTTCCAGCTGAACACTTGCAGGAATGTCACCTGACATAGTTTGGAAATTTGTCCCTTTCGAAATCTCATGTTGAATTGTAATCCCCAGTGCTGGAGGCAGGGCCTGGTTAGGAGGTGTTTAGATCCTGGGGACAGATGCCTCATGGCTGGGTGCTGTCTTCATGATAGCGAGTTCTTCTGATATCTGGCCATTGAAGCATGTGGCACTCCCCCTCACTCTTTGCTCCCGCCCTCGCCATGTGATGTGCCTGCTCCCACTTCGCCTTCCACCGTGACTGGAAGCTTCCTGAGGCCGTCGCAGAAGCAGATGCCAGAGCCATGCTTCCTGTATGGCCTGCAGAACCATGAAACCTCTTTTCTTCATGAATTACCCAGTCTCGGGTATTTCTACATAGCAATGCAAGAATGGCCTAATACACCAACAGACCTGAGGGTGTGATATGGTTTGACTATGTCCCCACCCAAATCTCATCTTGAATTCCCATGTGTTGTGGGACGAACCTGGTGGGAGACAATCGAATCATGGGGGCAGTTCTTTCCCATGCTGTTCTCCTAATAGTGAATAAGTCTCATGAGATCTGATGGTTTTATAAGGTGGAGTTTCCCTGCACAAGCTCTCTTTGCCTGCCGCCATCCACGTAAGATGTGACTTGCTCCTCCTTGCCTTCCACCATGATTGTGAGGCCTCCCCAGCCATGTGGAACTGTGAGTCCATTAAACCTCTTTTTCTTTCCCGTCTCGGGTATGTCTTTATCAGCAGCATGAAAACAGACTGATACAGGGTCAAACTGATTCTTCAAGAGTGAGGGAAAAGGGGAATATCAGAGAGCACTTTGTATGTTAGATCTGAACTTGAAAGCTGGAAAAAAACAATTAAAGAATTTCCAAGTATGGCAGACCATCTAGGGATGTACCCTAAAAATACAGGACCCCTGAAGATGAAGTTCACACTGAAGACAGTAAGAAACAGAAATGCGAGTCAGGGACGCTTAGTGACAGGCTGGAGCCTCTGGATCAGGCCTCATCGAAAGGAAGCCAGGCTACCCTGTGATGCTTCAGTGGGCAACTAGGTCCTTTTACCATTAAAGGAAGAGAGAAGGGTGAGGGAGGAAAGAGCAGGAGCAGCGGGGAAGAAATCAAGGCTCAGTTAGCCTAGAGTGGGGCTGGGAATCTGAATGTTGACCAAGCACCCTGGTGATTCTGAGCACAGGTGAGAACAGGACTTGCAGGCGGGGGGGCTGCAGGAACAAAGTTGTCACCAATCAGAGGCGCTGCAGGAACAAAGCTATCACGAATCAAAACAGATGCAGAACCAGATGCAGAACCGCGCAGCTTAGCTGAGAAACTAAGACGTTAGCCAGGGGAGGAAACGAGCTGCTCTGTCGCTGCCCTTCTGTGACATCAGTCTTTTCACTGACGAGGACCCTGGTCACCGGGGCAATGCTTCCATGTTAGAAGAGGCAAAGCCGGTCCTCTCTGTCACCATGGCACTCCCAGAGGTCTCCAGAGGAAGATTAAGACTCATCTCTTATCTACATGAGAAAGAGGGGGGCACCAATATACAGGGAAAGTCTGTGGGAAATGCAGAAGCACTTACAGGCCTCAGGTCGCGGTTCCTCATCCCTGCCCATGCTAAGCCATGATCACACCCCCCAGGAAGAACTCCAGCTCCTCCTCAAAGGAGAACCCCAGAAAGCGAGCAAGGACCCCAGAAATCCTTGTCCCGCCTAAGCACAGGGAGCTATGACAGAGTCCTGTCCCACAGGAGGAAACAGACACAAATCAGTTCATCCCTCAGAGGAAAGTCAGCAACTGTGACAGTCCCCACATTTTCAGAAAGATAGCGCAGCTGCATTATGCAGTAACGATGCAGGTACCGGGCATTTTCCAGGGAATCAACGACTGAAAGGAGCGAGGACCTGAGGCAACACCAGGAGCTATTAACCCTTCCCAGCCACCACTCCCCAGGAGAGCTGGAGCTCCAGAGTGAGGGATGGCGGCTTCCGACTGTGCAGGAGGAGACCAGACTCCGTTGTCACAGAAGGCAGGGGCAGGGCTGCAGTCCACAGCCAGTGGAGCCTTCCCGGCGTCTCTCCTGGTCTGTGCACATGCGCACAGGCGGGCTGCTCGCAGCCGGAACCATGGGGCCCAGGCTGTTCAGGATGGAGCTGTCCTGATTTTCAGGACATCTCACCCCAGAGACACGGCATGGCAACAGCACGGGTGCACCCTTTCCACGTGTGTCTGTACAAAAGTGTACACTTCAGGTGCAAGAGCATACCCATGGCACATGCCTCAGAGCTGAACTGCAAATTCAAAGGAGAGGGAAGCGAGCAGAGAGAGGCAGACATGCAGGTTTCAGTCCCGATTCTGCCACGCACCAGCTCCACACTGCGTGGGGCCACCTGCCTCACCAGAAAACCTGTTCTGCTGACTGAGGCAGCATGTGGGAACCAGCCCTAACCGGCCCTGCTCCAGTACCAGCTGCCTCCTCCAGCCACTCACCCACCTCCCCGACTCCACAAGCCTCAGCCAACTGTGAGCCCTGGGAAGAGTGTGAGCGCAGGGACTGCTTTACTGATCACGGTGCCAGCACCGCCCACACAGCCAGCTCCAGGGAGGCTCCAAACAGACCCAGGGCAAACAGCAGCCAAAGAACTGCACAATACCACCACAAGACGGGGATAAGGAGGACGCTGGGAGACCAGGACAGGGAGGATGCTGCCAGACAGGGACAGGGACAGGGAGCATGCCAGGAGACGGGGACAGGGAGGACGCCGGGAGACAGGGACAGGGAGCATGCTGGGAGACAGGGACAGGGAGCATGCTGGGAGATGGGGACAGGGAGGACGCTGTGAGATGGGGACAGGGAGCATGCTGGGAGATGGGGACAGGGAGGATGCTGCAAGACAGGGCCAGAAAGCACACTGCAAGATGGGGACACAGAGAATACTGTGAGATGGTGTATTAGTCTGTTCTCACACTGCTATAAAGAACTACCTGAGGCCAGGTACGGTGGCTCACGCCTGTAATCCCAGCACTTTGGGAGGCCAAGGCGGGCAGATCACCTGAAGTCAGGAGTTTGAGACCAGCCTGGTAAACATGGCAAAACCCTGTCTCTACTAAAAATATAAAAATTAGCTGGGCGTGGTGGCCTGTGCCTGTAATCGCTTGGGAGTCTGAGGCAGGAGAATCGCTTGAACCTGGGAGGCAGAGGTTGCAGTGAGCCGAGATCACGCCACTGCACTCCAGCCTGGGTGAGAGAGTAAGACTCTGTCTCAAAAAAAAAAAAAAAAAAAAAAAAAAACTACCTGATACTGGGTAGTTTATAAAGAAAAGAGGTTTAATTGACTCACAGTGCCACAGGCTATACAGGGGACATGGCTGGAGAGGCCTAAGGCAACTTACTATCACAGCAGAAGGGTGAATGGGAAGCAGGCACATCTTCACATGGCAATAGGAGAGAGCATGAAGGGGGATGTGCCACACCCTTTCAAACAATCAGACCTGTGATAACTCACTCACTGTCACGAGAACATCAAGGGGGGAATCCACGCCCATGATCCAATCACCTCCAACCAGGCCCCTCCCTCAAAACTGGGGATTACAATTTAACATGAGATTTGGGTATGGACACAGGGCCAAAATATACCAGATGGTAATACTAATAGTACTATGAATAACTGCTTGTCCATTTCACCATTTCACTAAACACTGAACTCAGGACACGAATATCTGTTCAGGTTTTGTGTACCCAGCACATAAAAAAGAGGAATTAAAGAGTTCTGTTATTCTATGAAGTAAGCATTTGTTGAGTGGATGAATGAATGAACAGCTCAACAATGTCACATGCCTTTACCAGAAACAGAAAGACAAAACCAGCAAGTCAAAAACACAGCTTCATACCTACCATACGGATTCACACACAGACAACTGCAGGCAAGTGTGGAAATACATGAGGTATGTAATAAAACATACTGTTGACTCAAAAAAATAAGATCCTGGCAAACTAATCTGAGTAATTATCAGAACTCTTCAATTTAGAAGAAAGGAGACAGAAAAACTGGAAAGCTTCTTTAAAATAATTAATTGAATGTTACTTCGTTCCAAAAAAAAAAAAAAAAACAAATTAAGGTAGATTAAAACACTTTCTGTCATTTTGGGCGATTTTTTTTTTTTTAGACAGAGTCTCGCTCTGTCACCCAGCCTGGAGTGCAGTGGTGCGATCTCGGCTCACTGCAACCTCCATCTTCCCAGTTGTCAAGTGATTCTCATGCCTCAGCCTTCCAAGTAGCTGGGATTACAGGTGCGTGCCACCACACCCAGCTAATTTTTGTATTTTTAGTAGAGACAGGGTTTCACCATGTTGGCCAGGCTGGTCTTGAACTCTTCATCTCAAGTGATCCACCCGCCTTGGCCTCCTGAAGTGCTGGGATTACATGCGTGAGCGACCACACCTGGCCTCTTCTTATTTCTTCTATTTTGATAACTTTGGTACCAATGGTTCTTCATTAATGTCATTACCAAATGGAAATGCCATTACTACATTCTGGCTAAGAGCAGGTACACAGTAATTTACTCATAACTATCATGCTTTCCATGGCCCCATTTTGTGTTGAATTCCTGGGTTTCTGCTGACTTCTGCTTTCTGAAGCTGCATTTGGAAGGCAGACTGGCGTGCCTCCCATCCTATCTCTGTGCCACTATCTCCCATGTGGGTTTTACTCCCCAACTCCCCTGTAGGCACCATCCCTGAAACCACAGGCCATCTTCATGGTGGGTCCTCCTTCCTTTTCAGGTGGCCACTGGTAACTATTTTTATAAATAAGTAATTCCCTTCTTATATTTTTTCCAGTAGAAAAGTAACACACATACATACATACACATTCGGAAAACAAAACATTAGAAAGAAAAGAATTTTACATCCTGAATAGATGTTGCCCCCACCTCATCCCAATTTGAGGTTTTGCTTTCTCAGGTTTCAGTTACCTGTGGTCAAGTGTAACACAAAAATATTAAATGAAAAATTCCAGAAATAAGCAATTCATAAGTCTAAATCACATACCATTCTGAGTAGTGTGGTGAAGTCTGGAGCCATCCCACTCCATCCCACCCGAAACGTGAGTCATCCCTTTGATCAGCATATCCATGCTACAGAAGCTACCTGCCCCTGAGCCACCCACACTGTCTGTTCCGGACACCTTTGATCAGCATATCCATGCTACAGAAGCGACCTGCCCCTGAGCCACCCACACTGTCTGTTCCGGACACCTTTGATCAGCATATCCATGCTACAGAAGCGACCTGCCCCTGAGCCACCCACACTGTCTGTTCCGGACACCTTTGATCAGCATATCCATGCTACAGAAGCGACCTGCCCCTGAGCCATCCATACTGTCTGTTCCCGACACCTTTGATCAGCATATCCATGCTACAGAAGCGACCTGCCCCTGAGCCACCCACACTGTCTGTTCCGGACACCTTTGATCAGCATATCCATGCTACAGAAGCTACCTGCCCCTGAGCCATCCACACTGTCTGTTCCCGACACCTTTGATCAGCATATCCATGCTACAGAAGCTACCTGCCCCTGAGCCAACCACACTGTCTGTTCCCGACACCTTTGATCAGCATATCCATGCTACAGAAGCTACCTGCCCCTGAGCCACCCACACTGTCTGTTCCTGACATCCAACCATCAACACCTTATGGCTTGATGATCCAGATCACCCAAAACAGATACTCCTGCTGTTGACATATCCTCTGAAGGTCAGTAATAGCCTAACGCTACATCACAATGCCTATGTCATTCCCCTCACTTCATCTCATCACACAGGCCTTATATTATTGCACATCTTCTCAAGAAAAAGGATGAGTGGCTGGGCGCAGTGGCTCACGCCTGTAATCCCAACACTTTGGGAGGCTGAGGCCAGCAGATAACCTGAGGTCAGGAGTTTGAGACCAGCCTGGCCAACGTGGTGAAACCCCGTCTCTACTAAAAATACAAAAATTAGCTGGGCGTGGTGGTGCATGCCTGTAATCCCAGCCACTCAGGAGGCTGAGGCAGGAGAATCACTTCAACCTGGGAGGCGGAGGTTGCAGTGAGCTGAGATCGTGCCATTGCACTCTAGCCTGGGCAACAGAGTGAAACTCTGTCTCAAAAAAACAAAAACCAGAAGAAGGGTGAGTATAGTACAGTAAGGTGTTCTGACAGACAGAGACCATATTCATATAACTTTCATAACTAATAATCATTGTGTTTTTATTAGTTATGTTGTTAAGCTTTTGTTGTGCCTAACTTATACCTTAAACTTTACCTATATGTAAGTATAGGAAAAAGCATGATATGTTTAGGGTTCAGTACTCACCAAGGTTTCCTGGCATCCGCTGGGTGGTCTTGGAACACATCCCCTGTGAAAAGCATCTGAAGATAACCCTTGGCTCAATTTTTAGTCCTTTTTGGCCTATTTCCTTCCAGTCTTTATTCTAAGAAGAGATTCAATTGTGCACTTTGCTTTTTTACACCACGTTGATCATACTGTAAGCACAATTTTAACATCCCACCAAATCATCTAACGATTCTTAAGTTGTCATGTTTCTTAGGAGTCTATAACTTTTAATGAGTGTAATAAGGGAATACTATTCACTGTGAGTAACCAGATTCAACCTGAGGGAAGTGTATGAATCTGCCATTACAAGTGGCAATTTCATATTGTTCAACCTAACATTCACGCATTTTGATATTCTGATTGCTTGTAAGTTTTTATAACTATAAGTATCATTATAATTAATATTCTTCGTGTATAATGATTTTTCCTAGGTTTGGGATACAGGAATTACAGATTAAGTATATAAACATTTATTTATGAAGCTCTAAGGATGTATCACTGAACTAGTTGCCAATGACTATGCTGACTTTAAATCTTTATCGACATACGAGAGTGACAGTTTCACTACATCCTATCCAGGCCTGCGTATTCTTCGACAGCTATTTGAATGCCATTTCCCCTGTGTGATCAGATAAGCCGGACAGAAGCCCTAGACCATGTCTGACATGGCCTCCCGCACATTTTCCCAGTGTCAAAGACAATGCACATCTTTGCAATCACCACGGCATCTCATTTTAATCTCCACTTTAGCAATAAGAAAATGGAGTCCAGCAAGGGGAATCCGTGTGCTCAAGGTCACGTGGTTACTGCCAGGCCATGAACCGAATCCGATCTCCTAAGTGTCCGCTACAGTGACCAGAACACCAAAGGGTCCCATCTGTATCCCCACCTGGATCAAGGGGCAGTGACAGATCAAGTGGCCTGGGTCAAGTAGGGATGAGGTTGTGACACACCCCACACTCACCTAGAAAGAGTTCTATGAGCAATTAAAGAAGGAATCCACAGGCCAAGAAGAAGGGGTAGTGGTGACCACATATCCTTGCTTCTCAATTGCTCATAAAGCCAAATCTATATAACCACAAGAGCCAAACAAGACTACGGAAGTCATGCCAAACAGAGGAAGTTTAAATTACTGAACACAGTCGATACATATAGATGGATAATATTCTTTGATTTGAAGATAGACTTAAATCCAAATGAAAGTTTTATTTTGTTTATGTGGCATTAATTTCTCAAATGTTGCTGGAAAATCAGAGCAAAATGGTTATAAAACTAAGAATAGGCTTAGTAATTATCATGTATACATTTGTCAAAAATAGTTACCTGATTATCATATTTAAGAGACTGCGTCCCAACCAAAAACCGAATGGCATCTGTTTCTGCAGTTTGAGGTGTTAAGGCACGTGCCTGCAGGAGGGAAGAAAAACACATGCACATTTATGAAGTTAGATTTAATAGAGATTATGAAGTTAGATTTAAAAAGGCAGTTTATCTCATCTACTGTTGATAAAGTATAAATTAGTACAGAGTGTCTGGAAAGCAATTTAGAAATATGTATTAAATGCCTTTGACTTTTGCACACTTTCAACACAATTCCACTTCAAATTTGCATATGGAAATCATTGTAAATGGGTACAAAATTAAGTAATAAAGATGTAAATTATCTACACATCAATGTTTAAATTAATTTTTAGTAAAACTATTATTTCAACAGTAAAAGACTGGTTAAACAAATTATACTTCAACAATACAGCAGAAAATAGCTTCCAGCAATAGCAGAGTAGGGGGTTTAAACCAACTCTTCTGCAGATAACAACTAGAAAAACTAAAAGAATAACCTGAATCTGTTTCACAGCCTCAGATAACTACCAAGGCAACAAAGAAATGCCAAGATCCAGGACAGGAGGAAGCCTAGGGGGGAAGCCCAGCACCTGGTCACGCTTCACCTAAAGGCACCTGCCAGTCTGGAAAGCCTGGCTGATAGGCTGATGCTGACGAGAGCTTTGACAGACTCGTGGAGCTCAGGGCACAAAAACCCAAGCACAGGGCCCACCTGGGAGAAGAGCCTGTAAAGCACTAACCCCACAGGTGTACAGCCCAGGAGTGAAGGCAAATGAGAATCAGACCAACCTGCACAGGCTAAAGCTCCAAGTCATCTCAATCCTGATTGGAGCAGGCCAGTGCTCTTAGGCTAGCCAGCCTCCTGCCAGAAGTCAGTCCTCTGGAGGAAGATAACATCCCAAGTCTAAAATCTGACACTGAAAAATGTTCAACATTTAATCAAAAATAGCCAGTCATAAGGCCAAGCATGGTGGCTCACACCTCTAATCTCAGCACTTTGGGAGCCTGAGGCAGTAAGATCACTTGAGGCCAGGAGTTCTGGCCAACCAATCTGGGCAATATAGCAAGACTCTATCTCTGCAAAATAAATTGTAAAAATCATCTGGGAATGGTGGCTCGTGCCTGTTGACTTAGCTGCTCAAGAGGCTGGGGCAGGAGGATCACTCGAGCCCAGGAGTTTGAGGTTACATAAGCCATGATCAAACCACTGCACTCTAGCCTGGGTGACCGAACAAGACCCTGTCTAAATAAAATAAAATAAAATAAAATAAAATGAATAAATAATTAAAATAGCCAGTCATACAATAAAACAAAACCACATGATCAAAAACCAAAAGAAACAACAACCAACAGAAAAACGGCTACCGAGGATTCAAACAGGGTCCCTGGGAAGCAAGCTCTAAAGTTCTAACGGTATCTAAAGGAGACTTACTAGCGAGTGCTCTTGGGAACTATTCCATGTTGGGGTGAAGGAGGAAGGGCTGGGCTGAGGGAGAAGATGAAATGCATCACATCTGCAATGGAGGTCTCAGCCAATCCAATGGGGAGCTCTGGAGCCGGACGGCCCTTCAGAGTTAAGGCCAGATGGCCGGGGTTTTATACCACCCAACCCCTACCCCCATGGGTCAGTCACTGGATGCAGGCTTTTCCTGAGGAGGGGTGTGACCTTGCGCAAAGTGCCTCTGTTCAGCTGAGGGCAATTCCTGGAGCAGGGCCCAGCTGAGAGCTATCAGCCCCCAGCAATCTCAGAAGTGGCTGGATTTCCTGAAAGAGAAACGTAGGCTGTATACAACAGCCTGAATTGCAATAGCTATGGTTAATATGTTTAATAATTAGAAGATAAAACTAAGATCTCAGGTGATGAATCTGAGGCTTAGAGGAAAAAGTTGTACAACTGGTTACTAGAGCTGTGACTAGCACTGCAGGCTTATAAATTCAAATCCATCTGTTTTAGGACAAGCATTAACTGCACCTGGATCAAGTTCCCGTGGCCAGCATAATAATGGCCCTCCATCCATATCCACATTCTAATCCCCAGAACCTGTGAATGTGAACTTACGCGGTAAAGGGACTCTGCTGATGTGCTTAGATTAAGGACCTTGAGATGAGGAGGCTCTCCTGGATTATTTAATCGCATGGGTCACTGAAATCAGAAAACCTTCCCTGGCTGTAGCCCCAGAGAAATGTGACCACAGAAAAGAGAATCAGAGAGGTGGTGAGGCAGGAGAACAGGGTCTGGAGGCAGGGCCTAAGGCCAATTCACCCTGACTTCCTAGAACTAAACTGAAAGGAAAACGCTAATTTTCCCCACCCAAGTAACAAAAGGACCAGAGGCTACACCCTTTGCAAACCCTCACCTTTTCTGCATGGCAGTAGGGAAATTGAAAGTACCTCTGATTGGTTGCTTTTTGCAACTAATCAGATGTTTGCATAAAGCTGTAACTTTGTAACTTCACTGTAGCCTCTGATTGGTTGCTCTGATTGGTTGCTTTCTACAACCAATCACACTGATTGTGGGCCATCACTTCATTTACATGGGGTAAACACCAAGTGGCCAATGGGAAACCTCCAGCAGGTATTTGGACCTGAGAAGATTCTGCATTCAGGGCCCTTGAGCAGCTGCTCGGCCCAATCCCACCCCATGGAGCGTACTTTCATTTTCAGTAACTCTCTGCATTTGTTGCTTCATTCTTTCCTCACTTTGTTTTGTCCAGTTCTTTGCTCAAGATGCCAAGAACCTGGACACCCTCCACCAGTAACAATGGCAGCTGTGAGGAGGACCCAGTGGCTGTTGCTGGATTTAGAGATGAATGAGAGTTGTTAAAGCAAACTAAATATGGCCTGAGAAGGACTCCCTGCTTCTATATTTGAGTCCTTGTGGATGAAACATAACCTACCTTAATATGCAGACAAGATTGAGAACCTAACTTAGGAGTATGCACCTGTAACAACTGAGTCTTGGCCAATCCCAGCAGCCATACTTCAACCACTCATACACTGCTGAGTGTTCAAACTGTGTTCAAATAAGGCAAATGCCAGCCTGTAACCCATCCAGCTGTTTCTGCACCTCACTTCCCATTTCTGTATGTCACTTCCCTTTATTTGTTTATAAATTTGTCCTGACCACAAGGCATCCCTGGAGTCTCTCTGAATCTGCTGTGATTCTGGGGGCTGCCCAATTCACGAATTGATCATTGTTCAATTAAACTCCTTTAAATTTAATTCAGCTGAAGTTTTTCTTTTAACAGAGTCCGTGAGCCAAGGAATGTGGGTGCCTCTGAAAGTTAAAAAAGGTGAAGACACAGATTCTCCCCTAGTGCCTCCAGGAAGTAACAGAGACCTACTTATGTCTTGACTTTAGCCCAGGGAGATTCATTTTGGGTTTCTGACTTACAGAACCGTAAAATAATAAAATTATGTTATTTTGAGCCACTACGTTTATGGGAATTTGTTATGGCAGCAACAGGAAACTAACCCTGCATCCTACAGCTCACTAAATGCCCCCATTCGGTCATGCCCCCTTCCCATACGGAGCTCCGAATACACCTGACACCCACTTCCCACCTCCTCGGCAGTCACATCCAACTCTTACGTGTTCTTTCTGGTGTTTTGATTCATTTCTTTCAAAACCAGTTAAGAGAAACAAGTGAACGGTTGCCCTGACCATTTAGTCTGCCTAGTTTTGACTTGGTTTCCACAACTAGAGCAAAACAAGGACATCTCTTGGGTGTCCACTGCAAAAAAGTTGAGAGAGAACAATTTCATGAACTGTTCTTAGAAAACATAACCAATATTATCTATGTTCCCAACCTTCCCAAAATAGCAGCACAAAACTTCAACAGCTAAAATACATTTCAATAAAACCGAGAATACACATGTCTAGAGCAACATTCCCATGATTAGACACCTGGAGAAAATATCTGTGTGAGCCAATTCAACTCTTCAAGATACATTTAAGGGTCCCACTGTCGGTATTCCTCTACCCTCTGCTGCAACTTCCCTGGACAATTTTTGGAGCTTTAGACTCATAAAGTTATAGGCCTTCTGCCAAAAAGGTGCATATATGCACAGAAAATTTTGCATATAATTATCAGCAAGTCACAGAGCCTCTGACGCTATCCAATTTAAACAGCTCTGGCTTGGAGAAAGATGACTCTGATGAGGAGGAGGGCAAGCCATTCCTGAAAGACAAAGCCCTGACTACTCCAAGGCTGAGCCCCAGGTCAGGAGAGAGAACACCGGGACAGGTCCACCTTCAGACAAGAACCCCAAGATTTTCAAATGCAGGACTGTGTTATCACCCTAGACGTTAAAAAGCCCAAAAGCCCCCAAAAATAGCACCCAGGAGAGGACCCACCTCAAAGGGAATGATTATTTTCCACAGAAAAGCTTGTCTATGCCTCAAGTCAGTGATGAAGGGTTGCCTAGTGGCAGGTGCTGTGGAGGCATCAAAGAGGTATGAGGTGCCACCTCTGCCCTCAGGAAACTTGGACTCTCATTAGGAGAGAGGAGACAAACACTCAAAAAGATTAAAAGACAAGATGATAGACGATTAAGTATCAAAAACACTGGCACAGACCATAATAACAACATATTAACATTTATCAAAATGAACCCAGGAGCTCAAAGTTAGACAGAAGGCAGGATTAAATGCCATCACTTTAAAATAGAAGAAAACCAAAAATAAGTAAATTGTATCAGTGGCTACTATACTGAAAAATGAAGGGCAAGTCAGAAAATGCAGAAGCTGCTTGAGTGACAACAATGAACCGGTATTCAATTTACTCCACTCTAAAGCAATTTGCAGAGCCGAGAGCTGCATACCTGGAGAGGAATCATGGTAAGCAGGCAGAAAAACAAGTCTAAATAGATCATCTGTTTCAGACAGAGTGAAGAGGTTGCAGTTTTGGAAAAGCATTGCAAATTTGAAACTATCTTATTCAAGCTCATACAAGAAAAGACACTTCTTTAAAAAAAAATGGAAGTGGAGAATCATTTGTATAGACCTATCTAAAATGTATCTTTAAAAATCACAGTGAAATAAAAAGTTTAATTTAAGAGCTTTCCAAAAATTATTTAATTTGGGCCATTCTGGTGACAGATCTCCAAGTGTATAATTCTACCTCTTTGATTAAAGTAATGATAAAATGACCACTAAGTCTAGTCAGAATGATCGTTTTACAGGTGTTCCAATGACCTTATTACAAAAGATCAAATTTTTATAGTATAATATGTCAAAAAACATTTTCACACATTCTGTCTTGGTTCATCCTCATAATTCAATGAAGTGCACAGAAGACAGGATGCAGATTATTCCCATTTAGTACATAAACTGAGGACGAGCAAGGTCATGTGACTTCGCCTCTGCCTCAAAGCTACCAAAGGGGAAAAAGAACCCACACTCCCAACGTTCAGCCCGGCTATGGCTCTCTCATGGTAAAGTAGGGTAGCTGGCAACACAAATGGCACATTTGGTAGAAGCTGGAACACAGGTCCCTTTATACTAAAAATTCTGTGTATTTTCCCCAGTTCTTATAAAGAAAGGCCAAGGCGAGTCTAGGCACAGTGGCTCACGCCTGTAATCCCAACACTTTGGGAGGCCGAGGCGAGCAGATCACCTGAGGTCAGGAGTTCGAGACCAGCCTGGCCAACATGGTGAAAACCCATCTCTACTAAAAACACAAAACTTAGCTGGGCGTGGTGGTGAGCGCCTGTAATCTCAGCTACTCAAGAGGCTAAGGCAGGAGAATTGCTTGAACCAGGGAGGCAGAAGTTGCAGTGAACCTAGATCGTGCCATTGCACTCCAGCCTAGGCGACAAGAGTGAGACTCCATCTCAAAAAAAAAAAAAAGAAAGAAAGAAAGAAAGGCCAAGGCATTTTTCTCACAAAGCCAAATTTCTAGTCTGCCACCACCCTGTAGGGAACCAAACCAGGCAAAGGAATTGGAAATGCTGAGAGTTCAGGATCGTAGCAGGAAAGAATCATCAGGAACCTTACAACTACTTAGAGTAGGTAGAAATATCAGTACCTAGACATATTAACTGAGCACACACCATTCCCTTGGGAAACTCAAAACTGTATTCATTTGCTTACTAGGTTAAGCAAGTAAGTGGTTTCCAGAAACAGGTAGCAAACCGTGTCCATTAAAGCTTTGCTATCAGAATTCTCCACTTAGAAGGTTTAAGGAGGGCAGGTGGAGAGGGGCTTCAGCTTGAAGCAGGGCAGACACAGGCCAGGAGCAGATGAACCTGCTCTCCTACACTGAGAGTCTCCCTCCAGAAAGGACCGCTACAAAGCGCTGCTCACCAATCACCAGGATGACCCTCAGGAAGAGGAAAGTATGGGGAAAGGGGAGGGGGAAGGAAGGGGAGGAGAAGGGAGGAGGGAGGAAGAGAAGAGAAGAAAAAAAGGAAAAGAAGGAAAGGGGGCAAAGTCCTAACTTCCCCATTCTGTGTTACCTAAATACCCATTTCTCATCTCCTACACCCAAAAGAAAAAATGCAGTCAAAGAATTGAAGTGCATTAAAAGGAAAATAAACCCTCCAGGAGAACTGAGGTGATGATGCTCTATTTCTGAGAGCCCAGAAGCCCTAACACACATTCATTCATTGGCTCCTGCACTTACCCGTTGAAGTCCAAGCCTTTCCACGTAGCTAAGGGGCTTTCATTCCACCCTCACCTCCTCCATTTTGTATTGCCTGGGGCAGATATTACCTGTAATCTCTTTGCAAGCCCCTGGTGCAAGCCCAACCCCCTAAGCTGCAAGGAAAGAACTCACTTCACAGGTCCCCAAGGAAACAGAGCCATCTCTGGCTTCCAGGAAACCCCCATAGCAGCCATTCTGCTCTCACCTCTCTCTCTTCTCTGGCTTCTTAGTTAACAGCTCACATGTCCCTTTCTCCTTGGAAAAAAAAAAAAACTGTCTTTGACTTGATGTCCCTCCCAAACTACTGCCCTATCTCTGTCCTTCCACTCACAGCAGATGTAACAATGGGTAAGCAGGCGAGGAGTGCTCTTCCAGCCCTTCCAGCCAGCTGCGCCCAGTTCCTCACCCTGTGCTGACCTGACCTCCACTCAGTCATCAGAGTCACCCAACTGTCAGACCCAACAGCCGCCTCCAGCCCCAATCCTGCCCTTGGACTCCCTCACACGGGCACCTCCACCCTCTGACCCTGCCCAAGCCCTTGGACTCCCTCACACGGGCACCTCCACCATCTGACCCTGCCCAAGCCCTTGGACTCCCTCACACGGGCACCTCCACCATCTGACCCTGCCCAAGCCCTTGGACTCCCTCACACGGGCACCTCCACCATCTGCACACCCTGCAAGGCCTTCCCAATCGCCTCCTGCTCTTCTTTCTCCCTTCACCTACATTTTTGCTTCTGGAGTTCGATTCTGACTTTTCTCATCCACACCTTCCTCTTTGGCATGCTCCCTTTTCTGTAAGTTAGGCCCATGCTTTCCAAATGCGAATCTGGTGCCCAGGCACATCCTAAACTGCCCGAGCCAGACCCGCACTAAGCGCCCCTGGGCACGTCCACTCAACTAAGCTTGGACCTCAACTACCGTTCTGGTCCCTGTCCCTCCCCAGTCCCACCAGCCCCTTTCATCACACGGGGATGAGCCCCTCACTCCCAGCCTGCCCCATTCATACACACAGGGGTGAGCCCCTTCCCCACAGCCTGCCCCATTCATACACAGGGGGATGTGCCCCTCCCTCCAGCCTGCCCCATTCATTCATACACATGGGGGTGAGCCCCTCCCTCCCAGCCCCACACCCAATACCTGGGCTCTGGCTTTTCCAGCGCTCTCCATCCCCACCCTCCTCTCCCCATTCGGTGCTTAAATTACATTTTAACAACCTCTTAACCAATTTTCCTGACTGAGTCCATGTTCCAGTTTTTACCCTAAACCTTGCCACAAAAGCTACTTTATCAAGTCAAATCTGGACTTCAGGTTTTAAGCGGTGGGCTGAAGGCTTCATTTCTTTCCTGTCAGACTCTGGGAAATCACACAAAAGCAGGAAGAAGGAGATCACCCCACTGCACTCCAGCCTGGGTGACAGAGCGAGACTCTGTCTCAAAAAAAAAAAAAAAGGAGAAGAAAAAACAGAAATATAAACTCCATCTACAGTGAAACTTAGAAACATCTATAATCCAAAGGCATAGTATCTGAAGACAGAGGGCATTGGCTGCTGAGGTCAGGAAGGAGCAGGTGCTGGAGGCAGGCTGGGGGAGCCACAGCCCCGCACGCCCCAGGGAGCAGTCCCTAGACCACATGCATGCCCTGGAAGCAATGCTGAAACCCTGGAGGGGACAACAGCAACAGGTGCCCAGGCTGGGGGCAGGTACTTCCCATACACATGGTAGGAAGGAGAGTAGGGCAGGCAGGGCTGCCTGGTGTCTTCTCAGGAAGCTGTTTCTGGCTCTTCAAGCTAAGGGGAGAGGTGTTGCATCCTGGGCGGCCTGCATCTGCCCTTCTCCTTGGGCTTGGGGTAAATGACAGCTCAAAGAATTTCCTCACAAACACAACACTATGTCGTCAGCATTCCTGCCAGCCTGCGATGGGGGCCGGGCCCAGCTCCACATACAGATCCTGCTGGACCAGGAAAAGATTCACCATGAAAAGACCAGCGATCAAAAGAAACGAGCACAGGTGCCAAACAAAGGCACTACAAAGGGAGACGGGCAGGGAAGAAAAACAAAAAAAGACATCAAAGGATGGAAAACACAAACCGGGAAGTATTGACACATGATGGCTGAAAATTGTAATCAAACATATCAACAAAAATCATAAAACTTAATGAAGGAATCATCTTTCTAAAAACAGGGAAGAGAAGAAAAGCAGCCAAGCATGGTGGCTCATGCCTATAATCCCAATACTGACGGAGGCCAAGGTGGGCAAATGGCTTGAGCTCAAGAGTTTGGGACCAGCCTGGGCAACAAGGTGAAATCCCGTCTCTACATAAAATATAAAAGTCAGCCAAGTGTGGAGGTGTGCGCCTGTAGTCCCAACTGCTCAGGAGGCTGAGGTGGGAGGCTTGAGTGCCAAGGCTGCAATGAGCAGAGACTGCACCCCTGCACTCCAGCCTGCTTGACAGAGTGAGACCGTGCCTCAAAAACATAAATATATAAGAAAAGAAAAGAAGACACAGAATGGGGTAAAGATTTGCAAATATCCATCTGTCAGGCGATTAATAACCACAACAGATAAGAAGCTCAGACAACTCAACAGCAAAAAAAAAAAAAAACACCAAAATAAATCAATTAAAAAATGGGCAAAAGATCTGAATAGACATTTCTCAAAAGAAGACGCACAAATGGCCAACAGGTCTATGAAAACATGCCCAACATCACTAACTGTCAGAGAAATGCAAATCAAAACCATAATGAGATTTCATTTCACCCCAGATAGAATAATTTTTATTAAAAAGGCAGAAAATAGCAGATGCTGGCAAGGATGTAGAGAGAGGGAGCCCTCATACACTATTGATGGGAATATAAATTAGTACAGTCATTATGAAGAAGAGTATGGCGTCTCCTCAAAAAACTAAAAATAGAGCTACCACATCATCCAGCAATCCCACTACTGGGTAGATATTCAAAGGAAAGGAAATCAGTATGTTGAAGAGATACCTGCACCCGTGGGTATACTGCAGCATTGTTCACAATAGCCAAGACATGGAATCAACCTAAGTGCCCATCAACAGATGAATGGATAAAGAAAATGTGCTATACATACACAGTGAAATATTACTCAGCCATAAAAAAGAATAAAATTGCCATGGACAGTGGCTCATGCCTATAATCCCCGCACTTTGGGAAGCCAAGGCAGGAGGATTGCTTGAGCTCAGGAGTTTGAGACCAGCCTGGGCAACATGATGAAATCCCATCTCTACAAAAAATACAAAAAAAAAATTAACCTGGTGTGATGATGCACACCTGTAGTCCCAGCCACTCTAGGGCCTGAGGTGGGAGGATCAATTGAGCCTGGGAGGCAGAGGGTGCAGTGAGCCGAGATTGTACCACTGCACTCCAGCCTGGGTGACAGAGTGAGACCCTCCCTGTCTCAAAAAAAAAAGAAAGAAAAAAAAAAAGAATGAAATCTTGTCATTAGCAGCAAAATGGAGGTCATTATGTTAAGTGAACTAAGCCAAGCATAGAAAGACAACACATGTTTTCAGTCATCTGTGGGAGCTAAAAACAAAAAGTAGATCTTCTGAAAATGGAGTAGACTGATGGTCACCAGAGACTGAGAAAAATAGCAGGGTGGCTTGGATGAAGAAAAGTTGGTTAATAGGTACAAATATACAGTTGGATAGAGGAAATAAGACATAGTGTTTGGTATATCAGCAGGTTGACTACAGTTTACAACAGTCTATCGTACATTTCAAAATAGCTAAAAGAGAATAATTTGAATGGTTCTGACATAAAGAAAAAACAAATATTTAAGGTGATGGATATCTCAGATACACTGATTTGATTTTTACCATCATATAAATGTATTAACTTATCATATATACCCTGAAACTATATACATTTAATATGCATCAATTTAAAAAATTGTTTTAATTAAAAAAAAAAAAGAAGCTGGGTGTGGTGGCTCAAGACTATAATTCCACAACTGTAAGAGGCCAAGGCGGAAAGATTGCTTGAGCCCAAAAGTTCAAGACCAGCCTGACAATATGATGAGACCCCCCATCTCATTGATTGATTAAGTGATTGACTATATAGATTAGATAGATAGAGATAAATAAATAAATAATAAATGAGCTAGGCTTGTAGTCTCGGCTACTTGGGAGGCTGAAGCCGGGAGAGAGCTTGAGCCCAAGAGTTCCAGGCTGCCATGAGCCACGATCGCACTACTGCACTACAGCCTGGTCAACAGAGCAAGACCTTGTCTCAGAAAAAGCTTTTTTTTTTTTTTAATTTATTTTTATTGATCATTCTTGGGTGTTTCTCGCAGAGGGGGATTTGGCAGGGTCATAGGACAATAGTGGAGGGAAGGTCAGCAGATAAACAAGTGAACAAAGGTCTCTGGTTTTCCTAGGCAGAGGACCCTGCGGCCTTCCGCAGTGTTTGTGTCCCTGGGTACTTGAGATTAGGGAGTGGTGATGACTCTTAACGAGCCTGCTGCCTTCAAGCATCTGTTTAACAAAGCACATCTTGCACCGCCCTTAATCCATTTAACCCTGAGTGGACACAGCACATGTTTCAGAGAGCACAGGGTTGGGGGTAAGGTCACAGATCAACAGGATAAGAATTTTTCTTAGTACAGAACAAAATGAAAAGTCTCCCATGTCTACCTCTTTCTACACAGACACGGCAACCATCCGATTTCTCAGGTGGGGGAGTCAGCCCCCCGCCCGGCCAGCCGCCCAGTCCGGGAGGGAGGTGGGGGGGTCAGCCCCCCGCCCGGCCAGCCACCCCGTCCGAGAGAAAAAGCTTTTTAAAAAGAGGCCCGGCATGGTGGCTCACACTTGTAATTCCAGCACTTTGGGAAGTCCAGGTGGGCGGATCACTTGAGGTCAGGAGTTCGAGACCAGCCTGGCCAACATGGCAAAACCCTGTCTCTACGAAAAATACAAAAATTAGCTGGGTATGGTGGCATGCACCTGTAATCCCAGCTACCTGGGAGGCTGAAGCAGGAGAATCGCTTGAACCCAGGAGGCAGAGGTTGCAGTGAGCTGAGATTGTACCACTGCACTCCAGCCTGGGTGACAGCAAAAACTTGTTTCAAAAGAAAAAAGAAAAGAAAAGTAAAAGAGAAAAATGCAAAGCAGAACTCAAAGAAGATATGGCAAGACAACCCAAGACAAATAGACGGAAATTAAAACTTCCAGCACAGGAAGGAAGTCTGCAGTGGAAAGGACACAAAGACAGACAACCCCCAAAACACAGCAGGTGACAGGGACAGAATTGAGAAGGGTCTCTCCAGTGAATCCGAGGACAAAAAAGAAATTTGACCTGAAATTCAAAATTAAATTCAAAGCTGCAAAACATCCACAAAACAATAAAATCAAGAAGTGAGTGTTCACAAGAAAATCCATGTGTTTAAAATGCTTGTATTAATAAAAAGAATGGAAACAAATAATTTAAGCAACTGCAAATAAAAAAAGACCAACATAGAGGGTAATTAAGATAGAAAAATGCTGAGCAAATGAAAGGAAATTGTTTTGAATTTTTTGTATTAAAATTTTCAACTGGCCGGGCGCGGTGGCTCACGCCTGTAATCCCAGCACTTTGGGATGCCAAGGCAGACGGAACACGAGGTCAGGAGTTCGAGACCAGCCTGACCAACGTGGTGAAACCCCATCTCTACTAAAAATACAAAAATTAGCCAGGTGTGGTGGCACACACCCAGCTACTCAGGAGGCTGAGGCAGGAGAATCACTTGAACCTGGGAGGTGGAGGTTGCAGTGAGCCAAGATTGCGCCACTGTACTCCAGTCTGGGCCACACAGCGAGACTCTGTCCCAAAAAATAAGTAAAAATAAAAATAAATTAAAAATAAACGAAAATAAATTCAACTGATGAAATTAAAAAAAAAAAAAAGGGAACAACCTAAAAGACAAATCCTCAATTCTCAGAGACTTCACTCCTCTACAGAAATGCCTCTGCAAGGGTGCGTCTTGGGTGGGTAAATCCACGAGGGCTGGGATTTTGTCTGTTTCCTCCTATGCTGTGTTCCAGGCACATAATAGTGCCTTATTGCAGGGAATAAATATTTGTTCACTGAATGAATGATGAATTTTCCAGGAAAATGTAAGTTACCAAAACTGATCAGAAAAGAAAGACAAGAAATCTGAACAACTAGTTACCACAGATTAACAAGTCAACACTGTAACAGCACCACACCTTAGGAGCAGGCAACACCAATATTACCTTCAGTTGTTTCCAACACAGAAACAGAAGGAAAATTCCCAAGTGCTTTTTATGCAGCCAGCATAGCAGTGAAACAAAACTCAACGAAGAAAATACACAGATATTAACGTGAAAATTTTCAGTAAATGACTCGTAAACCGAATCCAGCAGAGGACTATTCCACAATCAAGTGGAATTCTTTCTAAGGATGCAAACGCTGGGCCAATATTTAAAAAGCTATTAATGTAACTGACCAAAGAGATCAAAAGAGAAAAATCCTAAAACCAAATTATCAATTCCATGGATATAAAAAGGCATTTGAAAACTTAATCTCTCGGCTGGGTGCGGGGGCTCACACCTGTAATCCCAGCACTTTGGGAGGCCAAGGCAGACGGATCACAAGGTCAGGAGATCGAGACCATCCTGGCTAACACCCTGAAACCCCCTCTCTAAAAATACAAAAAATTAGCCAGGCGCGGTGGCAGGCGCCTGTAGACCCAGCTACTCAGGAGGCTGAGGCAGGAGAATGGCGTGAACCCGGGAGGCGGAGCTTGCAGTGAGTTGAGATCGCGCCACTGCACTCCAGCCCGGGTGACAGAGCGACTCTGTCTCAAAAAAAGAAAAAAGAAAAGAAAATTTAATCTCCATCTTCCATTTCAAAAGTCTTTCCTCACTTGGCAACAGGCAGACCCTGAAGCGCTGGCCTGGTCCATCTGTCCCTCAGACTGATGGCACAAAAAGCCAAAAGCCCACAGTCTCTTTGCCCCTCTGACCTGACTGCACTGATCTCAGGACTCCAGGAGAACCTCCCAGAACAGAAAGGAGGCACGCATATCCTTGTGTGGCTTACAACCTGCCCTGCTTGCTTCCTGGTTTTGGTGGTAAACCGAAGGGAAAGCAACTTGAAACAAGCCCAAGTCATCATTGTCACCCACCTTCCCACCCCGACCGTCCTTTCTGGTCTGGCCCAGCTCACTTGGCAGCAGTGGGCTCAAATAGGAGTTGGCAGATGTAGCCCTCACTCTGCCCACACCTGCAGGCCCTGCTTGCCGCTGGTCCATCTTAGTCACATGCCTGCCCCCAGACCTACACATGGGCAGAGCCACCACTGCCTAGAGGTTCACTGTTCCCATCACAAGGCAAGTTTGCCACATGGAGATTTGACCCACACAACAAAGAAGATCTATTAATGTCAAAAGTTCAAAGAAACATGATTGCAGGAGAGAAGTCATACTGTTTGTATGCACTTTGAGATAGTCACAAAGAACTACTGTTGTGTTAACTGACAAGTATTCATTAAACTCATATTGAGAAAATGGATTTCTACTGAGCAGTAAACTAAAAGTGTGCAAAAGCATTTCAAATATCATTTGAAATTTCATGCATTTCAAATATAATTATAAAAAAATCCAGAATCATTACCATGAATTTGCTCAGCATTTTGCGATCTTAACGACCCTCCGTGTTGGTCTTTTATTTGCAGTTGCAGTACTGCCCTTTATCTTTCAAGTGTCATTACCTTCACTCAGCGGTCAACGATCAGATCTCTATCCTTTCATGTAAAGTGTTCTCCATGGGATTTGAATGTCACTGACAAACAAACAAAAAAAAACACTATCCTTTTCAGTTTTCTTGTTTACTGCAATGATGGTTCTTCAAACTTAAGAAAGTCTTGGTCCATGATACTATCCGATAAAATCCAAGTAGCAAAAGTCAGCTACTTCTTTTAAGATAAAGAAGAAAATCCAATAATATATTTGACTACCTTAGAGAATCAATTTCATTCATTTTTCAAACCTCAGAAAATAATATTTCAGGGAGGAGCCAAGATGGCCGACTAGGAACAGCTCCGGTCTAGAGCTCCCAGCGTGAGCAACGCAGAAGACGGGTGATTTCTGCATTTCCATATGAGGTACCGGGTTCATCTCACTAGGGAGTGCCAGACAGTGGGCGCAGGTCAGTGGGTGCAGCGAACCGTGCGCAAGCCGAAGCAGGGCGAGGCATTGCCTCACTCGGGAAGTGCAAGGGGTCAGGGAGTTCCCTTTCCTGGTCAAGGAAAGGGGTGACAGACAACACCTGGAAAATTGAGCCACTCCCACCCAAATACTGCGCTTTTCCGACGGGCTTAGGAAACAGCGCACCAGGAGATTATATCCCACACCTGGCTCGGAGGGTCCTATGCCCACGGAGTCTCGCTGATTGCTAGCACAGCAGTCTGAGATCAAACTGCAAGGTGGCAGCGAGGCTGGGGGAGGGGCGCCCGCCATTGCCCAGGATTGCTTAGGTAAACAAAGCAGCCGGGAAGCTCGAACTGGGTGGAGCGCACCACAGCTCAAGGAGGCCTGCCTGCCTCTGTAGGCTCCACCTCTGGGGGCAGGGCACAGACAAACAAAAAGACAGCAGTAACCTCTGCAGACTTAAATGTCCCTGTCTGACAGCTTTGAAGAGAGCAGTGGTTCTCCCAGCACGCAGCTGGAGATCTGAGAACGGGCAGACTGCCTCCTCAAGTGGGTCCTTGACCCCTGACCCCCGAGCAGCCTAACTGGGAGGCACCCCCCCCGTAGGGGCAGACTGACACCTCACACGGCCGGGTACTCCTCTGAGACAAAACTTCCAGAGGAACGATCATACAGCAACATTCGCGGATCACGAAAATCCGCGGTTCTGCAGACACCGCTGCTGATACCCAGGCAAACAGGGTCTGGAGTGGACCTCTAGCAAACTCCAACAGACCTGCAGCTGAGGGTCCTGTCTGTTAGAAGGAAAACTAACAAACAGAAAGGACATCCAACCAAAAACCCATCTGTACATCATCATCATCAAAGACCAAAAGTAGATAAAACCACAAAGATGGGGAAAAAACAGAGCAGAAAAACTGGAAACTCTAAAAAGCAGAGCGCTTCTCCTCCTCCAAAGGAACGCAGTCCCTCACCAGCAACGGAACAAAGCTGGACGGAGAATGACTTTGACGAGTTGAGAGAAGAAGGCTTCAGACGATCAAACTACTCCGAGCTACAGGAGGAAATTCAAACCAAAGGCAAAGAAGTTGAAAACTTTGAAAAAAATTTAGACGAATGTATAACTAGAATAACCAATACAGAGAAGTGCTTAAAGGAGCTGATGGAGCTGAAAGCCAAGGCTCGAGAACTATGTGAAGAATGCAGAAGCCTCAGGAGCCGATGCGATCAACTGGAAGAAAGGGTATCAGTGATGGAAGATGAAATGAATGAAATGAAGCGAGAAGGGAAGTTTAGAGAAAAAAGAATAAAAAGAAATGAACAAAGCCTCCAAGAAATATGGGACTATGTGAAAAGACCAAATCTGCACCTGATTGGTGTACCTGAAAGTGATGGGGAGAATGGAACCAAGTTGGAAAACACTCTGCAGGATATTATCCAGGAGAACTTCCCCAATCTAGCAAGGCAAGCCAACATTCAGATTCAGGAAATACAGAGAATGCCACAAAGATACTCCTCGAGAAGAGCAACTCCAAGACACATAATTGTCAGATTCACCAAAGTTGAAATGAAGGAAAAAATGTTAAGCGCAGCCAGAGAGAAAGGTCGGGTTACCCACAAAGGGAAGCCCATCAGACTAACAGCGGATCTCTCGGCAGAAACTCTACAAGCCAGGAGAGAGTAGGGGCCAATATTCAACATTCTTAAAGAAAATAATTTTCAACCCAGAATTTCATATCCAGCCAAATTAAGCTTCATAAGTGAAGGAGAAATAAAATACTTTACAGACAAGCAAATGCTGAGAGGTTTTGCCACCACCAGGCCTGCCCTAAAAGAGCTCCTGAAGGAAGCACTAAACATGGAAAGGCATAACCGTACCAGCCGCTGCAAACTCATGCCAAAATGTAAAGACCATCGACATTAGGAAGAAACTGCATCAACTAACAAGCAAAATAACCAGCTAACAGCATGACAGGATCAAATTCACACATAATATTAACCTTAAATGTAAATGCACTAAATGCTCCAATTAAAAGACACAGACTGGCAAATTGGATAAAGAGTCAAGACCCATCAGTGTGCTGTATTCAGGAAGCCCATCTCACGTGCAGAGACACACATAGGCTCAAAATAAAAGGATGGAGGAAGATCTACCAAGCAAATGGAAAACAAAAAAAGGCAGGGGTTGCAATCCTAGTCTCTGATAAAACACACTTTAAACCAACAAAGATCAAAAGAGACAAAGAAGCCCATTACTTAAGGGTAAAGGGATCAATTCAACAACAAGAGCTAACTATCCTAAATATATATGCACCCAATACAGGAGCACCCAGATTCATAAAGTAAGTCCTGAGTGACCTACAAAGAGACTTAGACTCCCACACAATAATAATGGGAGACTTTAACACCCCACTGTCAACATTAGACAGATCAACGACACAGAAAGTTAAAAAGGATACCCAGGAATTGAACTCAGCTCTGCACCAAGCGGACCTAATAGATATCTACAGAACTCCCCACCCCAAATCAACAGAATATACATTTTTTTCAGCACCACGCCACACCTATTCCAAAATTGACCACATAGTTGGAAGTAAAGCTCTCCTCAGCAAATGTAAAAGAACAGAAATTATAACAAACTATCTCTCAGACAACAGTGCAATCAAACTAGAACTCAGGATTAAGAAACTCATTCAAAACCGCTCAACTACATGGAAACTGAACAACCTGCTCCTGAATGACTACTGGGTACATAATGAAATGAAGGCAGAAATAAAGATGTTCTTTGAAACCAATGAGAACAAAGACACAACATACCAGAATCTCTGGGACACATTCAAAGCAGTGTGTAGAGGGAAATTTATAGCACTAAATGCCCACAAGAGAAAGCAGGAAAGATCCAAAATTGACACCTAACATCACAATTAAAAGAACTAGAAAAGCAAGAGCAAACACATTCAAAAGCTAGCAGAAGGCAAGAAATAACTAAAATCAGAGCAGAACTGAAGGAAATAGAGACACAAAAAACCCTTCAAAAAATTAATGAATCCAGGAGCTGGTTTTTTGAAAGGATCAACAAAATTGATAGACCGCTAGCAAGACTAATAAAGAAAAAAAGAGAAGAATCAAATAGACGCAATAAAAAATGACGAAGGGGATATCACCACCAATCCCACAGAAATACAAACTACCATCAGAGAATACTACCAACACCTCTACGCAAATAAACTAGAAAATCTAGAAGAAATGGATAAATTCCTCAACACATACACTCTCCCAAGACTAAACCAGGAAGAAGTTGAATCTCTGAATAGACCAATAATAGGATCTGAAATTGTGGCAATAATCAATAGCTTACCAACCAAAAAGAGTCCAGGACCAGATGGATTCACAGCCGAATTCTACCAGAGGTATAAGGAGGAACTGGTACCATTCCTTCTGAAACTATTCCAATCAATAGAAAAAGAGGGAATCCTCCCTAACTCATTTTATTAGGCCAGCATCATCCTGATACCAAAGCCGGGCAGAGACACAACCAAAAAAGAGAATTTTAGACCAATATCCTTGATGAACATTGATGCAAAAATCCTCAATAAAATACTGGCAAACTGAATCCAGCAGCACATCAAAAAGCTTATCCACCATGATCAAGCGGGCTTCATCCCTGGGATACAAGGCTGGTTCAATCTACGCAAATCAATAAATGTAATCCAGCATATAAACAGAACCAAAGACAAAAACCATATGATTATCTCAATAGATGCAGAAAAGGCCTTTGACAAAATTCAACAACGCTTCATGCTAAAAACTCTCAATAAATTAGGTATTGATGGGAAGTATCTCAAAATAATAAGAGCTATCTATGACAAACCCACAGCCAATATCATACTGAATGGGCAAAAACTGGAAGCATTCCCTTTGAAAACTGGCACAAGACAGGGATGCCCTCTCTCACCACTCCTATTCAACATAGTGTTGGAAGTTCTGGCCAGGGCAATTAGGCAGAAGGAAATAAAGGCTATTCGATTAGGAAAAGAGGAAGTCAAATTGTCCCTGTTTGCAGACGACATGATTGTATATCTAGAAAACCCCATTGTCTCAGCCCAAAATCTCCTTAAGCTGATAAGCAACTTCAGCAAAGTCTCAGGATACAAAATCAATGTACAAAAATCACAAGCATTCTTATACACCAATAACAGACAAACAGAGAGCCAAATCATAAGTGAACTCCCATTCACAATTGCTTCAAAGAGAATAAAATACCTAGGAATCCAACTTGCAAGGCACATGAAGGACCTCTTCAAGGAGAACTACAAACCACTGCTCAATGAAATAGAAGAGAATACAAACAAATGGAAGAACATTCCATGCTCATGGGTAGGAAGAATCAATATCGTGAAAATGGCCATACTGCCCAAGGTAATTTATAGATTCAATGCCATCCCCATCAAGCTACCAATGACTTTCTTCACAGAATTAGAAAAAACTACTTTAAAGTTCATATGGAACCAAAAAAGAGCCCTCATCGCCAAGTCAATCCTAAGCCAAAAGAACAAAGCTGGAGGCATCACGCTACCTGACTTCAAACTATACTACAAGGCTACAGTAACCAAAACAGCATGTTACTGGTACCAAAACAGAGATACAGATCAATGGAACAGAACAGAGCCCTCAGAAATAATGCCGCATATCTACAACTATCTGATCTTTGACAAACCTGACAAAAACAAGCAATGGGGAAAGGATTCCCTATTTAATAAATGGTGCTGGGAAAACTGGCTAGCCATATGTAGAAAGCTGAAACTGGATCCCTTCCTTACACCTTATACAAAAATTAATTCAAGATGGAATAAAGACTTAAACGTTAGACCTAAAACCATAAGAACCCTAGAAGAAAACCTAGGCATTACCATTCAGGACATAGGCATGGGCAAGGACTTCATGTCTAAAACACCAAAAGCAATGCCAACAAAAGCCAAAATTGACAAATGGGATCTCATTAAACTAAAGAGCTTCTGTACAGCAAAAGAAACTACCAACAGAGTGAACAGGCAACCTACAAAATGGGAGAAAATTTTCACAACCTGCTCATCTGACAAAGGGCTAATATCCAGAATCTACAATGAACTCAAACAAATTTACAAGAAAAAAACAAAAAACCCCATCAAAAAGTGGGCAAAGGATATGAGCAGACACTTCTCAAAAGAAGACATTTATGCAGCCAAAAGACACATGAAAAAATGCTCATCATCACTGGCCATCAGAGAAATGCAAATCAAAACCACAATGAGATACCATCTCACACCAGTTAGAATGGCAATCATTAAAAAGTCAGGAAACAACAGGTGCTGGAGAGGATGTGGAGAAATAGGAACACTTTTACACTGTTGGTGGGACTGTAAACTAGTTCAACCATTGTGGAAGTCAGTGTGGCGATTCCTCAGGGATCTAGAACCAGAAATACCATTTGACCCAGCCATCCCATTACTGGGTATATACCCAAAGGACTATAAATCATGCTGCTATAAAGACACATGCACACGTATGTTTATTGCGGCACTATTCACAATAGCAAAGACTTGGAACCAACCCAAATGTCCAACAATGATAGACTGGATTAAGAAAATGTGGCACATATACACCATGGAATACTATGCAGCCATAAAAAATGATGAGTTCATGTCCTTTGTAGGGACGTGGATGAAATTGGAAATCATCATTCTCAGTAAACTGTCGCAAGGACAAAAAACCAAACACTGCATGTTCTCACTCACAGATGGGAATTGAACAATGAGAACACATGGACACAGGAAGGGGAACATCACACTCTGGGGACTGTTGTGGGGTGGGGGGAGGGGGGAGGGATAGCATTAGGAGATATACCTAATGCTGAATGACGAGTTAATGGGTGCAGCACACCAGCATGGCACATGTATACATATGTAACTAACTGGCACATTGTGCACATGTACCTTAAAACTTAAAATATAATAATAATTTAAAAAAAAAAGAGAGAAAAAAAAGAAAATAACATTTCAGTTAACCTCAAAGATACAATACTGAAGATAAAATCCTCTGGGTTTTTTGAGAGATTTCTTAAGGAGATCAAGAAGTTAAATTAAGTAGCACTGGCAGAGTATGCATCTTCAGGTAGTACAAGATTATAGAACCTTCTATCTACCCATGTGGTCTCTCCCTGTGTATCCCTATGTGTATCTAGTTAAAGAGAAAGCAGTAGAACTTAGCAGGTAAGGGGACTCGAGGTCAGTTTGGGTTGAAAGTCTAAGTAGGTCAGAATCCAAGGTCTATCATTTACTAGTTAAGTGGCCTTGGACAGGTAACTATTCTCTCTGAGGCTGTCTCTTCATCCGTAAAACAGGAACAATAACACCTACCAATAATGATTGCTGTGAGAATTAAATGAAATATTTGTACAGTGCTAAGCAGAGTGTCTGACACATAGTCCAGAGCTAAATCACTGGTAGTTAAGCTATCAGTCTTGTGAATGTGATATAGCCACTGGTCAAATCCTATAGCACAGTTTATTATACAGGACACTTAACTGCTGCCCTGTATAAAATTTATTTGTAAGAATTTTGTCTTAGGCAGGGTGCGGTGGCTCATGACTATAATCCCAGCACTTTGGGAGGCCAAGGAGGGCAGATCACTTGAGCTCAGGAGTGTGAGACCAGCCTGGGCAACATGGCGAAACCCCATTTCTACAAAGGAAAAAAAAGGAATTTTCTCTCATTATAACAATTAGAACAACAATTATTGAACACACTATGCACCAGGCACTGTTCTACGTGATTCAATTAAGTGTATTAACTCATTTAATTTCATAACAGCCATGAGGTGGGGGGGAGGGAGATGCATATTTTATTGGCAAGGAAACCGAGGCCCAAGGTCACATAGTTAATAAGTGCTAGAGGCAGGATTTAAAACTTAGGTGTCTGGGTGGCATATGTTATTCTACTAACACTGCTGCCTCTCTGACTGTAACCTACTTAAAAACAGACATTGGCCAGGTGCGGTGGCTCACGCCTGTAATCCCAACACTTTGGGAGGCTGAGGCAGGCAGATCACAAGGTCAGGAGTTCAAAACCAGCCAGGCCAAGATGGTGAAACCCCGTATCTACTAAAAATACAAAAATTAGTCGGGCGTGGTGGCGGGTGCCTGTAATCCCAGCTACTTGGGAGGTTGAGGCAGGAGAATCACTTAAACCCGGGAGGCGGAGGTTGCAGTGAGCCGAGGTCACGCCACTGCACTCTAGCCTGGGCAACGGAGCAAGACTCCATCTCAAAAAAAAAAAAAAAAAGCAGACATCATTTATATCTTTAACACATACTGCTGCACAAAATTATGTATCAAGTATTTCATATGGCAGTGAACTGTGTTTCTATCTCTCTATCTGTCCCTCAGTGCTTTAGGCATAACACATTCTCAAAAGCTACTTGAATAGATGAAAACCAGGACAGGGCTCTAACAGGCCCTACACAATCCTCATCTTCCTCCCCCGCTCATCTCATCCCCTACCTCATTCCCCCTGACGCATTTACTCTATCCACGGCAGCTTTCTTGCTGTCCTGAACTACCATGTGCATTGCTTATGCTCTGGGGGCTCATTCGGTTCATAGTCATTTGTTGAACACCTACTATGTGACAGTCATGAAAAGGCACTGGAAAATACAAGGTAAAAAACTAGTGTGAAAACAGTTGAATCCGAAGACAGTCTGTGGTTTACTGAATATTAGTGTACCAATGTTAATTTCTAAGCTGTGATAAATGTACGATGGTTATGTAAAGTGTTAACATTAAGGGAAGCTGGGTGGAGGGTAAAGAAGAACTTTCTATGTATTTTTACAACTCTTCTAAATACTTTAAATTGTTTCAAAATCAAACATTTTTATTTTAAACAACATACAGTTCCTACCTTCAGGAACTCAAATTCTAGAGGAAAAGGTGGGCGTGTAAATAAATGAGTCCACCAAAGTGAGTGATAACTTCCAGGTCAGAAGTCATGTTCGGGACAGGATGTGAAGGGGAAGGAGGCAGGCCGGCTGTGGCCAACCCTGTTATCCAGTACAACCGTTTAACCTCCTAAAGCCTCAGTTTACTTCTCTGCAAAATGGGAACTAGGGAACAGACACGGGTCCTTGCAGGGCTGGTGGGAGATCTGCAAACCGAAGTCACCATGGGACCGCGCATGCTATCAACAGCCAGGCCGAGCAGCACCTGCCGCCCTCCCAGTGACCCACCTGGAACTCCAGCCCGTAGATCACTGGTGCATCGTCCTCCATGCTGCGGGGAAGCGACCCGACCCCGGCCACTCACACGCTAAGGACCTCGCTACGGCCGGCGCGTCCCCACCTCGCGGGCGTGTTCCCAGCGCCCATTCATTCCCTCCCCGCAGCAAACGACTCCAAACTGGAAGTCTTTCTGGCCCAGAACAGCTTCCGTAGTGGCCACTTCCTATTTTTCGGATGTGTCATCAATCTGTTCCTCACCAGCGACCAATGGCAGCGGCGCTGGCTTGTGCGCATGGCCACTTGGGCTCACATCCGGGCTCTCAGCGCGGGGACTCCTGGAGGTGAGAACCCGGCCCAGAGGAAATAAGTTGGTGGGCGGAGCGGGCCGCGGAGGCCGGCTGTGGGTGGAGGCCGGCTCCGAGCGCAGGCCGTCGGGAGCAAGCGGCGATTAGCCTTAGCTAGCCATCGCATCTAAGAATCGCTCACGCCGTAGTTGGGCGCCGCCATGTATTGTCATTTGTATGTACTTGGCGTTCCTGAGCGCTGGGCCAGCGCTTCACACGCACTGCCATAAGGAGCTTCATCCAACCCTATGAATAAGCTGTTACACTTCCATTTTACCGATGAGACGCTGCAAAGTTGAGTAACACAGTCGCAGCGCTCATTGGTCCATTGGGTAGCCAGGATGGGCACCTGAGCTGACTCCCTTAGGTTCGGCCCAAGGTGCCCTAAGTCAGGGCCATGCCTAATGCATTTCTGCAGGTGCCCAGCACTGTGTGGCAAAGAAAGCACTACCAAGGATGGGGTTATGAAAGCCGGCACCGCACCACTGGTGGTCCTGGACTGCATATGCCTCCGAATGGGAGTCGGAAGGGAAGGCCCTGGGGTTCCTAGAGGTCTCCAAAGACTAAAGACTTGTGGTGGAGAGACTGCCCCTCTTTCGCATCCTGCTCAAAGTGCCTGCCCTGGCCTTGGGCCAGCAGAAATGGCATCGCAAGGACTCCAAAATACATCATAGCTGAACCACGCCGCTAGCCTGGTTCCACCGGGGCTTCCAGGACCACGCACCTTTCCTCCATTTCTGTGATTAGCTTTCCCCTCTACCCTTTATTGATCTCCGTGACGGAAATGGTTGGGTCTCGTTTTGCTCAGTTGGGCAAGGCGCGTGGTATTGAGTTAAGGCTGGATGAGTATCTGTTGAGTGTATGAAATTTTAGAGATTACATGAGAAATCAAATGAGCAGGCCGGGCGCGGTGGCTCACGCTTGTAACCCCAGCATTTTGGGAGGCTGAGGAGGGTGGATCACAAGGTCAGTTCGAGACCTGCCTGGCCAACACAGTGAAACCCCGTCTCTACTAAAAATACGAAACTTAGCCCAGCGTGGTGGCACGCGCCTGTAATCCCAGCTACTCGGGAGGCTGAGGCAGGAGAATCGCTTGAACCCGGGAGGCGGAGGTTGCAGTGAACCGAGATCGCGCCACTGCACTCCAGCCTGGGCGACAGAGCCAGAGTCGGTCAAAAAAAAAGAAAAGAAAAGAAAGAAATCAAGTAAGCAAAAACAAGAAAGAAAGAAATCAAGTAAGCAATGGCCCAGACATGAGAATCATCCTATTCAACCACTCTGTTTGCCGATATTAACTTGCGGAGCTAAGAGGGCCTTCATACTTCGGGATTAAACCCACCCATCTATCACTGATATCTTTATCATTAATTTTATTATACAAGTACTGCAGGTGCATGGTAAGAAACTTACAAAATACAGATAAACACAAAGACAAATCCATAGAAACACTGATTTCTAGGATATGCTGGTCAATAAAAATAGCCTAAGCGACTCCCTTTCACCCGCCCCATCTGCCACAGGCTTGCCTATTGCCTCTGAGTGACAGAATCAGGCTAGGTGGAGTGGAGTCTCCGTTCCCATTTCCAAGTACAGGGTCCGCTCCCCTCAACTACCGGCTCCTGGTTGCCTGTGCGCGTTCACACCTAGGGCTCCAGGCCCCGCCCACAGCAGACGAACCGGAAACGAACCCCATTTCCGGCCTGGGGGCAGGGCCTCGGGTTCCTGCATCGGGCCTGAGCAGAACTAGGCGCGCCGCGGCCCGGCACGCGCAGGCGTACAGAGCTCCCCGGGGGTGCCAGTTCCTCTCCGATTCCCGGCTTCTGTCACCTTCCTCACGGACCTTGGTCACGGCCGCAGGTGACCCCTTAGCCCAGCTCCAGTGGGCGGGTGGCAGGTGAGGATCAGGGCCTCGGCAGTCCAGAGGGGATGGGACCGTGTAGCGCCACCTCGGGGAGGGAGCACACTGGCTTTGGCCTCAGCCCGGAGGGACCTTCTCTGGGACCGATGCTAGAGTGGGCGTGGGGTCCGGGCGCGGGGTCGCCTGCCACCCAAGGGCGTGTGTGCTCCGCGGGCCTTGTGCCAGGCTCCACGTCGCCGCGGCCCTTGCTCTCCACGTCTGCAGAGGGCTGGAAGCGTCTCTGCAGCCCGCGGAGTTTGCGGGAAGGGGAAGCTGCTGCGAAGCGTGTGGGAAACTACCCGCTGGCGCGCGCCCAGGCGTCCCCGAGACCCCCAGTTCCAGGCTTGGTGCCAGCCAGGCCCCCAGCAAGCCCCTTAACTTCCCTTAGACTTAATTCACCCTCCCGCGGAAAGAGGTTACTAATGACCTGCCCTGCCAAACTCAGCATTGTGAGGCTGCAATGCAGTGTAAAAGCATTTGAGTCACTGTGTAAACGTCCGCTGTTGCTACACATACTAATTGTAGAGTATATTTACTGTGAAGACCGAAAAAGCGTTTATTCAACAGAAAGCGTTAGGGTCAAAGATGTGTTTTAACGTGTCATTTTTTCACTCTTCACTACGAAACAGTGTAGCCCCAAGGAAAAATTTTCTTGGACCTACGGTTTGTACTTTTTAATGGCTACTTGAAGATATGGTGTCTTTGGATTCAGTCACTGTTCGCAAATTCAGAAGATAGTGGCGGATAATGAGCCAGTCCCGTCTTGGGATTGGGGTGGGAGAGGGACAGGGGAAAAGCAAATGAAATATTACACAGTGTTACTCATTCAGTTCTTACATTTTGTGATATCTGATGGGATCTTCTTCACAGTTACTAAACTGGGTGTTGCCACTCTGCTTTATCATTAAAATGATAATTACTATGCTTGTGTCTGTGCAGCTCTTCACACTTTAAAAGATGCCTATGCAGGGGTGCCACTATTTAATCCTCTTTATTCTGATGTACCATCTAAAAGATCAAGATTTTCAGAGGTTACTTCACTTGGTCGGGAAGCTAAGACTCAACACAGTTATTGAGACACTGCCTTCAGAGCTCTTTCTGCCCACCCCTGCCTGGCAACCTTGCAAGAGGAGCTGAGAGGTGACCAGCACAAAGAAAAGAGTATTGGCAGAAAGCGCTGTGTGGGTAGCCTGTCACCATCAGGTACTGTCAGTGTGATGTTAGGCAAATCACTTGGCCTTCTCTGCTGTATGATGGAGGTAATAATAATGCTTCAAAAGTTTAGGATGAGTATTAAATAATAAGGTAAAATGCTTGATCTGTAGTGAGTGTTCATTACATGGAGACTTCTGTTAATACGTGCCACCTAGATTTCCACTACACACCCTCGTGCCCTTATGGAAGGAAATTTTACATGACTGCAATTTGGTAAAAGATATGTTTACAGAGTGTCTGTGTCCAGGAAATGAACCTGAGAAACCAAGTTTTAAATGTTGTTAGGAACTTTTTATTTCTCAAATACAGAATTACTTAAATTTAATATTTAAAAAAATTTTAAACAATTAATTAATCACATTCTTGTGCAAAGCCCTCAACTGGACAAGGAGAAAGTCAGATTTCTTTGCTGCACTGTGATGTAAAGCTTCTGTAAGCTTATGTAAGCTTAAAATCCTATTTATAGTTTAATAAAAATAAAGCCAATGATAGGAGGGAGTAAAGATTTCTATCACGTACAAATCAAGAACAGATACTTGTGTTTTTCCATTTTTAATTATGAACTATAAAGACTACCCGTAACACACATGTGAGATTTAAAGATCAAGTCAACCCAGTCTTCCATTACCAGCATAAGATGGGGACCATTTCCCAGTGCGTTGAAACTTCCGTGTGTCCCTCCCCAGTCAAGCTCTCCTGCCATCACCTTCCACCCCTCCCTCACTAAAGTGGCTGTTACTATATCCTGGCTTTTCTTTGTAGTTTGACCAAATATGTTTGTGTTCCTAACACAGAAAAAGTGTTTGGATTCAACACTTTTGTTTAATTTACATGTTTTTGAATATACAGAGTCATGCTGTTTATTTTTCTACTCATTCTTTGTGCAAAATTGTATTTGTGAGATCCAAACATAATTTATATGTTAGATATGGAAGAGTTCACTGATTTTCACCACTATTTTAATATTTTATGTCCTAGTATACCACAGTCTACTTATTTACTTATTATTGTGTCTACAGGCAGTGTTTATTTCCACTTTTTTTTTTTTTTTTTTTTTTTGAGATGGAGTCTTATTCTGCCGCCAGGCTGGAGTGCAGTGGCACGATCTTGGCTCACTGCAACCTCCGCCTCCTGGGTTCAAGTGATTCTGCTGCCTCAGCCTCCCAAGTAGCTGAGACTACAGGCGCCCGCCACCATGCCTGGCTAATTTTTTGTATTTTAATAGAGACAGCATTTCACTATGTTAGCCGGTATGGTCTTGATCTCCTGACCTCGTGGTCCGCCTGCCTCGGCCTCCCAAAGTGCTAGGATTACAGATGTGAGCCACCACGCCCAGCCTACTTTTTCTTTTAGGACTTTAGAAGAAAGGTATTTTGATGTGTTATTTATGAAATTCAGCATCATAGCTTACACTGCTCATGTACAGGAATTCCTCCATGATAGGTATCTAGCAGTGGAATTGCTAGGTCCTAGGTACTACGACCACATATTTATTGTCTCAACCAAGACTCCTTTAAGAGTGAAAGGAGACACTTAATGATTTTACTGAGGCGAAGCACGTGGCTCACGCCTGTAATCTCAGCACTTTGGGAGGCCAAGGCAGGAGGATCACTTGAGCTCAGAAGTTTGAGACCAGCCTGGCCAACATATTGAGTCCCCATCTCTACAAAAAATACAAAAATAGCTGAGTGTGGTGGTGCACACCTGTAGTCCCAGCTACTCCAGAGGCTGAGGCAGGAGGATGGGCTTGAGCCCAGAAGATCGAGGCTGCAGTAAGCCATCATCGTCCCATTGCACTCCCGCCAGGGTGACAGAGCCAGACTATGTCTCATAAAATAATAATACTAATAAAATAATAGAAATAACTTAAACCATGGGTGAAAAATTGAATTGTTCTGGGAAAAATCAAGATGTATAGTTATCAAAGTGATAAGATAATGTGCTTTTTAAACTTTACTAGATAATACCAAGTGGTTTCTCAACATGGATGTTCAAAGGTATACCTCTTTCAGCTCTGTTGCTTATTTTTCTAATGGATCATTTAGTGTGCTTTTATTAATTTGTAGGGATTCTTTATGTATTCTTCGTGTTAATCCTTTCTCAGTTACATTTGTTTGTTTCACTTTTTTTAGGTTTTTAATGATAGAACTTTCCATTTTAATATAGCAGATGTATCCATTTTCCCTTTATGGTTTGTACTGATTATGCCTAGTTTAAGAGGCTTTGCCTACTCTGAAAATATATTCTCTTATATTTTCTTCTGAAAGTTTTGAAGTTTTGCCTTTCACAGTTAATTTTTGATCCCCCACCCCCGCCCCGCCCGAGACGGAGTCTTTCTCTGTCACCCAGGCTGGAATGTCGTGCCTCAATCTTGGCTCACTACAACCTCTGCCTCCTGGGTTCAAGCGATTCTCCTGCCTCAGCCTCCCGAGTAGCAGAGTAGCTGGGATTACAGGTGCCCGCCACCACACCTGGCTAATTTTTGTATTTTTAGTAGAGACGGGGTTTTACCATGTCGGCCAGGCTCATCTTGAACTCCTGACCTCGTGATACGCCCGCCCCGGCCTCCGAAAGTGCTGGGATTACAGGCGTGAGCCACCGCACCCGGCCTTCACAGTTAAGTTTTTAACGTCCCTGAGATTGATACTGTGTCTGTGGTGAGACAAGATTCCAAGTTTATTTTTTCCCAGCTGCATGATTTGTCTACACATCACTCAAGGAAAATCGTCTCTTCCTTTGATGTGTGCTACATATTCCCTTGTGATAGTTCAGTCTTGTTTTTTTTTTTTTTTTTTTTTTTTTTTTTTTTTTTTTTTTTGAGATGAAGTTTCGCTGCTGTTGCCCAGGCTGGAGCACAGTGGTGCGATCTCGGCTCACTGCAACCTCCGCCTCCTGGGTTCAAGTGATTTTCCTGCCTCAGTATCCCAAGTAGCTGGGATTACAGGCGCCCTCCACCACACCTGGCTAATTTTTGTATATTTAGTAGAGACAGTGTTTCACCATGTTGACCAGGCTGGTCTTGAACTTCTGACCTCAGGTGATCCACCCTCCTCGGCCTCCCAAATTGCTAGGATTACAGGCCTGAACCACCGTGCCTGGCCCAATATTTCAGTCTTTATACCATAGATTTTTGATGTATTCTACATAAATAATCATACACGAAGAATGAAGGTTTGTATTTTTTTCTTTTCAGTTTTTATTGTAGCTTTTAGTTATTTTTCTTGCCTTAATCCTGCCCGAGGACTCCAGTATTAGGCAGCATAAAAATGTTGAAGAGGACATCTTTATCTTTTTTCTACTTTTAAAGAGAATGCTTTAAACGTTTCACTGTTAATTTGAGGTTTCCTTTAGGTTTTTGGTAGATACCTTTGATTGCATTAAGGAAGTTACTTTCTGTTGCTAGTTTGCTGACAGGTTTTATCTTGAGCAGATGCTGAATTTTATTAGATACTTTCTTGTGCATCTATTGAGATAGTCATGTACTTTTATTTAATCTATCGCATTAAACCAACAGTACATTTCTGGGATTACCTGAGTTTGGTAGAAAATAAATACATTGCTGATTCAGTTAGCTAATATTTCAAGATTTTTGCATGTGTGTTCATGAGTGAGATGATAGCTTCCCTTTTAGTATGGCCTTGTCAAATTTTGGTCTCAAGGTTATATTAGCCTTATAAAGTGAATTGGGTCATGTGTCTTTTTTCTTCTCTGCAAGAATTTTTGTACTGTAGGAATTATCTGTACGGAATCTTTGGTAGAATTCACTGGTAAACCCTCTGGACCCTATATTTTCTTTGTAGGAAGACTTAACTACTGGTTATACTTTTTTTATGGTTATAGAACTATCTCGTCATATATACATGGTTATTACTAGTGTCTGCTTTGCATTTGAACCTTACATTGGAATAAGATTAGAGTAAGGAAACCCTTGAAGTGAAGAAGCTATTTTGCTACAAATTATATGTCCATTCTCACAAAATCTTATGTATATAATTTATATAGATGTAGCTTTATAATATATGTATGTCTTCCCATTCATAAAAGCATCATCTAAATCACGTTTTATATCATTTTTATTTGAGCATTCCTCTTGATTTTCTAGAGAAGAAACCCTCAGATCCTTACTTACAAGCATTTTCCTGCATCTAGATTTTATTTGTGTGAAAGCAAAAGTGATCATCCTTGCCCTAAATTATTAGGGCTTTTTATTACTTTGGTATTTACTTAAGAATAAAATTTATTTTTTTATTTTCTTCTCTTCTCAAAAGTGGTTTGCAGGTATTAATGAAAATTTTGGACATTCCCATTTTATCAGTTCTCCTTAATTTACAATTTATAAAGTTTTTAAGCTTTATAATTTAGAAGCATTTTACCTTAATTTTTATTATTTTGGTGGTTTTTCTAGGCGATGTTTTTTGTTATTATATCTCTGATAAACAGATTTCCCTAAATCTTACAGGTTTAAAGCAGCTTCATCTTCACAATAGTAAGAATTGTTTCTTTAAAAAGTTTCTTCACAAAGGCAATAAAACTTTTAAAATCTGTGAGATTGAATCAGAATTAGCTTTAGAACCTAGAATTTTGTTAGGGCTGAGGGTAGATGAGACGGAGGGAAGATCCCTTTCTCTCATCATTAGCTTATATCGAAATCAATTCTTATTTCTAAAATAAAATACGCAGACCACGCTAGTGCCTTCAAGTCCTGCTGGGAGACTTCAGAGGGGGCACTGCCTCATGCTGCCTGTTTGCTCCTTGTGCCCGGCCTCTATCCCTGCACAGGAAGGACCCGAAGGAGCAGCCTTACCATGCACAGGGGGCTCCCCCTTTGGGGTTCTAGGGCAATTTGTTCTTCGGGCTCCCGGTGAAACATGGCAGGAAAAAAAACGTTTTACTCCTTTTCATTGGATTTTTTATTCATTTATACTTAACAATTATTGGATGAATGTATAAGGGAATTAGTAGCTGACCAGGCTGAACCGGAAACTTCTTCAAAATGTATAACTTGGATTATGTACTTTAAAATAATGTTTTGGGAAGGCTGACTCATTGGGAATACTATGATGGAAGTGTTGACAGTGAGAAAAGGGTAGTCTTATCTAGAGATCAGCTAAGTGTCATTTTTTAAGTAAAAAAGGTACGTGTTGTTTTATTCTGAAAAAAATCCCTTATCTTTTATCATAGTCTCTTAGATTTCCTTAACTTGAATTTGTTCACTATGAGAGTAAAACTACATAAAGTAAAAGTTTTTCAAGAAAAAGAACAAATACTTTTTTACAGTTTGAGCTCTTTGTCTCATTCTTTGGCTGGTCCTGGTTTCCCCACTCACTAGCGGTGTGATTTCGGCTTACATAGCCTCCCAAGGCCTCAGTGTCCTCATCTGCGAAACGAAGACAGTGATAGCAGCTGTCTCGAGGGGTGTTCTGAGAATCACACAGGCATATGTATATATAGCCAGGGGCATAGTATGTGCGGATAAATGTTAGCTAGTTGTGTTGTCAGCTTCAGCCATCAGTGCTTAGTGAGTGTGCTGTTTTCTTACTGTTTAAATTTTTCATGTCATTCGCACTGTATCAGATTTCCAGAGTCAGGCAGATAATATGAGCTGGGGCGTGGGGCGGGGGTAGGGGCGGACGGCATGGGGAAGTCAAGAGACTATTACAAATTGAAGAGTCTTGGGAGGGCTTCATGGAAGAGGAGGGACTTAGCTGACTCTCAGAATGAAGTAGTGTTTATATGGCTGGAACCTCACACCTACTGGAATGGCTACTATGAAATAAAAACAAAATAACAAGTGTTGGCAAGGATGTGAATTCCAAGGCTTGTGCACTGTTGGTGGGAATGACAAACGGTTCAGCCACTATGAAAAACAGTTTTTTGGTGCCTCAAAAAAATTAAAAATAGAATTACCATATAATCCAGCAGTTCCTTCTAGGTATTTACCCAAAATGATTGAAAGCAGGGTCTCAAAGAGCTGTTTGTACAGCCACGTTCATTGCAGCAGCATCCACAATAGCTAAAAGATGGGAGCAACCCACGTGTTCAACAACAGATAGCTGGATAAACAAAATGTAGTGTATGCATACCATGGAATATTTTTCATCCATAAAAAGGAAGGAAACTCTGACCAAGCTGTAGCATAAATAGCCCTTGAGGACTTTATACTGAGTAAAATCAGCCAGTCACAGGAAGACAGTTATCGGGTGATTCCACTTATTTTATAGTAGAATGGTGGATGCTCTAGGCGGGGGAGATGGGTATACGGGGGAATGTTTAATGGGGATGGAATTTTAGTTTTGCAAGATAAAAAGTGTTCTGGAGATTGGTTGCACAGAAATGTAGATGTACTTAACACTACTGAACTTAAGGTGGTCAATTTTATGTGTATTTTACCATAATCAAAAGCACATGGATAAGAAGCTGGAGAAATGGAAGTCTGCGTCATTTGAATCTATAAGCAATACTCATTTTTCGGTTGAGGTGAATGAAGATCACGCTCAGGGGCCTTCTCTCTGTCTTTGCTTTCAGGGTCATGGAGGACGCTGGCGGCGGCGAGGAGACCCCGGCCCCGGAGGCCCCGCACCCCCCTCAGCTCGCGCCTCCGGAGGAGCAGGGGTTGCTCTTCCAGGAGGAAACCATCGATCTTGGCGGAGATGAGTTTGGATCCGAAGAGAACGAGACCGCATCGGAAGGCTCGAGTCCTCTCGCGGACAAGCTGAACGAACACATGATGGAGAGCGTCCTCATCTCTGACTCCCCCAACAGCGAGGGCGACGCGGGCGACCTGGGCCGAGTGCGGGACGAAGCTGAGCCCGGAGGGGAAGGCGACCCAGGCCCGGAGCCCGCGGGCACCCCGAGTCCCAGCGGCGAGGCCGACGGCGACTGTGCCCCCGAGGACGCGGCACCCAGTAGCGGAGGGGCCCCGAGGCAGGACGCGGCCCGCGAGGTCCCAGGCAGCGAAGCCGCGCGCCCGGAGCAGGAGCCTCCCGTTGCGGAGCCGGTCCCGGTGTGCACCATCTTCAGCCAGCGCGCGCCCCCAGCCTCCGGGGACGGCTTCGAGCCGCAGATGGTGAAGTCGCCCAGCTTCGGTGGCGCCAGCGAGGCCTCGGCCAGGACACCGCCCCAGGTCGTGCAGCCCAGCCCCAGCCTCAGCACGTTCTTCGGAGACACGGCCGCCAGCCACTCCTTGGCCTCGGACTTCTTCGACTCCTTTACTACCTCCGCCTTCATTTCCGTCAGCAATCCCGGCGCGGGCTCCCCGGCCCCCGCCAGCCCGCCTCCCCTCGCTGTGCCCGGGACCGAGGGGCGCCCCGAACCCGTGGCCATGCGAGGGCCCCAGGCAGCTGCGCCCCCGGCGTCGCCAGAGCCTTTCGCGCACATCCAGGCAGTGTTTGCAGGGAGTGACGACCCCTTTGCCACCGCCCTGAGCATGAGCGAGATGGACCGGAGGAACGACGCCTGGCTTCCCGGCGAGGCTACGCGTGGAGTCCTGCGGGCCGTGGCCACCCAGCAGCGCGGCGCCGTGTTCGTGGACAAGGAGAACCTCACCATGCCGGGCCTCAGGTTCGACAACATCCAGGTGAGCCCGGGTCTCCCACCTCCGCAGCCCGTGCCTCCTCTCTGCGTCTGTGAGATACGCACAGTGCCCCTTTAGGGATGGAGAAGGAGAAGGCCTTGTTTTCAGTAATTCCTAACATCCCATTGTGAGCGCCTGTGTTCCTCTGTCCCTGGGTAATTAGGGATCTGTTGGTTTCCCCAACAGAACATATTTAATGGACTGCTACTCAGAGAGGTAGAAATAAATACCACCAAGGCAGACAGTTCTACCGTAATTCTCTCAGTCAGTTCTCCATGTCCTGTAATCCATTTGACATTTGAACTCCAGTTAATAATAAATCCATTTCTTTCTTTAAAATATGGAAAAATATATTCCTGTAACATATAATGTGCCCGATGTAGAATTTTTATAGGTTGAATAAGAAAAATACGCGTGACCCAAAAAGTAACAAATCACAGAAATATATAAATGTTAAGCTAAATGGTAACATACAAATGTTCGATCTCACTACTAATGAAAGACAATTGATGCAGGGTTTTTTTCGGTGCCGCTTTGCCAGCTGGAGACCTCCGTGGTCGGCGATGCCCCTGCCCAGGCCTCTCTCGGCCCAGGTTCGCCCACTAGGCCTGCCGGGCCGCACCTGGCTTGCGCTTTGGCATATCCCGTGGCCTCGGTGACTGTGCTCTCAGCCCCCAGCAGGTGGGTTGTGCGAGCAACTGAGTGTAGGGGTCCGGGGGCTGCTCCAACCGCCAGCATAGGAGCAGGCTTCACACGGGGCTTGTAGCTGGACCAGGCGTGTGGCAAGTGACTCCCACAGTGGACTCCTGCGTCCAGGCGAGGGGAACACCGTGGCGCCCGAAGAGCAACAACCGCGACCCCGAAGCCCGAGAGGGGATGTTACAGCGTGCACACAGCTCTTTTCGACCCGCATCTGCTGCCGGACTAACGGGCATCTTAACGGCTCTAAACGGGCGCATTAACAGACCACTGCTTCCCGTTGAGTGGGGCAGCCGAAGGGGGTGGGGGATGGAGGGTTACAGTGTTATTGCTGTCTTGGTACCTGCACTCCGCGGAGTCCTGAGTTCTTGTCCTGCCTCCAAGAAGAACGAGATTATGCCGACAACCAGAGTGTGAGGAGGGCGGACGAGTTTTATTGAGCACAAAACAGCTCTCAGCAGAGAGGGGAGGCGAGGGTGGTCCCCCACCGAAAGTCAGGTGGTGTCTCTCCCAGTGTGGCTGGCTCAGGGGCTTTTTTGGGCTCAGAATGGAGGGGTGCATGCTGATTGTGAGTATGCAAAAAAGAAGGCTAAAACAAAGTCACCACTCAAAGGTGGGCACGACAGTGGAAAAAACCAGTTGGGGAAGGGTAGGTATATGTAAAATAGGTGAAGAGGGGTAATCAATCAGAGGAAAGTGCTCCACATGGGACGAAAGGTTCTCAGTCCCTTACGTGGGTTTATCCGGGACTTGCAGCTAGGCTTTAAACTGTCTTCAGTTCCAGTCAGGTTTCACCGGGGACCGCCCCTGTCTGCCTAGGATTTGTCTGCCTCCTGCTGCCATCACACTCGAGTCATTTCCGTTTCCATTTATCAATCATGATCTACTGTTTGTTGAAGTGTGGGAAAATAGCCTCTCTAAGGCAGCCCAGATGGGACCAAAATCAGTACAAACATATTTAAGTAAATTTTAAAATGCGTATCAAATGTGCATATTCTTTGACCCAGAAATTCCACTCTTAGGAATGTATTGTGAGGACATAATCATACTTCTATACATATACCAGCTGTTGAGATGTCTATCAGGGTGGTTTGTAATTGCAAAGAATCTGAAATAATCTAAAAGCCCGTTATTAGGAGGCTTGAATACATTTGACTCACCTCATCTTTGCAATGGAATATTTATGTAAGTTTTTAAAATGATGCCAGGGGTTAGGGGGAGGAAGGGATGAACAGGTGGAACATAGAGGATTTTAAGGCAATGAAACTATTCCGTGTGATACTTTAATGCTGGGTACATGTTGTTATTTATTTTACCAAACCCATGGAAAGTGCTACACCAAGAGTCTACCCTAATGTAAGCTGTAGACTTTGGGTGACAATGATGTGTCCATGTAGATTCATCAGTTGTAATAGGTGGACCACTCTGGCGAGGTGCGTTGATCATGGGGAAGACTGTGTGTGTAGGGGGACAGGCAATATATGGAAGATCTCTATACCCGCTTAATTTCGCAGCAAACCTAAAAGTCCTCTAAGTAATAAAATCTTCCTCTGATCATTGGTGAATAATAATATAAATAAATTGTAAAATCTATTTTTAAAAAGATATAAAACAGAATATTTAATGAGGTTCATCTCATACTGTTAAATTTGAAAATCAGGACAGAAGATAGCATGTAGCATGCATAGTATGATAAAATTTTTATAAATATATGTATACATATGTATCAGATTAAATCATATGCATGTCAGTTTTAGTTTATTGCAACCAAATTGTGGGACAGGATTAGTAGTTTCCATATGGCACTGTACATGACGGGGCGCCCCACCTCCCAGTTACTGGCCTCAGATCCTGTGCGTGTCTGTCTTCCTGAAACTGAAAGAAGGACCTACAGCCCCCTTTAGTGCAACCACTTACCCACTCCTGAACCCACTTACCCACTCCACTCTCACTCCTGAACACAAATAGGTAAGCCAATAAGCCAATCGTATGACTGTGACTATTGCTATTGAATTGATAGATGGCTGAGACCTAGGAGTGGTGAATTCTCCAGGAAAAGAAAAGTGACATACTAGAGAAATGAAGCCAATTAATTTTTTCAGATAACTGAAGTGTAAGCCTATAGACATCCGTATTTTGGGTGTTTTACGGGCAGTCTTTCCAGAATGTTCATTGACTAATTTACTAATATTCATTTACTATACTTATTGTGTGTTTACTCTTGACCAGGCATTGGTCTAGGCATTCTTCTCTACCCTCTTAGGCAGAATATACTGAGCATAATTTAACCTTTGCAGGATCTTTTTAATGAATACCAATTCCGGACTCTGATGTCAGGGGTATTTGGATGTGTGGGATTGGATTTATTTGTCACTGAATTCTTACCTGTACTCCCACTCCCTGGTCTTGTCTCTGTATCCTGTCCCCCCAAGATGGCTTTCATGTTCTGCTCCATGTTTCTTCCCTTCTCTCTCGGGGTCTTTGTCCTCTCTGCTGTAAAATTCCTTTAACATCTGTGGGTCTGGCCTTTAGCACTTTCTTTCAAACCCTCTGTTGCTTGCCTTGCCGTTTGCTTCTCCCTCTGACTGTAACTCAGAGGAAATCTGAAGGTTGCCACAGGAAAGACTTAACCTATTGCTTCCCAACTGGGTGCTGCAGTCCAACGGTCTTAGGTACATTTGGAAAGGGGGAGAGGTGTTTCACTTTGGTTGACAAAAGGGCTGGGGTGAGCATATGACATTTAGTGAGTAGGGCTAAGAGTACTCAGTACCTTGCAGCGAGCTCAAAGCTTTCAAGGAATGGAAAACACCTGTTCCTCAAAAAAGCTTAAAGGTCTCTGGTCCTGTCCAGTTTCTCCTTTTATGATGAGGAAACAGATCCGAATGACTTGTGTGTTCACCAGCAAGCCTGCCATGTCCCAGGCATCCTCTCTCCTGACACAAAGGAAGGTGTAATGCCTACCCGCCAGCCCAGACCAGGACAGACGGCCTAGACAAGGGAAGGCAGACCTGCAAATGGATAATTTCAGTGTCCTGTGGCTCAGTAGAGATCCAGGCAGAGTCCCATGGGCGTGTTTACCCTAGATAATGCAGCCACAACACTGCAGAGCCAGTGCCAGAACACAGGTCCTCTTTGCCTTAGTTCTGGCCTCTTTGTCTTATGTTGTATTTCTCCCTACCATAGAAAATGACTAATTGTATTTCTCTCAGAAGGATCTCTGTTTAAGTCAAAGAACTAGAAACAGCACTAATTATCAGGGAAATGCAAATCAAAATCACAATGAGATATCATGGCTGTTAACCGAAAACTCTGGAGACAGCAAGAGTTGGTGAGGGTGTGGAGAAAGGGACCCTTGTGCACTGTTGGTGGGAATGTAAATTAATACAGCCATTATGGAAAACATGGAGGTGCCCGAAAAAGTTAAAAATGGAGCTACCATATGATCTAACAGTCCCCCATTCTGGGTATGTATCCAAAGGAATTGAAATCGGGATCTCAGAGAGATGCCTGCGCTCCATGCTCACTGCAGAATTATACAGTAGCCCAGATAGGGAATCAACCTAAGTGCCTATCGACAGGTGAGAGGACAGAGAAAATTTGGTATGTAGTGGCTCACGCCCATAATCCCAACTTCTCAGGAGGCTGAGGCAGGAGGCTCACTTGAGCCATGGTGTTCAAAGCTGCAATGAGCTATGATGGCACCACTGCACTCCAGCATGGATAACAGAGTAAGACCTGTCTCTTTTTAAAAAAAAAAATGTTTTTAAAGAAAAGAAAATATACACAATGGAATTCTATTTAGTCCTTAAAAAACAAGGGGAAACCTTGCCATTTGTGACTATATGCATGCACCTGGTGGACATTAGGTTAAGTGAAATAAGCCAGACACAAAATGATGAATACCACGTGATCTCATTTACATGTGGAATCTACAGAAGTCAGACTCATAGAAGCTGGGGCCTGGGGGTGTGAGGGGCATGGGGAGATGTTACTCAAAGGGTACAGAGCTTCATTTATGCAAGAAGAAGGAATGCTGGGGATGGAATGTACATTTAACATGGTGACTATAGTTAGTAATACTGCGTTGTTTACTTGAAATTTGATGAGAGCAGATTTTAAGTGTCCTCACCACCCTCACACATATACACACACACACAGTAACTATGGGTAGTGACGGTTGTGTTAATTATTTCGACTTTGGAATTCAGTACACAATGTCTATTTATAACAAATGATCATATATACCTTGAATATATATAATTTGTATTTGTCAACTAAATATTCTAAAATTTAAAAATATGCCTTTTCTATTTACCCACATTTAAAAAAAAAAAAAAAGAACTGGAAATCAAATGGCTTAACTTTAGTGTTCCATAAAGAGTGAGTAGCTCAGTCTTCTCCAGGGTCCCAGAAGTTGCCTGATACGTAGACATATCCCTGATCAGTATGTGAGCTTAGGAAGAGCCTTGAATTAGAAGAATTGGTTTCAAATTGTTGGTTTGCCAATAACCTGTGTAACCTAAGGGAATTCATTGAACATCTGTGGCTCTATTTTCTTCTCTGTAAAATGAAAGGTTTTGGTAAGTCTGTCAGTTACGCTGTAGGTTCAGCTGCATTAACAAAGAAAGCCAAAGGTATGGTGGCTGGAATAGGATACATGTTTATTTCCAGGTGGTAGAACACTTTGGAGATATGTGGGCCAGCACTGTGGATTGACTCTACCTTCCTCAACCAAGTCCAGGAAGCTTTTTCCCATTGCTGTCTTCCAGCCATCTGGAAGAGGGAGAGGCTGGAGAGCTCTGCAGTATTCCTTTTATGATACGTCATCTGGAAGACAGTGTGTCCACTCACATCCCACTACCTAGGGTTTAGTCACTTGGCCACACCAAGATGCAAGGAAGGCTGAAAATAGTCTTTAGGTAGGCGACCATGTGCTCAGGCAAAACCAAAGTTCTGTTACTAGAAGAAGGGGAGGGCCGGGCATGGTGGCTCACACCTGTAATCCCAGCACTTTGGGAGTCCGAGGTGGGTGGATCATGAGGTCAGGAGATCGAGACCACCCTGGCTAACACGGTGAAACCCCATCTCTACTAAAAATACAAAAAACAGCCGGACGTGGTGGTGCACGCCTGTAGTCCCAGCTACTTGCGAGGCTGAGGCAGGAGAATCACGTGAACCCAGGAAGCAGAGGTTGCAGTGAGCTGAGATTGCACCATTGCATTCCAGCCTGCGCAACAGAGCAGCACTTTGTCTGAGGTTAAAAAAAAAAAGGGGGGGGAGATCAGAGATTGGTGGATGGCTGAGAGTCTCCTCCAGTGAGTCCTTCCAGCACCAAAAGTCTTGAATCTGGAATCCATAATTACTGCCAGCCTTGAGCCTTTGCTGATAACTGAATTCCCACTGCTGCGTATGTAAGAATTATCCAGCTTGTAAGTAGGTTCGAAACCCATTTTCTAGTAAATTATGTTATAAATCGTAGGGGAGTTTTTAGAATAAACCACAAAGGGCTCTCTAGGTGGAACTTATTATAAAGAGATAATGTTGTATATTCTGTCTCTCACACACACACTCACACTCTATCCTGTTATTAGTAATTTAGCAAAATAATGTTGGGAAAGCATATTTGAGTACAGTCTTTTTTGTGGATATATTTTCGTTTCTCTTGGGTAAAAACTTAATAGTATACTTTCTGGGGCTTACGATAAATGTGCATTTAGCTCTATAAGAAATAGAACAGTTTCCAAAGTGGGCACAGTATTTCATGTTTCCGTCAGCAGCGTATGAGAGTTCCAATTATTTTGTATCCATGGTATAGTCAACTTTTTTCGATTTTTGCATTTCTCTGATGACTGAGGTTATATAGACTACTTGATACAAAGGATCTCATGTATTAATCCTTTGATATGTAGACGGTTTGTATATCTTTATAGAGCATCTCTTCAAACGTTTTCTCCATCTTTCAAACTTCGGATGTTTGTCTTATTGTTACTGTGTTTTAAGAATTCTGTAAATATCCTGGTTGGAAATGAGCTATCATACACAATAGATGTGTTGCAATTTTTTTTTTTTTTACTATTCTATGTCTTGTTTTTGCAATTTCTTAGGTGTCTTTTGAAGGGCAGAAATTTTAATTTTGGGGTGCAGGTATACTAGCTACAGATTCTCGCAGCTTTTATTAGTTTCAAAATTATTACTTTTTTTTTTTTTTTTTTTTGAGACAGAATCTTGCTCTGTCGCCCAGGCTGGAGTACAGTTTCACAATCACAGCTCACTGCAACCTCCGCCTCCCAGGTTTAAGTGATTCTCATGCCTCACCCTCCAGAGTAGCTGGGACTACAGGCACGCACCACCACGCCCAGCTAATTTTTTTTTTTTTTTCTTGAGACACAGTCTCACTCTGTCACTCAGGCTGGAGTGCAGTGGCACAATCTCAGCTCACTCCAACCTCCACCTCCCAGGCTCAAGCAATTCCCCTGCCTCAGCCTCCTGAGTAGCTGGGATTATAGGCATGTGCCACGACACCCAGCTAATTTTTGTAATTTTAGTAGACACGTGGTTTTGCCATGTTGGTCAGGCTGGTCTCAATCTCCTGACATCAAGTGATCTGCTCACCTCAGCTTCCCAAAGTGCTGGAATGACAGGAGTGAGCCACCACGCCTGGCTAGTTCTTGTATTTTTAGTAGAGACAGGGCTTCACCACATTGGCCAGGCTGGTCTTGAACTCATGACCTCAAGTGATCTGCCCACCTTGGCCTCCCAAAGTGCTGGGATTACAGGCATGAGCCACCATGCCCAGCCTCATCTTCGTTATTAAAGTTTATTTTTGCCAAATATACAACATATTTACAGTATGTAGAATTCTAGGTTGACAGGTTTTTTTTTTTTTCTTTTTAGACCTTGTAAGATGCCATCCCACTGTCTTTTGACTTGCATAGTTTCTGATGAGAAGTCTGTAGTAATTCTTATCCTCGCTCCTCTGTACCTAATTGTATATTTTTCCTCTGGGTGCTTTTATGATTTATCCCTGGTTTTTCAGCAGTTTGGTTCTGATGTACTTTCACATGGGATTTATGTTTATTTTGCTCGGCATTCATTGGCTGTTTTGGATCTGAGACTTTATCATTTTTGTCAATTTGGGGAAATTTGGGGTCATTATTTCTTCAGGTATTTTCTGTGTTTTTTCTCTCTCCTACTTCTGGAAACTCCAGGTATACCTACTGCTTCATATTGCCACAGAAGCTACTGAGGATCTGTTTTTGTGTTTTTATTTTGCAGTCTTTCTCTCTGTGGTTAAGTTTAGAATTTCTACTGCTGTCCTTAAGTTCACTTATCTTTTCTTCAGACTTTTTAGTTTGCAGCTAATCCTATTCAGTGACTTTTCCATGTTTTTTACCTCTGGAATTTTTATTTGGTTCTTTTTCGTATCATTTTTCTTTTATCATTTTCAAGCTTTACTTTAAACTCTTGAGAACATTTATAAGAGGCACCTTAAAGTTGTCTTCTGAGCTGGGTGTGGTGGCATGTGCCCATAGTCACAGCTACTCAGGAGGCTGAGGCAGGAGAATCACTGGAGCCCAGGAGTGTGAGGCCAGTCTGGGCAACATAGGCCTCTTTAAAGAAAAAAAAAGGAAAGAAAGAAAAGAAAAGAAAAGTTCTTATCTGAAAGTTCCATTATCTATGTAATATCTGCATCTATTTTTATGTACTTTTTCTCTTAGTTACGGGACACATGTTTTACATGTCTAGTAATTTTTTATTAGAAGGTGGACATTGTGGATTTCAGGTTGTGTGTCTAGCTTTTTCATCTTCCTTTGAAAAGACTTGCCCTTTATTCTGACAAGCAAGTAACTTATTTACAGATTTAGTTTCATGTTTGTTTTTAGACTTTTTAGAATGACTTTAGAGCAGTAGCTTCTACTTTTGGGTGACCTTTCTGAAGTCTGTACTGAATTCCCCTTCTGTTCAGTGAGAGCACTAAACATGGCAGACCCACAGTCAGCACCCTTCAGCCCTGTGTGAGCTCTGGGCTTGCCAGCTCACAGGACTCTGTCCATGGCAGACCCACACTCAACACCCCACAGCCCTGTGTGAGCTCTGGGCTTGTCAGCTCACAGCACCTCATCCTTTCCTGCCTTCAGAGCTGCACTCTCTGCACATACAGCTGAGTGTCAGCAGTAAACTCAAGGGCTCCCACACAAACCCTTTCTCTGCTTAGCTCCCTCCTTTCTAGATCTCTGGATATAAGAATTATCCAGTTTGTAAGTATGTTCCAAAACCATTTTCTAGTAAATTATGTTATAAATTGTAGCTGGGTTTTTAGAATAAACCACAAAGGATTATGTAGGTGGAACTTATTATATAGAGATAATGTATATTCTTTCTGACACATACACTCTCACACTTTCTCTGTCTCCCATTGTTGTTAATAATTTAGCAAAATAAGAATGTTGGGAAAGCATATTTGAGTACAGTCTCAAGCTCATCAGCCCACCCGCCTTAACCTCCTTGATGTCCCAAACCCTGCTTGGGATTCTCCTCCTGCAATGTGGTCCAAAAAGTGCCATTGGGTTCAAGAGTTCAACTCATGTTTTCCTTCTGTTGGGTCACAGTCCTTTGCTGTGTCTGAAGACAGTTGTTAGATTTCTTCTGAGCAATGTTGCAGTTGTTCACATCAAGACAGTCCAGTCCCAGTTACCCTGAAATGGACAGAAGCAAATTACTGCTGCTTTTTATTCATTCATCAGTTGGTGGACATTTGGGCTGTTTCTACCTTTTGGCTGTTGTGAGTAATGCTACTGTGAACATTCACACACAGGCGTTTGTGTCTATGTGTTCTCAGTGATCTGGGATGTATAGCTAGGTGTGGACTTGCTGGATTCTGTGGTAACTCTGTTCAACATTTTGAGGCCCCGCCAGACAGTTTTCTAAAATGGCTATTCCATGTTGACTCCCCACCAATGATGTGGTGTGTGAGGGTTCCAGTTGCTCCACATCCTTGAGTTTGGGTTTGGGTTTTAATTGTTGTGGTTTTTTTGTTCAGGTGGTCTCATTTTTCCCTGGAGTAAGCAAACACTGGATCAGAGGATAGACCCTGCCAGGATAAACAGGCACCTTTCTGCATTGGCGATGTGGCAGAAAGCTCAGCGTGTTCTGTGCCAGGTGCAGGGGCTGCTGCCTTTCAGCAGCGCTACCCCGTGAGCATTTGTGTCTTTGGGCTTCCCAGACAGTAAGGCCCATACGCTTTCAGTCCACTGCTCTGGCTTCTGTTTTGTCTTTCACCATCAAAATCAAGAAGGGACTACTGAGACTATTCCCCCATTGCAGGAAAGGCAGCCAGGCCCTAACCGCCTGTCAGCCGTGAGAACAGCCACTTGCTCCTCCATAAATGCACCTGACCAGGAGAATGGGGTGGCGACATCACGATGAGTCCCAGATTGTGATATATTCATGTGTTTCCTTCGTGTTCCCTGAACCTTGCCCTGGATAAAGTAGACCCTCACTGAATGGCTTGCTGGTCTGAAGGAATCATTGGTTCTAGCTGGATTCCATCCCAGGTGTAGTAGCACAGCTCTCTAGAAAGCCCTGGGGGAAGTTCCCTCCCCCTCCCACCTCCCCTGCACAGTAACGGCTAGAGGAGATGCAGTACAAGCGTCTCCACCTCCCTGCGCTGTCACCACCTTCAGTTAGCCACACAGCAAGGGCGAGGTTTGTCCTAAGACGCTTGTCACATCCTTGGCCCTCTGTTGGTGGGATATTTGATAGTCATGCATATGCTAGTATCTCAGGAACTTGCTGTGGTAGCTAAAATATTAACTAACAGAGAATTTTAAGGACAAGAGATTTTCACAGCATGGTCTCATTGATAATGTTGTGGGGATGGAGGAGTTGAATTGGCCCTCCGTCCCTGGCATTACAATTTGATTTTGCTCTTTACCCAGCTCGCTGCCCCCCTGGCTGAGATGCTCTTTGTCTGAGACGAGTTGCATTTTTGCAGAGCTTTATGGGGCCCTGTGTCTGAACTCTTTTATTTTGCCTTTTAATTATTGCTGCTAGATCAGTTAGCTGATTTTGTGGATCTGGTATTTGAAGTACTTCACCTTATGCTCTGAAAGCAGAAATTATACAACTGCTGCCCCTAGGTCTTTTCCTCAATGTGAGAAAACGTGAGGCTGGCCTCTGCGAGCACCAGGTTTAGCACCCAGGGAAGAGACAGACCTATGACCTGGAGCCACCCAGCCCCTTCTGCCGCAGGCTGTTGATCTCTCCTGGTAGAAGGGAGGCAGCAGAGCAGAGAAGCAATGTCAGCAGCTTTTCTGATTCTCTTGCTCTCATGGTCTAGATTCTGTTCTTCTTTTAAGTGTCACTATTTTGAAAGATAGCAAAAGATTGAAATAACCTTGCTTCTTAGGAGAAACAACTTCTATGCTTTTCTTTCCCCCGCTCCCCCCGCCACCGCCCCGCCGCCAAAAAAAAAAGGGTAGGAGAACAATAGGAAGAGATCTGAGCCAGCGGTGAAGTCCAGGCAGGGGGCACGCAGGCTTCTCTGCACCCTCAGTCACTGCGTGCTCCCAGTGGCCCGCCTGCAGCATGAGCATCAGCTTCTCTGTGGCTGGGAGGCAGCTTTGTGCTGAGATGGAGAGATCTTGGCTTTCTCCACCCCCCATCTTGGGGTTGTCCTAGTTTGAGTCTTTCTTCTGCTCACCCGAGAGACTGCAGGGACTTTGTGCTGTGTCCCTGTCAGCAGCTGCTGCGGGCCAGACGCCCAGAGCACGTGTCAGGGAAGATCCAGCCAGCTCCGGCTGCTTGCTGTCTCCAGGCATTTCAGGGACCTCAGAGCCACTGCTTCCTCCTCCCAGGATGCTCACTGTCTCTGGCATTTCAGGGACCTCAGAGCCACTGCTTCCTCCTCCCAGGATGCTCACTGTCTCTGGCGTTTCAGGGACCTCAGAGCCACTGCTTCCTCCTCCCAGGATACTCACTGTCTCTGGCGTTTCAGGGACCTCAGAGCCACTGCTTCCTCCTCCCAGGATACTCACTGTCTCTGGCGTTTCAGGGACCTCAGCGCTGCTTCCCTTTCCCCCTGGGCTGCTCTATCCCCCCAGCTGCCCCTGCCTCAGGTGTTTCAGGGACCTCAGTGCTGCTGCCCCTTCCCAGGTGCCTTTCCTCAGTCAGCAGCACCCCCAGAAAGGAGAGAGATGGTCCAGGGCTGTGTCCTGGTCCCAGCTGTGTGTGAGAGGCGTCTCCTGCCGCCCGTGGAGAGCATCGTGTCCTGTGAGCAGCCTTTACTTACCCTGGACTCTCCCTCGGCCTGCGGTGCAGCCACCGAAACAGCACTGAGGCCTGTGGACTGTGACAGTTTTCTCTGCACTGTTGGGATGACTAGTTTGTCCCCATACAACAGACTTGGTAACTTCAGGCCCTTCCCTGGGGCCCCTGAACTGTGCCGACTCCCGAGGGTCATGAAGGCTGGCTCGCCCAGCATCTGGGCTTGACACTAGCTGTGAGATTGCTCCCTGCTCAGGGCAGGTCATTGGCACATCTCTTCTGTCCCCAGGCCACACAAAAGCACCTGTTCTCCCTCCCCTTGCCCTTCTGTGTCTTCCCTTTAAAGCAAGTGGCATGCTTCAGATTCCACGTCCAGTGTTCTTCAGCACCGTCTAAAGATCGTTCTAATCAGAGGAGTCAGGTCAGGAGTAGAAACGGTCCCGTGCAGAGGCAACTGGATTCTTCCCTGGCTTGCAGCATGAAGTGCGCCCAGCAGCTCCTGGAGCAAGGCCTGGCTCAGCGAGGCTACCGAGGACCTGCTGTGAAAGGGGGTCTCAGTTTTCCTTTGGCTTGGCTGGTGACCTCAGCACTGAAGAGAGGGCCATTGGTAATTTAACTTCTTTAGCCCTAGCCCTCCAGGCTTTCCTGGAGGTCCAGGCAAGCATGGAGGCATTGATGAGATTTGGGAAGACTATTCAGGCCTGCCTGCACCAGCGCGAGGCTGGCCACTGTGGGTGCAGCCCCTGGTCCCCAGCAGTGTCACCTTCATGCTCCTGGGCCTCCCTAGGCCCCTCACCTGAGGCCTCTCTGCTGGCTTGGCTTTGCCTCTCACTACAAGCCTGGTAGTAGGCGGTAGGACTTACCGTTTCCTCTTCAGAATAAAGAACATGCTTTCTGATCAGTGGTGAATAAAGATATAATTTTTAAAATAAAAAGAATAAAGAGCAATTCTAAAATTATGCATTTTATTAACGATTGTGCTAATTTAGCTTCTGGTTAATTGAAGTTTTACGATACTATAACCGTTACTTTTACCTCCACAAGCCAGTGGAGAAAAAAGAAATTGTGTTTAGTTATGGGTTCTGGTTAGCTGAGTTTAGTTGACATTTTATTGTCTTGACATATTTTTCTTCTATTCTTCCCAGGGAGATGCAGTTAAAGACTTGATGCTTCGCTTTCTGGGTGAAAAAGCTGCAGCAAAGAGACAAGTCCTAAATGCCGACTCAGTGGAACAATCTTTTGTTGGATTGAAACAGCTAATCGTAAGTGACAATGTGTTTGATTTCAGTGTTGTTTTGTGATAAGTCCTGCCTGCCTTCATAATATTTTCTCTAGAAGTCAATTATTTTGAATATTATTCAAAGCTCTTGCACATAAGTAGAATTTTGTTGGAGTAGATGCCAGTCCTGTGCACCAAAAAGCATCATATTAATACATGGATACTTTTAAGCCTAATTAGTTAAAAAGCCATTATTGGAAATGATCAAATTACTCAAAGCAGTGCATACTTTGATTGAGTTTGCTTCATCATATATAATAGAGATAAATGATTTGTGTTCATTTTTTAAATATATTGCATTTTCTGCATTTTGTGTAGAAAGTTTATTATTGAATGGGTGAATTTCTGAACATTTTTAAGCTTTGTCATGAATTCTATAAGTAGGTTTTTAAAATTCATGGCTGGGCGCAGTGGCTCACACCTGTAATCCCAGCACTTTGGGAGGCCAAGGCGGGCAGATCACAAGGTCAGGAGTTCAAGACCAGCCTGGCCAACATGGTGAACCCCATCTCTACTAAAAATACAAAAATTAGCTGGGCATGGTGGTGCGTTCCTGTAATCCCAGATACTCAGGAGGCTGAGGCAGGAGAATCGCTTGAACTGGGACCCGGGAGGTGGAGGTTGCAGTGAGCCGAGATCACACCACTGCCACTCCAGCCTCGGCTACAGAGCGAGACTCCGTCTCAAAAAAATAAAAATAAAAAAACATTAGTACTGGATCACCATTGCTGTACAGGTTGATTTGTTTCCAATGAATTTATAATCTTAAAGACAGCTGTAATTGCGTTGGGTAGCTTTTCTAGATTAAGGAGAAGATATTGGAAGTTTGTCGCGTATGTTTCCTTCAGGAATCCTATGGTAGCCATGGGGTAAGTACTCTGAAATGAGAGCCCCATCTCACACCGAATCTCAGCTCCCCAGTGTTGTCTCCTTAGGGGGCTGTGGAATTGCTCTGCTAGCTCATCCACACGGTTGCCTAGAGTGGACTTAGCAAAGCCATGCTCCCATGCCTGCATGCAGTCAAGTTAGTGGGCACACTTTCTTGAAGGGGTTTGGAGAGTGAGGTCCTTGATTTTGGGAATAAGTCCCACCGGCTGTCTGAAACTCATGTTGAAATGCGCCCTTATCCTGACTGTATTTCAGCGGCACATGGTCCAGACACTCTCCATTTGGGTGAACAATCTGGAGGACATGTATTCACCTTTCAACTTTCAAAAAAGAGAATGGAATTTCCTAATTTACTTATTTTTCTAATAGTTCCCCATCTTGTTTTTCTCAATTGTTACTAATTCTTCTGCACCGGGCTTCAGATTTCACCAATTTTTTTTTTTTTTTTTTTGAGATGGAGTTTCACTCTTGTTGCCCAGGCTGGAGTGCAATGGCGTGATCTCAGCTCACTGCAACCTCCACCTCCCGGGTTCAAGTGATTCTCCTGCCTCAGCTTCCCGAGTAGCTGGGATTACAGGCGTGCACCACCACACCCGGCTAATTTTTTGTATTTTTAGTAGAGACAGGGTTTCACCATGGCCAGGCTGGTCTTGAACTCCTGACCTCAGGTGATCCGCCTGCCTCACCCTCCCAGAGTGCTGGGATTATAGGCGTGAGCCACCGCACCCGACCAGATTTCACCTATTTTAAGCAAACTTTAGTTCCTAAAGATATAATAGTTGAGAAGTTTAGAAATTTCTGGAGGATTAAACTTTGCAGCCCATTGAAATGACAGGTGAAGGTTAGCCTGTGAACTAAAACAGAAAATGAGAATGTTTTAAAGTTTATTTTGGAGTAGCGCGTGGCTCAGTCCCAGCTCAGAGGCAACTGTCTTTTGTGTGAAAACAGTAATATGTAAATCACTTACTTGCAAGAAGACTACAGTGAAGTTCAGAAGAAAATAATCCCAGTTCCTTTTTTGTTACATCACCTCTGCCTCTGTATTTGAAAGTGAGGTATAGCCTGTCCCCATTCTGCCAGAAATGACTGATGTTTGTGAGGCTGAAATCCTGAGCCAGGAGAGGAGTGATTTCTTGATCTTTAACAGGAGCATTTAACAAAGTAACAAAATTTTTTCCTTAATTGACTAGTTCTCTTGAATTCAGACAAATCCTTATTATGTGTGGTCTTGTGACTTCTGTGACACTTTAGAAGCTTTCCTGGGTTCAGTATGGATTGGGGACTGCCTGCTACGCTGACCGGGCCACCTGGAACCCCTTTGCCTGGGGCCTGGCTCCCGGCTGTGATGACCCAGATCGCGGTTGTGTGAGGGCCTTTCCGAAGCATGGGTGGGGGCTGTACTCTGCTGTGAGGTCGCGCAGGGACATCGTGCCCTGGGTTCCTGGATTTTCTAGTCCCTCTCTTCTGATTTTAAACTTCTCTTTGACTTTCTACTTTCTAGTGTTCTATTGTCAGCAGATCTCTTGCTTCCTAAGAGAGCCTAAAGGAAAAAATATAGAATCCTCCCCATTTTACTCAAAAGTCAGTTTCTTATATTCTTCTCGATCTTGATTTTTAACTTCCTTTGATCCCTGATCTTTTTCCCAAAAAAATCTTTTTTTGGAGTTTTGCCCAAAAAGCCTGTTTTTGAGAAAGTACCGAACATTGGCAAAGCAGCCTTAGTTACTTGGATTTTATCCTGACTTCATTATATGCATGAACTGGGAGGTGACATGTCATCAGTGTCAATAACAAATGCTGTAACTTGGGGGAGACAGAGCCAACCTACAAAAATTAAAAATCTGTAATAAACACCGTGACAGTCAGGAAGCGTGTCTTGTTCACCAGTGCATCTGAGGACCCAGCACGGTCAGGCACAGAATGGGTACACGGCGTCTTCTTGAGTAAATAAAGGGATGAGGGAATGAATAGATAAGAGAACCCCCAGTCGGTAAGCTACTCTTTTGATAAAGAAGTAGCGTCAGAATGTTGGGTTTAAAGAAATAGAGAAGGAGCTCATACAAAAGGATAGAGTGGGGGGCGGTTACGGGGGAGGGGGCGCAAAGAGTGAGGAGATGAAACCACAAGAAGATTAGTCTGGAGAAAGATGGAACATTTCTTCCTCTGCAATGACAGAAAAGGAAAGGAAGGATTTGAAAGGAATGAAAATCGAATCCAGCACATTTTCAAACTGTGATTCTGAGAACCCTCGGGTTCCAGGGAGGGACCTTGGGGTGACTGGGCATGGCCTGCGGAGGTGACTTGGTAGGGCCAGTGTCAGGCAGAGCATTTCAGCAGGGTCTACTTTATGTAGAAGTCTCTCTTGAGATGTCTTTTTTTGGGGGGGTGGGGGGAAAGGAGGATGAATTTTACTATTTAAAAATTTGAAAAACTAACATAGTCCAAAATGCCCGCTTTGTAGATTAGAACACTAAGATCTACAAAGGTGTAGAGGTTGGCCCCAAACAAATGTCCTTGCTCCTGTTACCAGTACCATCCCTACTGCCCCATGTCCCTTACACAGTCCGCACAGCCCAGCAAAAAGCACAGTTGCTGGTGTTGGTTTTGCTCATTGACTACCTCCCACCAAATGACTTAGTATTTCTGAACCGTCGGATCTACACACCGTGGGAATTACGCTTTTCAATACAGCTTCTAGGACTGGATTGTATCCAGGGGTAGGATTTCCCATGAGAAGACCTTATATCTGATGGGATTCAAACAAACAAGTTCTCACTTGTGTTTCTTAGTGTATTCATTGAGCAAACACATATTAAGCCTCTTCTCTTTCCAGCAATAACAATAAAGGTTGCTAAGCTAGTGCTCTTGCTCCGTGAAGTTCTGCCTTCTTAACCATTTATGGGATTTACTCAGATTTAGAAGTGCTATTCTATTATTTTTAATTTACTTATTGCTGACTTGAAGCTCATACACTATTTTTAAAAGAAGTATATATTCCAGATTCACAAATTTATTGTAACTCTTATGATTCTTCATCAGTGTCTTCAGACACAGACACAAATTCAGCTGCACTCCTAACCCATGGCAGTGAAGTTTCTCTTTTCTCTCCTCATGCCCTGAATCCACTTCCCATAGGGAAGCTGCTTGTACTACATCTTGAATACCAGTTCCCACAACCCTGCTTCTGTAACTGGCGGGAATCCCGAGAGCTCCAGCATGAATCCCTCAGGCCTCTTGCCCCAGAGCAAAGTTCCCAGCTGTTCCCTGACTTGCAGAGACTGAAGGACCCTTCCAGACTCAGAGAAGCCAAACCTTCCCCAGAGACGCTTCCCTCTCCTCCTTCCTCTGCACCACGCTCCCCAAGCTGTGGAACTGTCACTCACATGGTCACGCAACATACACACACAGGTCTGTACTCATTAACTCGGAGTAAGCGCAAAAACCCAGGCAGAGACCCTCTCCTAAAATAGAAGCAGGAAATTATCTTAGGTGTAGGTGTTTGCTGTCTGAATCCTCTGGTAGCCTGTGAACCACTGGAAACTATGCTCCCCAAATTGCCTTTCTTCCCCACGTTCTTTACCGTATTTACAGAAGCGTGTCCTCAAAAAGGTAAACAAGCATCCCTTGCTTACCTTCACACATCACACCAAGTTTAAATGTGAGTCAATGTCAGTCGAATGCTTCTTTGAGTTTCTTTTACCAAAGTGATTCTGTAATTATTTCTATGATTAGAAAGCTTTGGAGAGGAGAGAGATGGAGATACTCTTTTTTAAAGGGGAAAAAACAGCTAATTTGTAAGTATCTGTATCCTTTATAATTTGCTAATGCAGTTACGGATCTCCAGGGTGGCCATTTCCCTGGCCCATGCTCTGTTCCCAAGGGTGTGGGCGTGGCCCCTTGGTTTGGCCATGGGGAAGCTGCTGTGATGTATCCTCTTGAGGCAGGAACTGAACTGGCAGCATGACAGGGCTTTATAATAATGGGTTTAAAAATCACACACAAAGCCATGCATGTTAATTATAATTAATTTTTTCTACAGGCTATTTTTTACCCTCTTTGATCGTTCCTGTTATTAATAAATATATACAATGGTTTGATGTGTTTCATACGTTGGAAATACTTGAGACCATCAGAAATTTTATTAACAGGCCTAACAAGGGAGCTTACGTAAGGTGAAAAATGTATTTATGAAAGGATCTTTACCTTGCCCTGGTATTTTAATTCTAGTGTGTCCTAAAATAATTCGTGTTGTCTTTAAGGCAGCCAGGAAAGGGTTTTTGAATTATTTCCCTAAGTTATGTCAGAGTTTCCTAAGATTGTAATTTACAGGGAAATGGATGTCACAGCCTGGGAGAAGGACGTGTTAATCACTTTAATGGTATCATATGTAGAGGTAATAATTCCCTTTGAGTCTTAGATGGAGAAAAGTTATGTACATGCCATTAGTTACTTGAGTGATTTTTATTAGACTATTTTTCTCATCATTTGGAAATTGTGTAATGCCTACGTTCAGTTTTTCAAATAGACCCTGTATCGTACTCCTAGCAAAAAAACGTAAAAGTAGTTTTTATCTAAAATCTTTATCTCATATCAGACTAACTTCATTATTAGAATTTTACATGTCATGTACAGTAATTATGAGATTTTCATAAGATTTCTTTCACAAAGTTTAAAGTTTTATGTGGTATACTTTAGATTCTGATTTTAAAAATAGTTTCTTTGCTTCATATTTCTGACATCTATCATTGAAAATAGAGGAGGGGGGAGGCCGAGGCGGGCAGATCACGAGGTCAGGAGATCGAGACCATCCTGGCTAACACGGTGAAACCCCATCTCTACTAAAAATACAAAAAATTAGCCGGGCGTGGTGGCGGGTGCCTGTAGTCCCAGCTACCCGGGAGGCTGAGGCAGGAGAATGGTCTGGGAGGCAGAGCTTGCAGTGAGCCAAGATCACGCCACTGCACTCCAGCCTGGGCGACAGAGCAAGACTCCGTTTCAAAAAAAGAAAAAAAAGAAAAAGAAAATGGAGGAGGGCCACCAGGAAGGGGAATAAGGTGGAAAATAATAAGATAAAAATAGCAAAAAACACACTAAGAAAATAAGCAATTATAATTTCAAATAGCAGACGGCATGCGATCATAAGAACTGGCTCTGGCTCTCACAGTAGCCACAGTCACATCCCACCTTGGAAGGATGTGCTGGTTCCTCCTGGCCGGTCGTCCCCTCTCCAGCATTTGTCCATTAAACAAGAGCCCTGGCTCTGCTAGTTCCACATCACCTCTTGGACAAGTCTGAAGATCAGAATGCTGAGGCTGTGCTCTGCCGAGGCTGGTAAAAATAAACCTCCAAACACGTGTGCTTGACATGTGTGGCCAAGGAAATGTCTACCGTGCCTCCAGTTGGAGGCTTGTACCAGGAGAAACACTAAAGAGGAGGGAAGCGGACAAGCCTATCACACTGGCAGCACCAGTTAGTAAGGGTAGGCAGCACACATTGTTGATTCGAACGTGAATTGTCTTGCAGAGCAATTTAACAATAGCTAATAAAGCTGGGCGTGGTGGCTCACACCTGTAATCCCAGCACTTTGGGAGGCCAAGGTGGGTGGATCGTTTGAGCCCAGGAGTTCAAGACCAGCCTGGGCAACATGGCAAAACCCCGCCTCTACTAAAAGTACAAAAATTAGCTGGGTGTGGTAGCACACGCCTGTAGTCCCAGCTACTTGTGGGGCTGAGGCAGGAGGATCACCTGAGCCTTGGAAGGTTGAGGCTGCAGTAAGCCATGATCGGGCCACAGCACTCCTGCCTGGGTGACACAGTAAAACCTTGTCTCAAAAAAAATTTAAAAAAAAATAATAATAACAATAAAGTACATGCTTTGTATAACTTTTGACTCAACAATCCCACTTTCAATTATATACTTTAGAAAAACTTGTACATGTGTGTAAAAAGACATTCAAGAATGTTTGCTGCTGTATTACTTATGTTACTTAGCCAAAAATTCTATTAAAAATCTTAATATTCAATATCCAAAAGAAGAGAATTATGTTATATGCAGTTGATCGGGCAGCACAGTGCGACCTGACCAAGCTCACTCTGTGCCGCCCTGGATATCCCACACGTGCACCTGTTCCCACACACGCTCCTTTCCTGCCCTGCGCGGCCCGCTGCGGCACAGAGCTATGTGCACCGTGGCTCCTGAGCCCTGCCCGGCCAGGGGCAGTCTCCTGGCGGCTGTGATCCTCTTCCTGAGGCTGCCACAGCTGTCTTGCAGCCCAGTCCCCTCTGGTGCCATGCCCTGGGCACGTCACTGTCCCTTGCTCACAACTTTGCAAAAAGTTAAGACTCTCTTCAGAAACTCCTGTGACCATGCAGTAGCCATCATGTCCTGCCAGGCCCCCGACAAAGGATATGATAGCAAAGCCTGACCTCAGCGAGGAGAGACAGTTATGGTCTCAGTTCATCTCCTTTGGTGTGAACAAAAATATTCCTGTGCCTAGAAATGTTTTTGAAATACAAAGTAAACTGGAACTATAGACAAATATTTTATATTCTCTTATCAGAAAAAATCACCATTTGGGAAAGTATAAATTGTAAATGGTAAATAATGTGTTTTCTTCTCTTTTTTTCCTTTAATGTTTTTCTAAATGATTATACAAAGAAAATCATCTGGCTGGGCACAATGGCTCATGCCTGCAATCCCAACACTTTTGGGAGGCTGAGGTAGGAGAATCAGTTGAGTCTAGGAGTTCAAGATCAGCCCGAGCAATATAGTGAGACCCCTTTATCTACAGATAATTTAAAAATTAGCCTGATGTGGTGGCACGCACCTGTAGTCCCAGCTACTCGGGAAGCTGAGGTGGGAGGATTGCCAGAGCCCAGGCCGTGGAGGCTGCAGTGAGCCCTGATCGCACCACTGCACTCCAGACTGGGCAACAAAGCAAGACTTTGTCTTTAAAAAAAAAAAAAAAAAAAAAAAAAAAAGGGGAAGAAATGAAAAAATCCTGTTTCTATTCCCTCTACTGATGCATCTGACTCTCACACCACATCTAAATTAGAGATGAAGGGGCTCTCTCAGTCACGTCTGCCCTGAATTGCAGTGGGGGCTCTCCCCAGCTGAGGTGTGAGGCTGGGTCTGGGCCTTGCCCCTTTGCTCCCCACTCCGTGTCCCCCAGCAGGTCTGCCAGCGCCGAGCCCTCTGCGCCTCCACCTGGGAGATGCAGGTGGAAAGGGCTGCCCAGACTCTCTCTGCCACGTGCTCTTTTGTGTTATCGTCTCAGGGAATTGGGTTGTTCTGACTCCTAGAAAATTGGCTCTCGGGTTGGTGTAAGTTTGTGTAGATATGACTGCATGTCATTTATAGACCAATCGATATTAACCAGTAAATTGCTCACTCTAATAGTGCACACTTAATCAATAGCAGCAATTATCCAAGTAAATCTTTCATATTCAGTCATCTGTGGAAAAATTATATTGGGAGAAACCGTAACAAGAGCATAAACATTTCTGCTTTCTATTTTCAGTCAGGAAAGAAGCCACTTTTTAAAAGATTTACATTTCCCAAAGAAATGAATAATTAAGATGGTAGGCATTTGCTTTATTTTTAATAGTTGTGATCTAGTGTGAGACATAGAAAATAAGTCTTAGAATATGAAATCATGGCAAAAGCTGAAGGCTTTTTATATGATATGTTTTACTATTTTTAATCATTTATGGAGTACTTTATGTTTGCAAAGCCCTTGCAAATAATTTTATTACACATGTAAATGTTTGATTGGTGGCGAGTATCTATACATAGTGGGTATAAAATGAGATGGAAGCCTTTACTGTAAAATATGTCTTACTTGTTTAAAAAATACGTAAGTATCCATAATCAGATCTTCCCGTTGATATGTTTTTGTGCCCACACAAATTCAAATTGCCTTTGAGGTCCATCAAATAGATAACAAATTGAGGGCCAGGCGTGGTGGCTCATGCCTGTAATCCCAGCACTTTGGGAGGACGAGGCAGGCAGATCACGAGGTCAAGAGATCAAGACCATCCAGGCCAACATGGTGAAACCCCGTCTCTAGTAAAAATACAAAAATTAGCTGGGCGTGGTGGTGCACGCCTGTAGTCCCAGCTACTCGGGAGGCTGAGGCAGGAGAATGGCTTGAACCCAGGAGGCGGAGGTTGCAGTGAGCCAAGATCACGCCACTGCACTTCAGCCTGGCCACAGAGCGAGACTCCATCTCAAAAACAAATAAAATGAAATAAAAAACAAATTGAGTTCACTGGGCTTTGTGTGGCATCACAGAATTGAACATCAGGAGATTCCATATCTACTGTATCAAAATCCTTTTGTTTTTCAGAAAAACCCAAAACTTTGCTTATGCTTTAGCTGCTATACTTAGTAGTAACTTACACCTTCCATACTTGTTGTGAAAATGCTGTATTATTTCAACCAGCCTGAATTTGGTTCCTGCATGTCAAGCACTGTTCTAGGTACAGAGACTGAGGGCGTCACTGTGTGGAGAGAAGTGACATGCACACGGTTGATTTCTGACAGGCCAGGACATCAAAGCGCTGTCTGCATGAGTGCTGATCCATCATTATTTTTTCATTCACAAAACTCTTTTTTCCTCCCTTCACAAATAGCAAGTTCCTGTATCTAAAAGAGAAAAGAAAAACTGAAAAAAAGATTGCTTATATAACCACTGTCCTTTTACATTTTAGTGTATGTGTTATACGTATGTGTGTGCATATCTATACTATACATAGTGTGCATGTATGAAGATGGAGATACATGTTTGTGTATATATGCTTAGGCACAAAATTCATATGCTTCTATCAATTTGTGTCTTTTTATTATGTATTATATATTTAGCATTTCCCCATATAAAAGGGTCTTTAAAAACATTTTAATAGCCACATAATCTGAAGTTATTGTAAATAATCTTAAGATGAACTGTCTTATACAGAATTCTACATATGTGATTGTTTCTTTAGGATAAGTCTTAGGAGGAGAATTCTGAAGTCAAAGGCTGTTCATAAATACTCCCCATTGTCGTTCAGAAGGTCATTCCAGGTTATGTTTTCCACAGCACCTGAGTGCACTGGCTGTAGCATCTCCTTGCCTATCCTGACTTGTATCTTTTTTTAAAAAAATTCTAATTTTTTTAGGCTAACAATGACATTTGCTTTTTATTTGTTTTGCTAGTGAAGATCAACTCACTAGTAAATTATAATTTGCATTTCTTTGATTACTAGTGTGGTTAATTAAGCATTAGTTTATTCTTGTACTGTCTTCTTGTAGTGCTATGAATTTACTGTCTGTTCCACAATTTTTTTGCATGCCAAGTGCCACACTAAAGAAATGCTTTTAGAAATTAAAAAGCAATGCATTAGATGCGGCCACTGCCCCAAGGAGCTAAAGGAGAAATAGGAATTAAGAATAGGAAGGTTTCACCATGAGCAGGAAAGGCACCATTAAGATCAGGTTTGAGGCTGGACATGGTGGCTCACACCTTTAATCCCAGCACTTTGGGAGGCCGAGGCAGGTGGATCACCTGAGGTCAGGAGTTTTAAGACCAGCCTGGCCAACATGGTGAAACCCCATATCCACTAAAAATACAAAAATTAGCCGGGTGTGGTGGTGGGCGCCTGTAATCCCAGTACTCAGGAGGCTGAGGCGGGCGAATTGCTTGAACCCAGGTGGCTGAGGTTGCAGTGAGCCAAGATCGCGCCACCGCACTCCAGCCTGGGTGACAACAGCAAAACTCCGTCTCAAAAAACAAACAAAAAGATCAGGTTTGAGGTTGGTTTGAGGGTGCTCATCTTGCAATGAGCAAGTGCAGGTGAGCTCTGACTGGAGCAGGGGCGTGTGAGGGCTCGGCGACACAGAGCGGCCAGCTACACCTTCATCTAGAACGGATTCATGTCATCTCCAACTCCAGGGTGGCCAGCTGAAGACTGGGCCATCATCTGTTCCGAATCATTGATATGATTGTGTTTCCTGTGACCTGTTCTGTTGTTTTAGACCTGGTCAGCACACTCACAACTTCAATGAAATTAGGAATACCTTTCACACAGAGCTAGGCACATAAGTTGATAAGTACAACCTGAAAAGGCCCAACTTAGCCGTGAGTGGACATAAATAGGAGTTGTATTACCACAAAAGTAAGGAAAATATGCCATGTACAGATATCTTGTTCATTTATTATACAAAATAAATGGTGGTCTTTGCTCCCAAAGACCCTTCCAGAAGAAAACAGTTGAATACTTTTAGTGCAGAAGGACAACTCCGGGTTACTGGTAGAACTTAAAAACTATTATTTACAGTTTCTCTTCTTAACTGTTTATAACTTTTGTTCATAAAAACTGGCAGTTTCCTTTGTCTAACCACTGCATACCCTCTTTCTTTAGGACTCTGGTTTTTCTGTTGCTTTTTGTACTGCTTCCATTTGTGATAGTCAAAAAAGTTGACTCCTTGGACTCAAGGAAATATGGTCTTGGTTTCTTTTATCCTGGGACAGCTAGTCATAGTAGTGGCAAAGGATTATCTCATTATCTTCATTACTCATTGTCATCCCAGAGAACCTTGATGAAGAGCTTTTAGATAAAACATGAATAGAGTGTCATTCGGCCAGTTCCGTAGCACCAGCAGCTCTTGTTGAGTGGTGTTCGGTTAGTGAACAGTTTTATAGTTTCTGAAAAGGTGACACACGTTCAATATCAAATTAACAAATAATGTGTACGTGAGTGTGATTGAATATCATGCAGCCATTATAAATCATGTCCCAAGAACATATTTGAGGATATAAGAAAGTTTTGAGTAAATGATACAAGACACTGTATGTTTTTTTAAAAAAAGACGACAAGGATGCATCTGAGAATACTGTGCCATTGTCCACAGTTGACTTTCTTTTTTCACTTCATACTTACTGTTTGTACTATTCCACAGTGTGCACAGGGATGAGGTGGTAGATGGGGGTGTTAGCTAACTCTGTTGAAGCAGCTAACCTGCCTGACAGTACTGTAAGTGTTTAAAAGGTGTCAGTATGCGTAATCATCTCACCAGCACCCGCCACCTTAGCCTGCTGTTTCTGCTGTATCCTCTCAGTTAGCTTACGATAGTACCCATTTGCCCTGGCCAGAATCCAGGACTTTTACCTCCTAAATAATTCATATGAGTGTTTGTCTCCTCCACCCTGCCCCTCCCCTCCTGTGCTAGTTCAGGCCTTGTTTCCTTGTGCCTTGTTCACTAAGCCAGCTCAGTATCCTTTTTATTCACGTAATACCCCCCAAAGAATTAGAAAACTAGGTACCCCTCACACATTTTTAAGCTATCTAAAATGTTTTATCATAAATTTAAATGGTTTCAAAGGATATAATTAATTTTTAGCACATAGTATGTTGCATATGTGATTTAATTATATTTCCATCAGCAGTAGGACTGCAGATTCAGCTCATTCAGTTTGGGAAATGTGACCCACTTGGCAGCCAGTACCCATCGTAACCAGTCACTCAAACCAGGCACGTGTGATCTCAGAAGAAATCTCACTTCGTCGTGTGATCCAGATAAGCATGGCAGTGGGGTCCTGGCAGCAGTCACTCCACTCTGGATTTAGTCCTTAGAATTCATTCTCTCCCTTCAAAGCCCCCCGGGTTCTTGTCCTCCCCCCTGCCGCCACCCTGGGGTCTGCCACTCTGGGGTCCAGCCTCTAGCTCCAGCTCCAGCTCAGCCTCACCCCCACCATCCCCCTGACCCCATCCCCCAGCTGTCCCCGCTGTGCAGTGCCTTGAACGTGCTCTGCCGTGTGTCGGCCCGTTTCCTGAATCCTCAGGCATCAGTGCCTCACAGAGCTGTGTGCCAGCAGTGTCCTCACAGAGCTGTCAAGCGTGTCCATGCCGTGCCGCTTGTGCCTCTGCCCCGCGAGGGACACCATTCCCCGTCGTTGACGTGCATTCCTCTTGTTCATCGTGCGAGACTCCCCACCCCTGTGCCACCGGTCTCGGTGTCTCCCACACTGGAGTGTCCGTATTTCATAAACACACGTATGTGTGCATGTATGTATTTCTTATGGACATCACGTACGTTGGCCCTTCATATCTACAGGTTCCGCATCCACAGATTCCACCACCCGCAGTTGGGAAACACAGTGAGGTATGCACAGCAACCTTTCAGCTGTGGTTGGTTGAATCCACGCGTGTGGAACCTGCAGATACGGAGGACCAACCAAGGACTTGAGCAGTCATGGATTTGGTATCCCAGGAGTCCTGGAACCGGTCCCCGGCAGATAGAGGGTCTGCTGCTTGTGTTTATGCATATGTGTGTATGTACAGACAGTCCCCAACCTCCGTGGTTTGACTTAAGATTTTTCAACTTTATGATGGTGCAAAAGCGCTCCCCTTTCGGTGGGAACTGTGCTGTGAGCACCCACGTGCCATTCTGTTTCTCACTCGCGGTGAATTCAAGAAATGACGTGAAATGTCCAACACTTTATAAAGCAGGCCTTGTGTTGGCTGATTTTCCCAACTGCAGGCTAATGTAAGTGTTGTGAGCATGTTTAAGGTAGGCTAGGCTATGCTGTGACATTCAGTAGGTTAGATGGTGCATTCACTTCTTTTCTTTTCTTTTCTTTTCTTTTGAGACAGAGTTTGGCTCTGTGGCCCAGGCTGGAGTGCAGTGGTGCGATCTCCGCTCACTGCAACCTCTCTCCCAGGTTTAAGTGATTCTCCTGCCTCAGCCTCCCAAGTAGCTGGGATTACAGGTGCTCACCACCACATCTGGCTAAGTTTTGTATTTTTGGTGGAACTGGAATTTCACCATGTTGGCCAGGCTGCTCTCCAACTCCTGATCCCAGGTGATCCACCCAGCTCAGCCTCCCACAGTGCTGGGGTTACAGAAGTGAGCCATCGTGCCTGGCCTGCATTCACTTCTTTTCTTTTTTTTTTTTTTGAGGCAGAGTCTCGCTCTGTTGCCCAGGCTGGAGTACAGTGGTGCGATCTCAGCTCACTGCAAGCTCCACCTTGCAGGTTCACACCATTCTCCTGCCTCAGCCTCCCAAGTAGCTGGGACTGCAGGCGCCCACCACCACGCCTGGCTAATTTTTTGTATTTTTAGTAGAGGCGGGGTTTCACCGTGTTAGCCAGGATGGTCTCGATCTCCTGACCTCATGATCCGCCCCCCTCAGCCTCCCAAAGTGCTGGGATTACAGGCGTGAGCCACCACGCCTGGCCCACTTACTTTCATCTCAAGATATTTCTAACTTACTGTGGGTATGGATGGAGCATCTGTGTCTGTCTTGATGCACTGGTAGCCATTTGTTCTGTATGACTGTCCCTCATGCCAAATTCATCTTTGTACTCCTGTTGCCTGACTTAGGACATACCTCCTCTTAGGTGCTTAGTAGATGCTTCTTAAGTGAGGGAGTGACTGGGTGCTTCTGTTAATATCAGTATGAACAGAGAGCTAAGCCTGCCCCACCAGCCCAGCCTGCCTTAAGGGCTGTCTTGTAACAGCTTCGCCTCACAGGCATTCGCACCGTGACTTCCACAGGTAGGTTTCTTTATTCCTTCCCCGAAACATCAGGGGCATTCTGTGAGCTTTCCTGTGTGTCCGCAGGGGCAGTTCTGTCCTTGGAAGCTGAGAGCAGAAGCACTGCAGGGCCCCCAGGCCACTTCCTAGGCACACCCCTACCCCTTCACTGTGCCCTCCCCCTACCCCTTCACTGTGCCCTCCCCCTGCCCCTTCACTGCCCTCCCCCTGCCTCTTCACTGTGCCCTCCCCCTGCCCCTTCACTGTGCCCTCCCCTGCCCCTTCACTATGCCCTCCCCCTGCCCCTTCACTGTGCCCTCCCCTGCCCCTTCACTGTGCCCTCCCCCTGCCCCTTCACTGTGCCCTCCCCCTGCCCCATCACTGCGCTCCCCCTGCCCCTTCACTGTGCCCTCCCCCTGCCCCTTCACTGTGCCCTCCCCCTGCCCCATCACTGCCCTCCCCCTGCCCCTTCACTGTGCCCTCCCCCTGCCCCTTCACTGTGCCCTCCCCCTGCCCCTTCACTGCCCTCCCCCTGCCCCTTCACTGTGCCCTCCCCCTGCCCCTTCACTGTGCCCTCCCCCTGCCCCTTCACTGTGCCCTCCCCCTGCCCCTTCACTGTGCCCTGCTGGGCAGCCTTCCTGGGCTGCAGGGCAGATGCTCTGTGGTACCTGCTCCCGCTCCTCTCAGGAAGGCCTTCCTCTCCCTCTCTGGGTCACCTCTCCCTGGCACATGCTTCTCCCAAACCTGCATCTCCAGTGTCTTCTCTCCTCAGCTACAACCTGCCATCTGCAGGTTTACCAGGCACTTTTCACGTGACTGTTCCACCATCTTGTCATTTTTTATATCTTCTGTCATTTTGTAAAACCCAGCTCATCTGCCTGCTGCGTCTCCATGTCCGGCCTGCCCTGGGTGGGTAGAGACAGGTTCGCGCTGTCCCTCAGATTTCCACGTTAGTGTTTTATTGGTTAGTTTGTTTCTGGGTCTCTCTCACCCTCTAGGGAGCAGCCACGGCTCCCCCCACCGCCCCCGCTGCCTGCTGCTCTCCTCCTGCCGGGCCAGGTGATGCAGCGTCTGACCACGTGCAGTCTTTAGACTGCCCTAGTCGGTCTGTACGCTGCAGCTGGATTCGTTTTCCAAACATTTTATTTCAAAATACATTTCTCTGTTTAGAAGCACCCAGTTGCCCCTCTTGCCTGGAACTGAAATCTCACCATTGTGACCTGATGTTGGAAACTTGCCCTGGCTTCTGGGACCTGGCCCTCTTCGTCGGCCTTGTGTCCCCCCGAGCCTAGCACAGTGCCTGGTTCACAGCAGGCAGTCAGTAAATGGCCACTGAGTGAATGAATGAGGAAATGCAGATTCCGCCAACATTTACTCATCGAACTTCTTTGTTCTTCTTTCCACGAGAATTAAAACCTTAAGTTTCTCATTTTTAAAAATGGTCATTGGCCGGGCGTGATGGCTCACGCCTGTAATCTCAGCACTTTGGGAGGCCGAGGCAGGCAGATCACCGGAGGTCAGGAGCTCGAGACCAGCCTGGCCAACATGGCGAAACCCCATCTCTACTAAAAATACAAACTTTAGCCGGGCGTGGTGGCGGGCGCCTGTAGTCCCAGCTACTCAGGAGGTTGAGGCAAGAGAATCACTTGAACCCAGGAGGCGGAGATTGCAGCGAGTCGAGATCGTGCCACCGCACTCCAGCCTGGGCAATAGAGACTCTGTCTCAAAAAAAAAAAAAAAAAAAAACATTGTCATAGTGGCAGGCACAGTGGCTAATGCCTGTAATCCCATAATCCCAGCACTCTGGGAGGCTGAGGTGAGTAGATCACTTCAGCCCAGAAGTTCAAGACAAGCCTGGGCAACATGGGAAAACCATATCTCTACAAATACTCGCCTGCTTCTGCCACTCTGCACCATCAATATAAATAATAACTAATTCACAATAATCAGTCATGAAAGAATAAAATGGAAAACATGCCAAATGCAGGCCCCTGCTTTGTTATCACTGCATGCCATACACATAAAGTTCTCTGTCACGTGACTACAGGAGCATCTCCATTCCTGTGCCTCGTCCTCAGGTATCAGACGCAAGCCACTCGCGGGCTGAAGTCAGCCCACAGTCCTCCTTGAAGTCAACAGAAATGAACTACTGAGCCACGAGGGGCCTAGACCTGGGATCCGCCAGCGTTTTCTGTAAAAGACCATAGAATAAACATTGTAGACTTCCTGGCCATACAGTATCTGTCCAGCTCCTCAGCTCTGCTGTGAATGCCCAGCTCTTCCATGGTAGCACAGAACCTTATCACCGTGCAGGTGCACACGAGGCTGGGCTCTGGGTTCCTGTGAGCTCTGCCTACCAACTCAGGCAGTAGGGGGTGGGGGGCGTCCAAAGGATGTGCACAGATTGCCAGCACCAGGCCCAGCTGCTGGAACATCCTCATAGCTTTACTCACATCTACACGGACGCCTTAAGTTCACCCCATCAGTGCAGGGAGACAGGGGCCTTCAAATGTGATGACACGACACTGCTGTGGCCTGTGCTCTTGGAAGCCTGCAAAGGCCAGCACACCCGACCCTCCTCTGCCTCACCTCCTGTGCCACCCCATCCTCACCTGCTTCCCCAGCCTCTCCTCATCCACACCTGCTCGGCCCCTCCTCCACCGCCTCCCTCCGGCCCGCTGGTCCTTACTGCATCCCCTCGGGCCCTGCACCCTGCCCTCTGCTCCCTGTGCCCCCCATGCCTGCTCTCGCCTTGTTTTGCACACATTCTGTCCTCTTCTAGGGTCTCCGCCCCCTCCCCTTCCCTGATTAACTCCTGCCTGTCCTCACTGTAGGTCATGTCCTGAGGGAAGAGGGCCCCAGCCTTTCTAGCAGGAAAGGCCAGAGCCTTAGGCCTAGGGAACCAGGAAGGGAGCAGTTATTAGTTGCCCCTGGATACAGAATCTGCCTAGATGCATATATAGAACTGGTTCAGACTTGGCACAATCTCTTTCCCTCTCACTCTTTCACATTTGCAATTCAAAGAGAATATACAGAGCCATTTGTATTATATAAAGTGATTATTGCATTGAATTTAGACTAGAGAAGGCATTTGGAGATCGTTTTAGTAAATTATCGTAACCAATCTAAAAATACTTCTGAACTGTCAACCAGAACACAGAAATCCTGTATTACTTGCTGTAGTCTGGACAGTTTAGGGGAACGTGGCACCGATCTCATCTTCACCGTCGATCAGTGGTTCTCTGACTTGGTCCAGTGGCCGCACACCAGCTAGTGAAGAAAACCACAGACTCCAACTGCACTGTGTACGCTCTGGTGTCCTCATTTCCAAAAAAAAAAAAAAAAAATCTACAAGATAGAGTTTAAGAAATCTCATTTGAGTTGCCCTGCTAATATTTGCAGCTCGCTGGTGGGTGCCGTGGAGGCCAGTACTCACCGTCAGGCTGTGGCAGGTACAGTGAAAGGAAAAACTCCATGAGAGAACGGTGGAAAGTTCACCTGAGAGTGAAACGCATGCCAGTTAGAGTGGCTGAAAAATAGCATGGACAACACCAAGTGCCACGGGACGTGCAGCCGTGGGACCCCTCACTGCTAGGGAAGGCAAGATGGCACGGCCACTTAGGAAGACAGCTTGGCGGCCTCCTACAACACTAAACATACTCTTAGGTACAACCCAGCAATCCAGTTACTGCATTACGCTCCTGGATATTTCACCCAGTTATGCCGAATGCTTATATCCACACAAGAATCTGCCCAAAGATGTTGATACCAGCTTTATCCATAGTTGCCAAAAACTAGAGGCAACCAAGGGGTCCTTCGATAGGTCAGTGGGTAAACACACTGGTAATGTGGACAGTAGGATGTTCAGCATTTAAAAAAAAAACAACTATCAACCCCTCAGAAGACCTGGAGGAAACTGAGATGCCTGCAGCCCAGGGACGGCTGGTGGCTTGCAGCAGGTCACACGGCTACTCAGGCGTAGAGCCTGGCCTGTCTGAAGCTCAAGGCCCAGCACCCGTTCCTTTCCTTACACATAGAGTTTCACTAGGCACGCACACGCTGACTCTGGATTGATGAAGAAACAGTTTGGGAATTTTTAACAGCATCGTTCACATTTTTAATGCCTGCCTCCTGCCTGGCACTGTGCTCAGCACTTTCATGTATCTTCTTTAATTGTCACATCTGTGAGGTGGGACAGATGACCTCAGCTCTGTAAACTCAGCCATTGCTGAGCCTGCAGTGTGAGTGTGAGGCCACATGTCAGAACCCCGGAAGACACAAGCCCCACTCTCCTGCCTTCAACACAGCCCCCCACACCGCCGCTGTGGCTGGAATTGGAGCAGGTCGTTAGCTCCTGCCTGAGGAAGCCCAAATAAAGGACTGCAGAACAACTGTAGTGCAAAGCTGAGACTCATTGCCCTCCTAGGCGTTTCATGAGCAGGTCCTGAGTTCTCTGTGTCCCGGCGTGGAGTGCAGGAGGCGTGGAAAGGGAGTAGTGCGTGTGTGAGTTAGTATACAGAAGAAGTGTGTGGCAGGCTCTACCACACGTTTTTAAAATATGTAAACTCCTAAACTTCTTGTCAGAGAAGCGCTTGGCATGCACACAAAATCATTTAGCTAATTCTTGAGAAACATATTGTTTAATTGTCTGTCTCCCTTGCTAGATCATACCACTAATGAGTGCTCGTTCACTAACCTCCCCGCCAGCCTTGCAGTCTCTGTCAGGCAGGAGGTACTTAAAGCATGTTTATTGACTGGCTGCAGAAATGAGGACATCTACCGTATTCAAAGATAGTGCCCGTTACATTGAGAAAAGACAGAGTGAGCATCCACTTTTAGCTTCTTAAAAGGTTTAAACATTCTGATCTTATTTTCCCATTCATTTGCCTAATGGCTGTCCTTTCTGTATTGCACAAGGGCAAAGATAAACACAAGAGTCTGTACGAATCAGCCAGTGTGTCAGTACCAGCCAGCCTTTCCATGTTGAAGCCGTAACGTTAAGTGATGTGAAAGTATACTGTGCATTGCCACACGGGCCTGGAACATGTTGTGTTCACCCAGTTCATTGATTTTTTCATATTGATAAATTAAAATTATGAACATATAAAGCCAGTTATTTTAGAGTCATATGCAAATCTTACAGATACAAATAAATATGTCCAACACATAGCATAAAATTTCCTTATTGATTTTAAATTGACAGAAATCTTAAGATAATCTTGCTAAAAAGGAAACCAGTCATATAGATTGAGAGATGTGCGGAGCTTTCCAATAAAAAGCCTCTTCCCGATGTTCTATCGGTTGTTGAATTGTAATGTTTTTATGATTTGATCGGCTTGAACTGTACCTCACGCTTGGCTCTCTTATTGCCTAATTACACGTGCAGCGTTGACAAATGGCATGCCCCTCCGTGCCGTCAGCACACTGACGTTGTCACCATTACTAACGGCTGGCTGGCGCTGCTTCCAGCAAGGTGAGCAGCTGTGGCCAGTGGCTATGCGTTTGGGTCATGGATTCCACCATGCCTTGCATGTGTGTTTGGTCACATGTTCTGCCGTGTCTTGCAGAGCTGCAGAAACTGGAGGGCAGCAGTGGACCTGTGCGGACGTCTCCTCACAGCCCACGGCCAGGGCTACGGCAAGAGCGGGCTGCTCACCAGCCACACGACAGATTCACTGCAGGTGAGAACACCTTTCAGGTGCTGGAGTTTAACCTGGCTTATCACAGTCTGGGGACATGGACAGGACCATGGCCTTTCATGCCAATAACAAAAAGTATGTTTTCATATCCTGCTTCTTTCTCTCCTAATTATATTGTATATACTATACTGGGGCACTGGAATTCTCACTTCGGCCCGTCAGGATGCCTGTGCGCCCCAGAAGCACGCTCACAAGTGCCCACACTCAGTCTCATGGTGGAACCGGCATGGCTTTGGGTCAGCAGGTGGGTTCGCCTCACGACTGGCAGTAGCAACTGGCCTGTGCGGGGCTCTGGGGCGTGTCTGGGCCCGGTAGGAAACAGTGACAGGAGCAGTTGGTTCTGTCCACCCCAAGGACGGAGGGTCCATGTGCCATTTGCTCCTCGTGGTATATCACTTGCTCTGAAATTTAAAAAAAAAGAAAAAAGAAAAGGGAATGCACAAAATAGACTTGTGAACAAAAGGAAACTCATCTGAGAAGAAGGAACAGCTGCAAACGTTGATACATTCTTACCTTTCCCTGGGGAGTTTTTTAACTGTTCTTCTAGCTTACATGGGAATCCCCCGGGACTAAACAGATCACCAGATCCTTCAGAACTGTGATGAGCTTTTGAAAGGAGCAGCTCTGGGGAGCCCTGACAGCTTAGCTATTTCCAGCAGGCTCCTTCTCCTTCTTTCTCTTCCCCCAAGAGCCGACAAGAAGAGCCGCTCTAGCTTTAAATGTACTTTCCCCCATCACCTCTCCATCCATTGGTTTGCCAAATCTTAGGCTGTTTTCCTATCATTTCTCTCCAACCCACCACCACCCACAGTTCGAGCTCTCATTGCAGTGTTGCTTTGGCCTCTTTTATGAACTTAGTTCAAGTTTCTTTATTCACATTCATTCCATAAACTACCTCCAAAAAAGCACACTTTTGATCATCTCACTTTCCTGCTGGAAAACTGTGCCCGGCGCAGTGGCGCATTGACTGTAGTCCCAGCTACTGGGGAGACTGAGGCAGGAAGATCACTTGGGCCTGGGGCTTCTGGGCCGTAGTGCACTTTGTTGATCAGGTGTTGGCACTAGCTCAACACCAATATGGTGACCTCCCTAGAGCCAGGAACCACCAGGCTGCCTAAAGAGGGTGAACCACCCTCCTTTCCAACTAGGTCTGAAACGGAGCTAGTCAAGAGCTGGATAGTTTCCCATTGGCTACCATGTGAAATTTCATCTTCTCGTGTTGTATGCAAACCCTCAGACCATGACAGGCTATGTGTACACTATGGAATGGTTAAATCAAGCTAAATCGCATGCATTGCCTCGCATGCCTTTGTGTGTGTGTGTGTGTGTGTGTGTGTGTGTAATGAGAACACTGAAAATCTGTCTTAGCAATTTTTAGTATACATTGTAACTGTGTCACCACGTCTACAATAGATCTCTTGAGCTTATTCCTTGCGTCACTGGATTTTGTTTCCTTTGACTAACATCTCTCAAACCTCCCCTGCCCGGCCCTCCTCCCCACCCCCAGCCCCGGCACCCGCCATCTACTCTGCTTCTGTGAGTTCAGTGTTTTCAGATTCCATGTGTAAGTGAGGTCACACGGTGTTTGTCTTTCTGTGCCTGGCTTGTTTGTCTAACGTCATGTCCCCTAGGCTCATCCACAGCACAAACGACGGGATTTCCTCCATGAAAGCTGAGTGGTATTCCACTGTGCGTCATGCCACGTTCCTTTATCCGTTCATCCTTCAGCGGACACTTAGTGAAATTCATTCTTCTCATCAGTAAAGTCAGATCCAATTAGGTCATTTCTAAGGTACCCTTTTAATCCTAAGTCTCTGGCTCTGCAGCTGTCTAATGCAAATTCCCACCATTTTCCTGAATGTACCCCTGAGAGCACACTGTGCTCTCTCGTATGTTGTGTTTTGTCCACTCTGTACCTTTGTCCTTACGTTCCCTGAACCAGCAGACCCTTCCTTAGCCTGTGGCCCCTTGAAATTCTGCAGCCCTGAGAGCTGCCCTCAAACACAACCCATCCCTGCGCTTCCTCTCCTTCCTGCTCCCGTTCCCGCCGTCATTCCCCCGCCCTCCACTAGGTGGCGCATTCCTTTGGTGCCTTTTCATTTTCATGACACCTAGCACAGTGCTTTGCACACAGACCTGCTCAGTAAGCACTGTTTACTTATTGAGTAAACAATTATGTAAAATCATTCACATTGTTATTAAGCTCAATAGTAATTTCTTCTTAGAGACAGGGTCTCGCTATGTTGCCCAGGCTGGACTCAGACTCCTGGGCTCAAGCAATCTTCCCACCTCAGCCTCCTGAGTAGCTGGAACTGCAGGCATGAGGCATCATGCCCAGCTTCAAGAGTAATTTTTTAAATACGATTGTGTAAATATGCAAAGATAGAAAGTTAGGTTAGCCCTTATTTTAATATATGAGAAATTAACCTCTAACACCAACTCATAAGGAATAGCAAATTCTGAACTGGATATATGTAGATAACCTATTGTTTCCATTGTATTTTGTTTTTAGCTCTGGTTTGTCAGGCTGGCACTACTAGTGAAGTTGGGCCTTTTCCAGAATGCTGAGATGGAATTTGAACCCTTCGGAAATCTTGATCAGCCAGATCTTTATTACGAGTACTACCCGCACGTGTACCCTGGGCGCAGGGGTAAGGCCATGGTATTTAATATTTGTACATTTGTCTGTGTGTCGCTCTGGTTTGCTTTGATTTATACATAATTTCGTAGCCTCAGTTTTCCTTATTTATCCAGTCTTGAAAAATCAGATAAGTACCCAGCAACAAGCCTTGACTTACAGAATGCTCCCACTCCGATTTACCGAAACACTGACCTGGAGGTGCTCCCTGGTGCATCTGTTTGTACATTTAGCAGCTACGTGTCAAGCACCTGCTCTGTCAGGGCAGCATGATTTGGTGCAGGGGCCGGGTAGTAGACGTCTGAGCTGCGCTCCACAGGGAAGAGCCGTCCCATATCGGGACCTGGCGCACAGAGATGCAGAGCGGTGGAACCAAACGTGTCCGTGCATATGGCACACGCCGTGACATTTTCCGTTTGTCTCTATTCTGATTTAATTTATTTTAAAAATCTGGTTGTGGTTCACCCTTTGGGTCACGGTCACGACCATTGTTTGGAAAACACTAGGCTACAGCATAGGGTAGTTCTAGGAGAGTGACAAGAAACCACCAGTTGGGAAGGGAGAAGGGCGGGTTACGGAGAGCCTTCTGCAGCACTGGGAGCCTTGTGCAGTGTGCGTCTCTTGGTGGAGAACCTCATAAATATGTTTGAAGCCTCTCATGTGTTCTTAAATAGAAAACAGTCCTGGCAGGATGTCTTGTGAGGGCAGTGTAAGCAGCTATTGAAAGCCCACGCCCTGTTGTCAGGCATCCCCAGTTACATCCTGCTTCCCCCATTGAATCGCGTAGCCTTGGAGGAGTTATCTGACATCTCTGTGCCCCAGTGTCCTTATTGGTAAAACAGAGATGCCAATCCTCCTTGCTGCCTGGGTTGTCCTAAAGATCAAATGATGTCACGTGTAAGTTGCTTGGAATAATGGCTGCTATCTAGTACCAACTGTATTTGCTGGTTTTCTTACTCTCTTCCGAATGTATCAGTAACATGGGAAAGTCTCGCACTGCCGCATTTTGCAGGCTCGATTGTCAGCATTTGTTGGCTGCAGCAGTGGAGCTACAGAGAATGGTCCTAGTTGTCAGGAAATGCAGAGCCTGATTGGAGGTAGAAAATATTTAAAACCAGTGGTACAAGAGATGCAAAGGCCTGATTAATAATAAAATAATAATTCCTATAGAAGTCTCAGAAAATTTAAATAAACATTCTGTTGAACTTGGTTGATACTAGTAGGTAAATAGATGAACTAAAAAGGCTAGAAGTAAAAACAAATCTTTGAACTTCTTTGTGTGTTGTTTTTTTGGTTAAAACTCAGCTCTGTTTCTTTGGAGGGGCATAGGAACGAATGTAGACGCCGGCTTTCTTTATTCCCCATGCTCTCTCCTTTATCATCTTTACCTTCCTCCAAGTAGGACGGGTGGGAATTGGTCCATATTACTCTGAGTTATCCCAGAATTGATGGAGATTTTTATCATTTTTAGTATAAAGTGTTTTTTGACCTTTAGTCTCACTGGTATTAAAATTGTTTCTTCCTTCTGACTAAGGGAATTTGCCCCTTGTGGAAAAGAAAAAATGGGAAGGGTAACTTTTAATAACTAAAATAGGGCATAAATCAAAGAGATTGTCTTGATGGAGCTGGCTTGATTTCATGGAAGTGAACCAACCAAGCTAGGTAGCCACAGAGTCAAGAAGGACCAGCAACACCACTATCACTCTCGGACGTAGGACTCTGTGTCATCCAGGGACGTAGACGCCAGTCCTTAATGTGTGACACTTCCTGCCCACCCACTGGCCTGTCCAGTCCTGCTGGCCTTCCACATGACCAGGAGGAACAGACCAAAGCCAGGACCGCTTGAGGGTGCGTGTTCAGGAGCTCTGTCTGCCGTGGCCTGGCCAACAGGTGGAGGAAGTGGGGCCAGAGGAGTCTCGGGAACTTGCTGAAGGGCCCTCACTGGTGTTGCTGGCCAAGCAGGCCTTCTGTCCCCAGGAGTCTGGCTTTTGCAGCCATGGGTTGGATAAAGATGTCTTTACCTCTTCCCTGGGGTATTTCTTCTCCTGCACTCCAGCCTGGAAGCTGCTCGGTGGTCGTGAGCACTGTCCTCGAGGAGCAGGGCTTTATCCATCCTCTCTCCCCCGGAGCAAGTCTCGTCTACGTCCCTCCCAAAGTTCCGTCCAGTCCGCACGTAGGTGGTTCCCACATCCGCTCATGAGTTGGAGAGATACAGCCATGGCTGGTTGTTCAAGGGCTACTGTTCTACCTTGTAAATTAACTGGGCTCCCTGATTCTGTCGTGTCCCTTTCTTGTCTCCACTTCATCGCCAATTTGAGGGTCATCCTTTCCGTGTAAGACCGAATTTCCAGCCCAAAAAGAATGGGGAGCCTGTCACTTGGTAGGTTGTGAAGAAAAGATGGAAAGGTTAAAGGCATTGTTAATTGGGGAAGTTTGAGGGTGTTTCTGTTTAATCAGTTATGCCTGGTAGCTATCATAGTCAAGAAACAGCTGTTTTCCTATTTCTTACACGGATCAGCCTTGTTTTCCCCCATCCCAGCATAAATAAAACCATCTCTTCCCTCTGCCTGACTGCAGCCTGAGCATCGCCTCCAACCCCGCCCTCCCACGTGGTTCATAGTCCCGGGAGGGGGCTGGACCCAGGTCTGTGGGACTCTGCCTGGGCCGGGGACTGGAACTGGGACTGAACAGCTGGTTTTTTAGGCATTTTGTCTGCTGCTAACAGAAAACTCAGGTCATTGAGCACCCAGGCCTTAATCGAAACCACCAGATACCCTGAAGCGCAGAGCTGCACCAAGTGCTCTGGTTTCTTTTCCTACTGAGGTCCGTGTGAATTATAGATTCAAAATGACTCCTCTTACAACACCTGCTTCTGAATTTATGACAGGTGTTTAAGAATGAGTGTGACTGAAAGGCAGATGTTTCCTATCATGACCAGGTAAAAATATCCAGCTTGGCTGGGTACAGTGGCTAATGCCTGTAATCCCAGCACTTTGGGAGGCCGTGAAGATCTCAAGATCTCTTGAGGCCAGAAGTTCGAGACCAGCCTGGCCAACATGGCAAAACCCCCATCTCTACTAAAAATACAAAAAATTAGCCGGACATGGTGGTGCACACCAGTACTACCAGCTACTCAGGAGGCTGAGGCACGAGAATCTCTTCAACCCAGGAGGCGGAGGTTGTAGTGAGCCAAGATCATACCACTGCACTCCAGCCTGAGCAACAGAGTGAGACTCTGTCCCACAAAAAAAAAAAAACTCCAGCTCCCATTGGTCTCTAACCTTTACCTTTGGCCATTCAGGAATGCCCAACATCGCCTTGTGTATCCTATTTTACAGTGTGCTGAAGACTCCGTGGCACTGTTTACCCATCTCTAAGGAGAGGATTTTGATGGAAATGACACTGAGTGCCCTTTAAGATAGCGAATGAAAATCTGTGGGTTTAGGTGGAAACTGCCTGTCATCTTTCCTCACTTTGAGGACATTTTTTCCTAAGGACGTTCAGTCAAGCCTAGAAAACATGCTTTGATTCTTCCTGAAATTAAATTGCATTGGTAAATGGATAAAGAGAAGACAGCAGCTACGCATCATTGAGAAGCTAATTTAAATTATGAAATAGACATAAATCATACATACATTTTAGCAAAAGCGTATTAACATTCATCCTCAATAATATGCTGGATGTTTACTAATTTTTCTTCCCATTTTGTGGTGTAACAAAGCATAAATGTAAGATTTTGATTCATTCACTTCATTTTCGCTTGCAATATATAAGCAGAGCAAGTTGTTAAAATGTGCTTTAAAAGGAGGCTATAATTATAAAAACTTTTATGAATGAGCTTTAATATATTTCATGTAAATATTGGGCGTAATTTTTGCCCATTCAGAATATTCATAACAAGACATGTAATGAATCATGTGTAAAAATCATGAAGGTTTTTTAAAAAAAATTCATCCAAGAAAGGAACAGTATTATGGTTGATGTATTTACATGTCAAATCTAGCAATTTCAGTCAGTTCCTTTCAGCCACCCCCAAAGCCCAGCCCCGTTTCTGACCCTGGCGCTGTGTCTTTCACTTGGTTGTTTGGAGACTCCCTCCTGCACACAGGAAGAATCCCGAGGACTACGTGCCTGGGGCCGACCCAGCCCCGCGCCCCCGGAGCTGAGGTCTGTGCGGTTCTGGGTGGGGCCCCCAAAGCCACAAGAAGCCCAGGTAGCACTGACTCTGACCTGGGTGTCCTCTCTTGATTTTCCTTTCTTGCTCCTCAATCTCCACCCCCTTTTCCTCTGTTCCTCTTCTACTGCATTCGTTGCTTCTTCCCCTCTCAGACCCTACATCCATCCCTAGAACCCAGGGCCCAGCTTCATCCATCCCCAGCACCCAGGCTGCAAGCGGGAGAGGTGGAAGCTGCTTGCATCAAGCCTTTTATCAGAGTTCCTTTCGTGGGTTGTGGGGTAGTCATTGAAAGCTCACATTTGTGTTTAGAAGCCAACTGGCTGGGGGTTGTGAGCAGATTGTCCACATCTTTTCATTCACTGGAAGTCCTCTGTGTCCCTGCAGGACACACTTAAAGACTGTGTGGCTTTAGCTCCCTCAGACTTCACACATAACTTGGCAACTGAGCTGTTCTGTCTAGAATTGTCATGCAGCTTCAGGAATTCAGAGGATCGGCGTTGGTCATACTGGTGGAAGATGTCAAAACAAGAAGAATAAAAATAGTGTGCAGAAAACTTGCTCTTAGCCACTGTCTTATCTCTGAAAATTGAACTTCACTTGCATAGTGATACCCTGTATCATGCATCTCCAGGGACAGAAAAAAAGATAAGTATATCTTAAATTTGCCTTTCCTATTCGCGTTTCTCTGATTTTGAAACAGAAGTTCCCTATCCGTGAATTCTTCAGATAGTTGAGGTAGAGTACTCTTGCATTGCACAGGATGTCACTGTTGTTTCCAGATGGATTTGTGCAAATTCAGATATTTGATTTTTCTATGTTGCCCACGTCTATTTACTGTTTACTTTTACTTTACTTTTTTTTCTGTTCTAATAGCTTTTTAATAAAAGCTATTTACTTTTGTTCTAACCCACTACTTCCGTACCTTATGAGAAAGTCTGTTTTGGGATCTGGTTGAATCTATTCTTTGCTCAACAAAAATTGATGTTTATTTAAATACAAATATTAAATACTCGGACCATTAACAAATATTTTTTCATATTTGCCTTAGACATTTTTGTAACAAATGAAAGTACCCATTGCTGATACAGCCTGTGAACCTCCTCCCAATTCAGTCCCCTCCCAGAGGCAGTCACAATCATGGTTTGTTGTGTATTCTTCCAGGTCATGTTTTTACATATTTGCTTCATACACACACATATACATACACACAGAGAAATACATATACAGAGAGAGACTATTGTCTTATAAGCTTTGTAAATGTACATCATGAGCATATCTGTCTTCATTTGCTTTTTTTTCCCCACTTTCCATTATTCATATCCATCCATATCCGTATCCATAAGGATGAACAATTAGGATCTTTCCACCTTTCGGCTATTATGAGCAATGGTGTTATGGGCATCCTTGTACATTTCCCTTTGTACATGTTCAGGCGTTTCTCTGAGCTGTAAATTTAAAGTGGCATATGTGAGAGTGACCATGCTAATTTCCACTCCCAGCCACAGCCTGTCAGTTTGTTTCCCCACTCTTGTGTAACTAAAGATTGTCAGACTTTCACCAGTGAGTCTAAAATTCTACCTCCTGTCGCAACTGACGTCTTTCTGATTTCTGCCGAATTATGTGTCCTTTGTCTGTCGGAGTCTCCTCTTTGGTGACTCACTCTTTCATAATCTTGGCCTGTATTTCTATTGGGTTATCTTTGTTATTAATTGGTTGAGGTTCATTCTATATAGCAGGTATTTAATCCTTCATCTGTTTTGTATTTGGGAAATATTAATATCTTCTCCCATTCTGGGAAATACTATTTTCAACCCTGAAAAAATAATTCTAGTTTAAAAATACAAACATAACCTTTTTTGTTCGCAACATGACATGTTTTAGGAGTATCTTCTTTATTCCACATACTGTTATATCAGGAATAATAAATGCAAAGAAATCATGCCTATGTCATTGCCAAGTAGGCTGAGACAAGTAAAGACATTTACCAGACAGCTTTCCAAAACGTTTCCTAAGGGAGCTGCTGCACACTGTTGCTGGGACCTTCCGCTGGGTGTGGGAGGAGCTCTGCACACTGTTGCTGGGACCGTCCACTGGGTGTGGAGGAGCTCTGCACACTGTTGTTGGGACCATCCACTGGGTGTGAAGGAGCTCTGCACGCTGTTGCTGGGACCGTCCGCTGGGTGTGGAGGAGCTCTGGGAGATGCGGTGTTGGGAAGAGAGTCTACACAGTTGCTGACTTGCAGCTCTTCACCTGGAGCTTCCAAGAGCTCTGAGGCAGGCCCGCAGAGCCCCTCGTGCACACTTGTCAAAGATGCTCTCTCTCCTGGCATACCCTTGAGGCCCTAGGCCACCTGCTGCCCTCGCCGTCTTCCATCGAGTACAGTGGGATGCACTTAACGTGAGTGCTCCCGGGATCTCATCCCACAGAGTCTTTGGCCCTGTAGACAGACAGTCTCTGTAATCTTGTAATCTCCCCACAGCACAGCCGTCTGCCTTCACTGGCACCTCAGCATCTGCAGGGAGCATCCCGGTCCCAGGAAACATCATCCAGCCCAGAGGGCGGCAGGGTCGCCGTCGCCATGGATGCCAGCCTTTACCCAGCACTAAAAGTATTTTTGTTTTTGTTTGTCTTAAATGTTGATAACTTCATAATAACTATTTACGTTAGGGCTTTAAAATACCTTTCCAAAATCCTACAAAGTTTCTCTTTTGAGAGCCATTCTTCAGATCCCTGTACTAGCCTTCTTTCTTTAATTTTCTTTTAGATTTTTTTTTTTATTTTTTAAATTGTTACACTAGTGCAGATTGTTTCTCCCATTATAGGGTTTGCAGTCATGAAAAGTGTTGATAGGGATTATATCCATGAAAATATTTCTAGAACATTCATTCATTTTATATTAACAGCTTGCATTGGTGTGGTACATTTGTTACAATTGATGAACCAGTATTGGTACAGCATTATTAACAAATGTTTATAGTTTACACTTGGGTTCACTCTTGTGTTGTACATATTCACTATGTTAAAGAAAATTAAATGTCCATTCCTGACAAGTTTAATTTCATCCTCTCTCAGGCAGTTAAATTTTTCCAGACCCCCACCACCATCTTTTTAATCTGTTGTTTGGAATTACCCCTCTCGTTCCAAAGAAACATTCACAATGGCAGTGAGCATGTAAACTTTCATAGTGCTTTGAATTTTTAAAGTACCACATTCTGCATTAGATTGCTCACTTCAAGTTTCCATGCAACTAGAGGGAAAATAGGAGCCCAAAAGATCTTCCCGCTGGAAATAAAGCAGCTTGATTATCTTCACTATGCAGTTTAAGAAGTATAGTGCTGCTTCTAATACTAAATTCAGATCTGCATGTTTAGACTAAGTTACAAGAGCTGTAATGACGTCACAGGAAATGGTACTTCAGAACTTAATCCGTGCGGATTACCATCAGGTCAAATTAAAGTGGATGGGGCAAACACTTCCATTAATCGGATGCCGAATCTCTCTACTCTTCCATCAGCTGTCTGCTCCTCTATGTGCATAAAGGCACACTGTCACTGGATCTTTCTTCCTTTTTCATCCTCCCTCCAAAATCATGAAATTCACATTTTGAGTTCTCAAATTAAATTCTGAAACTTTTTTTTATCAACACATAACCATATGTGATATCTCAGAATTAAATATTCAGCATGTTTCCAGTGTCGGATTTTATTTTTCATGACAAAATTACCTCACCTTGCAGAGTGACCACGTTCTGCTTTAGATTTCCAGGTCACAATGCTTTGCATCAGAACTCCCGAGCGTTGATGGTTGGACATGTGATCGCTGCTTTATTTGTTCGGAGAAGGCTCGTTAGTTCATCTTACTGCTTTTCACTTTGCCCACCGTTTTTATGAAATCTGGCATTTTCAGTCTTTTCTTAGAACAAACTACTAAAAATAGGGGAATTTTCAGTTTGGGGTTCCGTATCTACCATGAGAACACCCAAATGGAGACCTCTCCTTATCCTGTCTGCACAAGATACAGGCCTTGGCCAGTCACTGGGCTGTAGCTGAAGCCACACGTGGATTGCACATGACTGTGGCAGACGCGTACAGAGGCAGTGACCCAAGCCTCAGTTTGTCTTCATGCTTCAGGGCTTTAGTTAAGCAAATCATTTAAATAAGAAATATTTAAGGTATTTTTTTCTCTTAGGACTTTCTCACTGTTTTTGTGTTTGGTTTGTTTTGTTTTGTTTTTAATTTACAATGCCACATTAAAGTCAAAAATGACTTGTTGAGAGCTGTAAGTGTGACACTGTGTGCTTGGCCGGGCACAGACACCAAGCAGTATCCCCAGCGTTGAGCACAGGCAAACCAAAGGCATGGCTTATCCTGCCTGCTGAGGTCAGGATAGGGAAGGACACACCCAGACAGGCAGAGACAGTGGGAAATAAATACAAAGCAGTCTTCCCAGCAAAGCACTCGCGTAACTTGAAAATGAGACGGAAATGCCAGGGCAAACTTGTAAGTTTGTGCCTTACTGAAGAAAGCTGTTAAAATTGGGCAAAGGGTCTGGAAGGCTCCCGCAGACCCTTCTGTGAGGCAGGTGGCACAGGCGTCCAGGCATCATGTCACACCTGCTGCGGCCTCACGGCAACCTAGCTGCCTCTGGGCCCTCCCGCCCTAGTTTGCAGTGACACAGAAGGCTGCAGAGAGGATGTGAGCCACCCAGCACAAACAGCTAGTGAGTGGCGGAAGGTAGCATACCCCACTGAAGGGAAGCTGAAATGTCATCTTTGTTCCCTTTCATTTTTCACTGCCCAGCACCAAGGCCCGGGCAATTCCTGGCACATTTCTCTTTTCTATAGTGGCAGCACGGATTTTCAGCACAACAAGGGACGGTCTGAAATAAATTTTGTAGGAGTATTTTCATTTAATGTTTTCTAAATGATGAATGAGAACACTTCTACAGTATTTATACCAACCTAGATTTTGGCAGGTCACAACTATACATGGGAATCTTCCGGAAAAATAGATCCACTAGGAATTGTTTTTCCTTACAGATTTTGACTAGCTTCTCCTTTTTTTTTCCTTTCCAATGCTCTTTCTCCCTGCAGGAGAGAGACGGGCCTCAGGGCTGGTGTGGAAGCCTTGCATATTTTATCTCGCTTGACAACCACCCTCAGCATGGAGGATTTCAGTGAGATTCCCAGGGTAGCTCTTCAGAGACAGGGGCTAGGTTTGGCCACTGAGAGAATCAGCTTAAAGGTATTTTTATGTGCATTTACTTAAGAACAAAAGTATGAATTACACCAAAGCAGCTTCTGTATGCATCTTGTTGAAGAGGGGAGTAGTTTCCTTGAGGACACGGACCTCGTGGCTGTCATTGTGTGCACCCAGTGCAGGCCCTCCTGCGCAGCGCTAGGAGCTGCTGAGTAAATGTCAGCTCAGTGAAATTCACACACCTTACCTGGAGCTCACAGATGGTTTCTCCAGCTGCTTCCATTTATTGTTTTAATTCTGTGATCTATATATTTTTTCTAGGAAGGGGTGTTTTTCTTTCTGATTTAATTCCCTACATTTTTCTCTTTCATATGAAGTTGCAGATAATGTTTTTCCTTCGGATTTTTATTCTTTAAGATTTTTAACCTGTGCAAGACTTTTTCAATGATACAAGTCAAGGAGGATGAAGATCTTTTTCCACTTCAGTCTTCACTTTGCTCCAGCTATTGCTAAGAAAGGCACAAACAATGACAGCATATTTAAGGAAGAACCTGGCCGGCTTGGGTCACCGCTGCTGTCTTTCTTGGTTTTGCGTCTACCTGGGAGAGCCCAGCTTTTAGGTTCCCATTGAGGGAAGCATGAGAGAGGATTGTTTGGGGGATGCTGCCAGAGCTTCCAGCTGACAGTCTCTGCAGAGCGGCTGCCAAGTGGCCTGGTGGCCGTATGTTGGCAGTTTTTGATGAATTGGGATTAGGGAATGTTTGTTTACTTGATAACCGAGTGTCTACAAGGAGAGGTGGCAGCGTGAGGGAATAGTGCCACCATAATGAGGACACAGCCAGCCATCTCTTCCCTGCCACAGAACCCCAGGCAGTCCCCTTCAGGCTACAGTTTTCCATCTGGACCGAGGGACTGGCCGGTGCAGCAGGAGGAGCCGATCACCCTCTGTGGCAACGAGGATGCCCAGAAGTTCCAGTTACTGTGGTTTGTATGTTCTTCTTTTTGAGATGGAGTCTCGCTCCGTCGCCCAGGCTAGAGTGCAGTGGTGCGATCTCGGCTCACTGCAATGTCCACCTCCCACATTCAAGCAGTTCTCCTGCCTCAGCCTCCCGAGTAGCTGAGATTATAGGCGCATGCCACCACGCCCAGCTAATATTTGTATTTTTAGTAGAGACGGGGTTTTCGCCATGTTGGCCAGGCTGGTCTCTAACTTCCAGCCTCAAGTGATCTGCCCGCCTCAGCCTCCCAAAGTGCTGGGATTACAGGCGTGAGCCACCGCGCCCAGCTGAGTTACTGTTAACTGTTACTGGGGGGGCAGGGGAATGGCTCATTAACATTTTTTTAAATAACATTAACATTTTTAAAATGTTAAAATTTAATTCTGAAAGAATTTTGCTACATTAGCGCTAGTTTTAATTGTGATTTTATTCAATATGTCCCCCAAATGTAAGGAAGAAATTGGTACATTTTGTTCACAAAAATATCCTCCCCACCTCCCAAAAGCAGTAGAAATGGGAGTGCCATAGCACGGGGGAGATTTGAAAAGAGCCCGGAAGTTGGGTTTGTTGGAGGAGGAGGATCTGAGCACAGCTCAGCTCCACCTGCTCCAGCAGCGCAGAGTCCACGAGTACAAGCAGGTGTTTGGTCCCCAAGGCCTCACAGAAGTTCAGGCAGAATTTCATCACTTTCTTTTCCCTTAACCCCCATTTAGGTTTTAAACGCCTGTGTGGTTTTTAAAAGGGTAGAAGTAGCAAGGAAACAATATATATCTAATGAGGGACATTTTCCTGTGTGATATGTAATGAATGCACTATATGTAGTACTAATTACCTGTTATAATGAAGGCACTGTATAGTACCGATTACCTGTTTTAATTTGATCCTAAGGAAGGTCAATGTGCATTTTGAGGCATTATAAAAATATAGTTGATATTACCTGATAACCTTTGAGTTAGCGAATTTTAATTTCACATCAGTAAGGTACTGTTTTAGAGCAGTGCTTCTCCATCTCAGCATGCACAGGAGTCACCCAGCCTCTTGTGGAGGGCAGGCCCTGATGCAGCAGGTCTGGGCAGGGCCTGAGACTCTGAAGTTCTAACAAGGGCACAGGTGATAAGACTGCAGCTGGTCAGAATGTACCTTTAATCAAGTATTAATATTACTCTTTCAGCTACAGCTGGCCACTATATTTAATAGTATTTCTGAGAAAAAAAATACATATTTTAAGTCTCAATTTGAGATCCCAAGAACACAGTCCTTCACCCCAAAGAAATGGATCTGATTTTATCTTTTTTCATGTGGCAATCCCCATATCTGAACCATGCTCATTAAAAACTCCATTTTCCATCTAATACCTTGGAGACACCATCTTTATTGTATACTAAAGAATATATGTATTCCCTTTTTGTAATTTACAGAAAAATCGAGTAGAGAGTTCTATATACCCTCTTTTCTTCTGCACAGTTTTTAATAACATCTTGCATTTTTATTATTAATAAGTATAAAAATTTTGCATTAGCGTAGAACTTTTATTATAATTGATAAACCAATAGCGGTACATTGTTGTTAAAGTACATAGTTTACCTTAGGGCTCACTCTTGGTGTTGTCCCTTCTGTGGGTTTCAACAAATTAATGGCGTTGCGTGTTCATTGTACTGTCATGCCGAATAGTTTCACTGCCCTGTGTATTAATCCCCCCACCACCCCTGGATTAATACCCCCATCACCCCTGGATTAATCTCCCCACTACCCCTGGATTAATACCCCATCACCCCTGAATTAATCCCCCCATCACCCCAGGATTAATACCCCATCACCCCAGGATTAATACCCCATCACCCCTGGATTAATCTCCCCACCACCCCTGGATTAATCTCCCCACCACCCCTGGATTAATCCCCCCACCACCCCTGGATTAATCCCCCAATCACCCCTGGATTAATCCCCCAATCACCCCTGGATTAATCCCCCCATCAGCCCTGGATTAATACCCCATCACCCCAGGATTAATACCCCATCACCCCTGAATTAATCCCCCCACCACCCCTGGATTAATCCCCCAATCACCCCTGGATTAATCCCCCCATCAGCCCTGGATTAATACCCCATCACCCCAGGATTAATACCCCATCACCCCTGAATTAATCCCCCCACCACCCCTGGATTAATCCCCCAATCACCCCTGGATTAATCCCCCCATCACCCCTGGATTAATGCCCCATCACCCCTGGATTAATCCCCCAATCACCCCTGGATTAATCCCCCCATCACCCCTGGATTAATACCCCATCACCCCTGAATTAATCCCCCCACCACCCCTGGATTAATCCCCCAATCACCCCTGGATTAATCCCCCCATCACCCCTGGATTAATACCCCATCACCCCTGAATTAATCCCCCCACCACCCCTGGATTAATCCCCCAATCACCCCTGGATTAATCCCCCCATCACCCCTGGATTAATACCCCATCACCCCTGGATTAATACCCCATCACCCCTGGATTAATCCCCCCACCACCCCTGGATTAATCCCCCAATCACCCCTGGATTAATCCCCCCATCACCCCAGGATTAATACCCCATCACCCCAGGATTAATCCCCCAATCACCCCTGGATTAATCCCCCCATCACCCCTGGATTAATACCCCATCACCCCTGGATTAATCCCCCCATCACCCCTGGATTAATCCCCCAATCACCCCTGGATTAATCCCCCCATCACCCCTGGATTAATACCCCATCACCCCTGGATTAATCCCCCAATCACCCCTGGATTAATCCCCCCATCACCCCTGGATTAATACCCCATCACCCCTGGATTAATCCCCCCATCACCCCTGGATTAATCCCCCATCACCCCTGGATTAATACCCCATCACCCCTGGATTAATCCCCCCACCACCCCTGGATTAATCCCCCAATCACCCCTGGATTAATCCCCCCATCACCCCAGGATTAATACCCCATCACCCCAGGATTAATACCCCATCACCCCTGGATTAATCCCCCCATCACCCCTGGATTAATCCCCCAATCACCCCTGGATTAATCCCCCCATCACCCCAGGATTAATACCCCATCACCCCAGGATTAATACCCCATCACCCCTGGATTAATCCCCCCACCACCCCTGGATTAATCCCCCAATCACCCCTGGATTAATCCCCACCACCCCTGGATTCATCCCCCACCACCCCTGGATTCATCCCCCCATCAGCCCTGGATTAGTACTTCCACCCCTGGATAAATCCCCCCACCATCCCTGGATTAACCCCCATCACCCCTGGATTAGCCCCCATCACCCCTGGGTTAGCCCCCATCACCCCTGGATTAATACTTCCACCCCTGGATTGATCCCCCATCACCCCTGGATTAATCCCCCATCACGCCTGGATTAATACACCCACTACCTCTGGATTAACCCCCATCACCCCTGGATTAATACCCCCACCAGCCCTGGATTAATCCCCCGCCACCCCTGGATCAATCCCCCCAATCCCCCTGGGTTAATCCCCACCACCCGTGGATTGATCCCCCCTCACCCCTGGATTAATCCCCCCATCCCCCTGGGTTAATCCCCCATCACCCCTGGGAGCTTGGAGTCTTTCCATTGTCTCCATAGTTTCCCCTTTTCCAAAGGTCTTATAGTTGGAATCATACAGTATGTGGTCCTCAGATTGGCTTCGTTCACTTAGGAATGTGCATTTAGGGTTCCGCTGTCTTTTTCTGCTTGATAGTACGTTTCTTATCTCTGAATAATATTCCATTTTATGTATATACCATAGCTTATTTATCCATTTCTCTGTTGAAGAACATCTTGGTTGCTTCTGGTTTTTGACAATTATGAATAAAGCTACTATAAACATTCTTTTTCAGGGTTTTGTGTAGATACAAGTTTTATCACCTTTATCAGTTCCAATCCTTGGGTAAATCTCTAGGACTGTGATTGCTGGATCTTATGGTAAAAGTATTCTTAGCCTTGTAAATATCTGCCAAGCATCTTCCAAAACTTTCATACTATTTTGCTTTCCTAAGAGCAATCAATGAGAGTTCCTATTGATTCACATCCTCAGCCAGCTTTTGGTATTGTCATTTTTTGGATTTTTCGCTATTCTGATAGGTGTGTAGTGTTACCTCATTGTTTTAATTTGCAGTTCCCTAATGACATATGATGATGAGCATCTTTTTATATGCTTGTTATTGATAAATCTTTATTGGTGATATGTCTGTTCAGATCTGTTGCCCATTTATTAATTGGGTTGTTTTCTCATTGTCTGTTTTTTGGAGACAGAGTCTCACTTTGTCACCCAGGCTGGAGTCCAGTGGTGCAGTTATGGCCCACTGCAGCCTCAAGCCCCTGGGCTTAAGCAGCCTTCCCACCTCAACCAATGGAGTAGCTAGGACTGTAGGCACACCTGGCTAGTTTTTGTATTTTTTGTAGAAACAAAAAAAAGCGATCAGCTCGCCTCAGCCTCCCCGCGTGCTGGGATCCCAGGCATCAGCCACCATACCTGGCCTGTTGTTGATTTTTAAGAATTCTTCATATATGTTGAATACAAGTTCTTTATCAGATAGGTGTTTTACAGCTATTTTCTTCCTATCTGTGACTTGTCTCTTCATTACTTTAATACTACGTTGGACAGAGCATACGTGTTTAATTTTAATGAAGTCCAACTTACTGATTTTTTTCTTTCATGGATGGTGTTTTTGGTGTTGTATCTAAAAGATTATCAGCAAACCCAGGTCACTCAGATTTTCATCTGTGTTCTGTTCTAGAAGTTGTATAGTTTTTGCACTTTACATGTAGTCTGTTATTGGAGTTCATTTTGGGGTAAGATGTAAGATCTGTGTCTAGATTCATTTTTTTTTTTTCATGTGGACGTCCAGTTGTCCCAGCACCATTTTTGGAAAAACCTGTCCTTTCTCCATTGAATTACCTTTATTCCTTTGTCAGAGATCAAACTGACTATATTTGTGAGGACCAATTTCTTGTCTTTCTGCTCTGGGCCACTGATCTATTTGTCCGTTCTTTTTCTAGGACCACACAGTCACCCAGTCTTTTTTACAGTAGCTTTAGAGTAGCTCTGTAAGGTGGGTAGTGTCAGCCTGCCAGATTTGCTCTCTTTGATATTGTGTTGGATGTTCTGGGTGTTTTCCTTCTCCATATTAACTTCAGAATCATTTTGTTGATAACCACAAAATAATTTGCTGAGATTTTGATTGGGGCTGCATCGAATCTGTAGGTCAAGTTGTAAAGAACTGATATTTTAGCAGTATTGTCTTCCTGTCCATGAATGTGGAATATCTCTTGATTTCTTCAGCTCTGTGAATTTTTTCATCAGAGTTTTATAGTTTTCTTCCTATAGCTCTTGTGCATATTTTGTCCATTTTATACGTGGGTATTTCACTTATTTATGTAGAAATGATAGTGTGTTTTTAATTTCAAATTCCCATCATTTATTGCTAGTATCTAGGAAGCCAGTTGACTTTTGCATATTGATCTTGTATCCTGTGACTTTTAATCACTTCCTAGTTTAGAAGTGTTTTTGTTCTTTGAGATTGTTCTTTATAATTATGTCATTGCAAACAAGTAGTTTTATTTCCTTCTTCCCAGTCTGTGTACCTTTGGTTTTCTTGTCATTGCATTAGCTCGAACTTCCAGTACAATGTTCAGTAGAAGAGATAAGAGGGAACATTGTTGCTTTATTCATGATCTTAGGGGGAAGTCACTGAGTTTCTCACTCTTAAGTTTGTTGTTAGCTGCAGTTGTTTTGTAGATGTCCTTTATTAAGTTGAGGAAGTTTCCCTCTATTCCTAGTTGGCTGAGAGTTTTTATCACGAGCTGGTGCTGGATTTTGTTAAATGCTTTTCTACATCTATTGATATGATTTTTGTTCTTTAGCCTGTTTGATGTGGTAGATTATGTTAATTGATTTTGGAATGTTAGATCACCCCTGCATACCTGGAATAAATTCTGTCTGGTCATGGTTCATAATTCTTTTTATACATTGTTGGATTTGGTTGCTAATTTTTTGTTGACTTCAGTTTTCTTAGATTTAGTTTGCTAATTTTGTTGAAGATTTTTGCATTTATGTTCATGAGACATATTGGTCTACAGTTTTTTTTTCTTGTAACGTCTTTGTCTGGTTTTGGTATTAGGGTAATGCCAGACTCATATAAGAAGTTAGAAAGCGTTCCTCTGCTTCTGTTTTCTGAAAGAGATTGTAGAGAACTGGTAGCATTTCTTCCATAAATGTTAGGTGGAATTCACAGTGAGACCATCTGGGTCTGGGGCTTGCTTTTTGGAAAGGTTTTTCTTTTTCTATCCAAGTTACCAAATGTATGGACATAGAGCTGTTCATAATATTCCTTTACTATTCTTTTACTGTTCATAGGATCCATAGTAATAGTCCTTCACTTCTAGTACTAGTTGTTTATGTCTTCTCTGTTTTTTGACTAGCCTGGGGAGAGACTTATTGGTCTTGTCAGAGTTTTATTGGTCTTGTCAAAGAATATGTTTTTGGTTTGGTTGATTTTGTCTATTGATTTCCTGTTTTCAGTTTCACTGATTTCTGCTCTAATTTTTATTATTATATTTTTATTATTTTCTTATTATAATACAATAATATTTTTATTATTTTCTTATAATAAAATATTTTATTTTCTTATAATAAAATAATATTTTTATTATTTTCTTCTCTACTGCTTACTTTAGGCTTATATTGCTCTTTCTTTCCTTCTAGTTTTCAAAGGTGAAGCTGGTTTCAGATCTTTCTTTTCCAATATATGCATTTAATGCTAAAAAGCTTCCTCTCAGCACTGCTTTTGCTGCATCCCACAAATTTTGATAAGTTGTATTTTTATTTTCACTTAGTTCAAAATATTTTCACATGTGCTTTTACATCCAGAAGCACCCCCATGTCCATGGGCAGTTGTCAGGATAAGGGGCAGCTAACTTTCTGCCACCTTCTCAGGTGAAGTGGCAGGAGTCACACAGCCTGTTTTCTCACCATCCACCAAACTGTATTCCAGATCGGAGTATTAACAGCTAGTCTATAAATTGAGATCGGAGTATTAACAGCTAGTCTGTACGTTGAGATCGGAGTATTAACAGCTAGTCTGTACGTTGAGATCGGAGTATTAACAGCTAGTCTGTAAACTGAGATCGGAGTATTAACAGCTAGTCCCAAGTTGGGTTTGAGAACTTCCAGTAGAGGTTTGTTTCTGTGCTTATCTTATAGAGCTTGAAGGGTTCTTGAGATATTCTCTCCCTTGTGGTAAGTGATAAACCACACAGGAGTGATTCTGGCCCCTTCTCTACTTGAGACAGAAGGATGGAAGTGACGTGGCTTACATATAACTTACCATGTTGGGCCGGTTCCACAGTGACATGACTTACATATGACTTAATTGTAGGCCAGTCCCCTGTGTCATTATGCGGATGGTCTAGAAATGTTTATTTCTAGAAAACCGAAGTGACTCAGGCTGTAACTTAAGCTCGGCCAGATATTCTCTTGAGATACAGAAATTATTTAGTGGCATCAAAAAAGAAAGTTTAAACATTTTAAGTTCAATAATTGTTACCTTTCTTTTCTCCAGGCTTATAATCACAATAGAACTGTTTTCCATAGTGTTCCTTAATTTTGACTGTCTTCTTTTTGGACCTTTGTTATTAAAGACCATAAACATAAAGCTCATTTCAGTGTGGTCACGGCCCATTCTCAGTAATGGTTAATGAATAGACAGATGGATGCATTGAGGCACAGATACATTAAGTGGCTTGCAGAAGTCATACGCGTGTTTTCTCACCATCTTTCAGACTATATTCCAGATCCGAATATTCATCGCTTAGGCCTATTTTGAAAAGCACTTTACTGAATCTATGTGATTGCCCTCTGGCATTTCTCTATTCTTTATCTCATTTATAATCAGTGCACGCTATTTGATTTTTTGATGATTGTTATCTACTTAGTATACATACTACAGATCAAATTCCAAATCCTATTAGAAGAGAACACAATATTAACAAAAAGTTGACCTTACCCTGAGAGATGATGCAGCCACAGGTGATACGATATAAAGGGGGTTTCTCCTGAGCTTCTTCCTCTTCTTAGCGCACGCAAAGCCAGGCAGCTCTGGGTGATGGATTTTTCAAGTCCAGCTCCCTTGCCTCCTGTCAGAGGTGGAACGCAGGCTCCAGGGCCACATGGAATCCAGTGGGAGGCCCATCCCCAGGGCCGAGGCCTGAGACGCACCTGTGCTCAGTTTCGCCTCCTCCCCACTGGTTTTCCCGGGAGCACTTCCGGAACCACTGGCTGGCTTACGGCTTCTCCCTTCAGGGTCTCCTTCTGGGGAACCCAAGCTAAGCAACCTACCATTCGAGCTTGCTAAACTAAAGAAATATTAAAGAATATCTGAGCATTCTGGTTTTTCTTTTATTGGAGGAGGGGTTGGCGGTCTCTACTGTTTCATTCATTTTGGGATCATTTCTAAATGATTGCAGTGTAGCTTTGGAAATTGTGGTGTCATCCACCTGTCTCCTCTGATAATTGTCGAGACATACATACATAGAGCTCCATAGAGAAAACCAGCATGTATTTTATAGTTGACACCGTTAAATACTTCACAAGAAATAAAGGGATCTGTCATCACTTCTGCTGGGACATCTGCGACGCCTCCTTCAAGTGTGCCAAGTATGAATGCGTGCTCAGTTATGGCAAACAAACTCACTCAGCACTGATTGGATTCCAGGCTCCATGGTCCCCTTCTCGATGCGCATCTTGCACGCGGAGCTTCAGCAGTACCTGGGGAACCCACAGGAGTCGCTGGATAGACTGCACAAGGTGAAGACTGTCTGCAGCAAGGTAGGTGGCGCTGTCATTCTTCCCTGCCACGGGGAGAACATGCCCTCCACGCCCTCCCCACAGGACATGCCCGTGCTGTTCCCTGCCCGTCCTGCCCCATGCACCATCGCTGCTTCTGCCTTCAGAAGGCTAGGTGACCCGGTTTGTGTGGCCTGGTAGTCGTGTCTCTTGCTGAAATCTTTTTTAGGGATGGTAAGAGTTTCTAGCAGAGCTTGAGTCCTGTAATTCTTACTGCCTGGTACTATGGGAAGCTGAAAGGCAGAGACATCTTTCTTGCCAAGGCTGCCAGCTGAAGCTTCAAGGTCAGTGTGCCAGACCACCCCTGTGTCCCACAAGTGCCCACACGCACCTGCCACGTGCAGACAGAGGTACCGGAGCAGTACTGAAAGCAATCATGGTTTAAGCTTTCAAATCCAAGTAAGTGCTTCTGCATTATGGCAACTGTCACTCATGATCCTGACTGCAAAGGCAGAGTCGGAGTGTTTTCGGACTCATTCTTGGTTGTGAAGTCACAGTTAATGTGGGAGCCACCAAAGTGGCACGTTATTACACTAACTGACATTGGGAAGAAATGTGGGACTCAGAGACTTTGCTGTCTACAGGTTGTTATAGAGTATTCATCTCAGATTAGGAATGATCCTGCCTTTCTACCCACGTCACAGTGTTCCTGTATAGGTTCAGTGACATAAGGTATGCGGAAGTACTTTGAAAACTACAACAACAAGCAGTTATTAGGAGCAGCAGCATATTATAATTTTTGGGAAAACTAAGATTCTTCTTGTCAGATTCCTCCTTTCACTTCCTAACTGTTGTGGTAGAAGTTTTGCGGAGTTCCAAGATGATGGTGTTAACAGTGTTCCTAGTAAGGAAGGAAGGGGCCCTCTTTATCCTTATCTGTGGAGAAAAAACAGGCGTTTCTAGGCCCCTTGTTGTCCTGGGCTTTGTACCCACTTCCATTTTTTTATTACCATAACTTAAAAGATAAAAAGAAAAATTGTTTGCTTTCTGTACTATATCAGTTGATGGAGAATCATGTTACCAACTTTTTTACATTTCAACACTTTTCTTGAATCTTAAAACGGGGTTTAATTTTATTTACAGAAATCGGAAGCACATAACTTGAAATTGAGAAGTTCTAAATCAGTGACTTTCTAAACTATACGAATTTTTCATTATCCTCCATGTCACATTGTAGGAAATCTTTATAGTATTTGAGAGAGAAAATTCTGGGCCATAGGGTGATTTGTGGATGGAAAAGCCAAGTTAGTTGAAGTAGTTTTGCAAGTCAGCTTTCCTGGTCCTGTTATGTCCTATTTCAGAATTATGCTCCTTAAATGCATACTACAGGCTGGGTACAGGGGCTCATGCCTGTAATCCCAGCTACTTGGGAGGCTGAGGCATGAGAATCGCTTGAACCCAGGAGGCTGAGGTTGCAGTAAGCCGAGATCAAGCCACTGCACTCCAGTCTGGGCAACAGAGCAAGACTCTGTCTCAAAAAAAAAGAAAAACTGCATACTACAGTGTAACGATGAGAGGAGCCACTTAGCACTAGCTATGAAGCAGCAGGGACGGTGGAGCAGAGAGCAGGAGCTTCCCACACCGCTGCTCTGGGCACCTGCACTTACTCCACCTGACAGACACCTTTGTTGCATTCATTATGAGGCAGCCACTGCTCTGAGTTCCAATATTAACTCATTTAATCCTTATCACAACCCTATGAAGGAGATGTTATTATCCCAATTTACAGATGGGGAAACTGAGGCACAGATAGGTTAGGTAACTTAGGATCACATGAGTTGAACCCAAGTCATCTGGCTCTAAAGTCCATGCTCTTCATCACTTGCCTGGCTTCATCACTATAACATGTCCCGTTTGAAGACAGAAGGACCGAGAGTCCTCTCTTCCACCCTGCACCAGCATTTCTGCTCCAAGAAAGGACAGTGCTGTCCGGGGTCAACTGACATCTGCTCAGAAGACCCCTGTGCTGAATGGGGCCCTGCCCCTTCCCCCTGACTGATGCCTGGAGATGGGCTCGAGCCTGTGCTCTGCTGGGCTGGGCCCTCCTGAGACTCTTGAGGGGGCTTCCAAGCAACAGCAGTTGACAGCTAAGCATCGTAGGGTTGGGGAGAAACGAGAAGGGTTAGTGCAGTCACATCCTAGGAACGTTTCTCTCAGGCTGACTGGGCGTGGGGCCACCGTCAGTGAGAGAGCCACTCATGCTTCTCGTTCCCTCCGCTGGTCTACAGTTCCACCTGCCTCTCATCTTGTGAATACATAACCGCACTTCAGGTATCTCTCATGTTTAAAGATACATATCTTTTCCATGGCATGATCCAAATCTAAGCCAACACTCCTTATGGTACTTAAATGAGGAAATCGCAATTCGTTCTAATCCTGGAAGAAAAACAAGCAGTTGGATTTATGAAAAGGTGTGTGTTGGTCTTCACCTTAAAGGATTTTCACCGTTAATTTCAATATGTAATTACTATGTGTTCCTTTATGTGCTGACTTAAAATTTGACACCCTCTTGAGAGAGAGAGCTGCACTGTGGCACAGCTGGTGGATGCCTGGACCAAGAGGGAAAGACCCAGGGCATGACCATATAGTCAGCCTTGCCTGTCCGCCACCTTTGGCAGGAGAAGAAGCACCGTCGCCAACTTCCTCGCTCACTTCCTTGCACGTTAGGGGCTCATGGCCGCATGTGGGCATTCTTGACCTTTCTGCGGCTGGTTCAGTGTTGAACTGAAGCAGTTTTTATCTGGATGTGAACAGTGGGCACTGCGGGGACATGGAGCAATGCGTCTCCACGCTGTCCAGAACAGCTCTATCTGAGCTTGTTCATTTGTTCATGCAGCAAATGCCCTTTCAGCACCTACTGAGTACTGCACACTGGCAGTTCGGGACTCAACAGAACGCAGCCTCGCCCTCAGTGAGTTTACAGTTTGGTAGACGATGCTTGTTTCACCTGTTCCTTTTAGGTTTGCAGCCATCACCAATACATCATGATCCTCCAGAATTTAAAAAGGGACAGTTTGTGTTCATGCTAGAATTTCTTTACTCAAGAAGTGTGTATTAGTCCATCTGGCTTTGCCATAAAGGAATACCCGAGGGTGAGTCATTTATAAAGAAAAGGTTTATTTTGGCTCACAGTCCTGCAGGCTGTACAAGAAGCACAGTGTCAGCATCTGCTTCCAGTGAGGCCTCAGGAAGCTTTTTTTTTTTTTCTTGAAGCGGAGTCTCGTTCTGTCACCCAGGCTGGAGTGCAGTGGCGCTATTGGCTCACTGCAACCTCCACCTCCCAGGTTCAAGCGATTCTCCTGCCTTGCCTCCTGAGTAGCTAGGATTACAGGCGCCCATCACCACACCTGGCTAATTTTTCTATTTTTAGTAGAGACAGGGCTTCACCATGGTGGCCAGGCTAGCCTCAAACTCCTGACCTCAAATGATCCACCCGCCTTGGCCTCCCACAGTACTGGGATTACAGGCATGAGCCACTGCGCCTGGCCAGGAAGCTTTTAATCATAGTAGAAAGCAAAGGGGAAGCAAGTGTGTCACATGGTGAGAAAGACAGCGAGAGAGAAGAGGAGGAGGAGGGAGGCACCAGACTTTTTTTGACAATCAGATCCCAAGGTAACTAACAGAGCCAGAACTCATTCATTGCCATAGGGACGGTACCAAGCCACCCATGAGGGATCCACCCCCAGGACACAAACACCCCCCACCAGGCCCCACCTCCAACACTGGAGCTCACATTTCAACATGAGATTTGGAGGGGATGAATGTCCAAACTATATCATAGTGCAAAATCTAAAAATACTAAAAGCCAGCCCACCACTATTCTGCCGGTGTTGATTTGCTGGATTAAAGTGAACGGCTTGGTGTGGCCTTTGATCCCCTCTGCTCTCCACTGGTGAGTAAAGAGAGAGGTCAGACCAGAGACTCCAGGGTTCTCCAGCATGACATTCTGATTTTCCCAGACCTTCACAACTCCAGGAAATCCTCAGGAAGTCTTAAACTAAGGATGTGTTAGTGAGACCTCTCGGTCCGTGGACTGCCCTTTGCTGCATTGTTTAAAGTATTCACCACACCTGCCCCAAACCACACGCACACACACAGCTCTGCTCAGGACACGTGCTGTGTGTCCCAGCACTGAGGTGCAGTCACGTGTTAACGCTGCATGGATGTGTGAGGTGCTGAATGCATTATGTTGATTACCCCCTACTAATGCCCACAGCAGCTGCAAGTGATTTTATTATCCTCGGTTCCCAGATGAGGAAAGTGGCCTCAGGGAGGTGAAGTGTTCCCCAGACAACTGCAGTGAGGCAGCGATGGAGCCTGGCTGAGCCCCATCACACAGCTCCAGAAGCCTCACCCTTGAGCACCACTCTGCGGTTCTCTGTGAAATTAGACCATCAGGATTGTGGTTTTTTCCTCCAAATACAGACTTTTCTCTGATGCTTTGTAAAGCAGGGGCTCTAAAGTTTGGTCTTAAGCGTCACTTGAACAGTTCCAGAAATTTTAGCAATCTCTACTGCACTTGCTCCTGCCAAAAATTGCTCTCAGTAGATTCAGGGAACTGTGGACTCTTCCAGTGGGTGAGGAGAGTCAAACAGAGTGAAAAGAAATGAGTCCAGAATGTTAAACATGATTTCCTTTGGTGCCGTTTTCCATTAGCTCCTCCTCCCGCAGGGCGTGGAGAGCAGCCGGTTACTCGAGGGTAGGGCGTCTAGAGCAGCCGGTTACGCGAGGGTAGGGCGTGGAGAGCAGCCGGTTACGCGAGGGTAGGGCGTGGAGAGCAGCCGGTTACGCGAGGGTAGGGCGTGGAGAGCAGCCGGTTACGCGAGGGTAGGGCGTGGAGAGCAGCCGGTTACGCGGTTACACGAGGGCGGAGGGCGTGTGCCGGGAGCACAATCCGGGCCGAGGCTCCTGGTAAGGGAGCAGAGCGGGAAGCTGATCCCCCACGGATTCTTAGGGGGCCGACTTCCCCTGTGTTGAAGATTCATCAAAGACTGATTCGAGTCTGTGTTCAGCATGTGTGTTTTAGATTAGAACAGTGTTGAGAATTTTTATATGGGGCCCAGTTTTAGCAGGACATCATTTAGGATCTTTACAAACGAGTTCAGGGTACTTCGTTTTATCTGTTGTCTTTGAGCCACTGAGTGAATTAGTAAATGTTTGCAAATGTGATTGCATCAGTGAAGAAGAACATATACCACGAGTTAAAATAAATTTCCCGTGCTGCTGAAAAATCAGTGCCGCCATCCTCTGACCCTGCTCCTCCCACGCGCCCTGCAGGCTGTCTCCCTCTGGGGTCGAGAGAGCTTCACAGACCATTTGGGAAAGAGCCAAGCAAACACACTTCTGCAAGCCATTTGCATAAGTAGACATAATCCATACGGAATGATGCACTGTTCGGTTGTAGTTTCATTCGTCAGTGACCTGCATCTGCCCGCCCAGTCTTGAGTTCAGCTCCATCCCTCCCTGCAGTTCCGCAGCCTCCGGCTTCCCCACCTCAGCTTGGCTGAGAGTTTCACGTTCATCCAAGTGCTTCTTTACAGACTCACTCCCAGCTGGAGGAGGCAGAGGGTAAGGTACATTTTCGTGCACTCCGGAAAAGAAACGTATTCAACAATGTCCATGTAGCTTTTGCTTCTCTATTGATAATTGCTAATGTGGTAGTGAGAGCTTTGTTTGTAGGAAGAGTTAATATCTTTTCTAAAAGGGTTTTTTGACAGATGGACATTCTTCAGTTTTGCTGTCTTATTTGTTAAGCAAAGTTAGAAACATAAGTGAGAACAGGCGTGGCTGGCCTCTAACACTGTCAGGGCCAGGACTCAGGGCCTGGCCACCCGCACACCGACAGTGGCCAGTTATTGCCATCACCGTGCCTGACCCAGAGGGTTTGGTTGCCCTTCTTTTCTGCTGCTTCCACAGAAAACAAATTGATTGTGGCTTAATCAGATGAGATGGGAATGACTGGCAGGTGGGGAGAAGAAAGGAAAGGCCGAGTGAGGATGGCCATCCATCGAGGCCACTTCCCTGCTCTTTGCCATTGAAGCCCATGCTCCTGGAACCCCGTGTGTGTTCAGAATGTGCAAGCAGAAGAAGAAGAGGGAGCGGAAAGCACTGGGCATCAGGGCTTTCCAGGGGAATGTCTTGACCTGGCTGGCAGTGGAAATTCACACCTTCAGAAACCTCTAGAGTTCATCGTGGCCAATCCTGGGACATGGACTTAGGAATGCCCAACCCCGCCACCCAGCCGTGGCAACCCGATTCAAAACCAAATGCACCAAATGTGAACTCGAAGGCCATAGCCCTTGCCAGCGACCCAGCCCTGAAGCGGGCATGATAGCCCAGAGAAGAGGCCTTTGATGTAAGATGATTCTTAAATCGTGCATTCTTTGCCTTGCTTTTCTCGGCAGTATGTGTTCTGTCAATCTGTGATCTGAGTAGAAAGAAGAAAGTGTATTTTCAAGGTATGAGGGGCCCAGAGGACACTGTCCCAAAAGCAGTGGTTGTGAGAGTGGCTTTGGAGTCAGGCTGACAGTCTGGAAACTTCCAGGTCCGCTCTGAAGTGCCGGCTGCATGACCAGCCCTCCAGCCTGTGTCCGCTTCGGCCTTCTTTGTGCAAGTGAGAGCATTGCTGATCCCCCCGGGGTGGCGAGGGGGCGCACGTCAGTGACCTCGCATGGTGCCTGCCAGGCACGTGGTCCGTGTTTCATGATTCTTTGAGAGCTTTGGAGCAGCTCCAAGAAGACTCTTTTACTTTGAAGAGGTCCCCTGGGAAGCTGTGGTGGGACTGGAAGGTCGCAGGACTTTCCAAAATCTAAGTCTCTCCAGAACAGAGCTGCTCCAAGCTTTAGTCTCCACTCAAAAGGGTCCACTTAGTAAGTTCTCAGGTCCTTGGCTTAGTGCCAGCTTCCCAGTAGTTTGTATACTAGATGCCTTGGGAATAAAACCAGTTCCCTAAACCTATCCCGTGCTCACCCACGACCCGTGACAGCTGCCAAAGGGACAGACGCAAAGGCTCCTTCCTCAAGGCCCCCTGCAGACAGCACTTTCCACACTGAAGGTGTCAGTGACCCAGCCAGAAAACCTGCTTCACCACCTCCTGGATAACTGCATAGGATGAGAACATAGATTTGGGTCTCTTTAAATATGAATAGGTTACAAATTGCCTTTTTAAATATTGCTTGAGATCAAGTGGTAGTGGTTATATATGGAGTCAAGCAGCTGGGATATTCATTCAAGGCGTGTAATTTTCTTCATTCTTTGGACAAAACACAAGCAGGTTTTTAATTTTGAATAATTGATCTTCCCTCCCATACTGTGGGCAGGTGTTGATGGTTCCCCACCTTGTTAGCCTGAAGCCTGTTCATCCCTGGACCGGCCATGACATGCCCAGTGCAGTATCCCCCACGGTGGGGCTGGCAGCAGCCCCTCCACACTATGCACAGAGCAGTCTGAGTCTGGAATCGTCTCTTCAGCCTTACAGCTGTTCCATCTGTTATTTTCTCCAAACTCCTCTTCCCTGCATTTCCAAGCAGCGTCTTCTCATGATTACAGTCACTTTCAGAGATGAGCTCATGCTGATACCCAATGAAGAACCCAGTTCAGAATTTTCTTTTTTTTTCTTTTTTGTTTTTTTGAGACAGGGGGTCTTATTCTGTCACCCAGACTGGAGTACAGTGGCATGAACGTGGCTCACTGCAGCCTTGACCTCCCCGGTTCAAGCAATTCTTCTGCCTCGCCCTCCTGAGTAGCTGGGACTACAGGCATGCACCACCAAGCCTGGCTAATTTTTAAACTTTTTGTAGAGATAGGGTCTCACTCTGTTGCCCAGGCTGGTCTTGAACTCCTGGACTCAAGCAGTTCTCCCACCTCAGCTTCCCAAAGTGCTACAGCTGACTATAAGCGTGAGCCACCATGTCCAGCCCAGAATTTTCAAATTAAACAAAACTAACCCTCCAACATGTTTCAGTACAGTGGCCTCAATACACTATTCCTCATGCAAAGCCTTCAGTTGAAAGTGCTGGGTAACTTGGATTTGCCTGTGTGTTGACCATCAGTTGCTGCCTAACAGATTATCTGCAGCTCTGTGGGCTAAAACCACAGGGATGTATGACCTTCCTATTTCTGTGGGTCTCGAGTCCAGCACAGCTTCTGGGTCGCACTGGCTCAGGTCTGTCCTGAGGTTGCAGTTAAGATGGTGACCGCAGTGTCTCACCTGAGGGCTCAGCTGGGGCTGGAGAACTGGGCTCCGGGAGGCTCCGTCATACACCCGCTGAGTTCTGCTGCTGTTGGTGAGAGGCTGGGTTCCTGGCCTCATGGTTCTTTCTGTAGGGCTTCTTGTGCGTCTCACAGCATAGCAGCTGGCTCCCTGCAGAGAGGGAGGGAGGAGGAGGAAGCCACAGTGCCTTGCACGGCCGGGTCTCAGAGGTCTCTATGTCCCCTCCACCTGGTTCTTTTTGTCAGACGAGTCACTAAGTCCAGGCCACACGCAAGGGATGGGAATGAGACTCTGCCTTTTGAGGAGTGCTCAGGAATGCATGGCCGCATTTAAACTGCCACACTGTGGCCGGTCAGCTGGGTCTGTTCCACTTCAGGATCCACAGGCCTCTCCTGGCCCTGCAGGACAGGCTCCCCTGCCTCCACTCCAGCCCGTCCTGGTGGTTGTGAGCCGCACTTAACCCTGCCAGGATGCGGCTTGTACTGGGAGGCCCATGGGCTCCGAGAGGACTTCCCTTCAACCTCCAGGCACCTTGAAACTGCCCAGCAGCCAAACCTCAGAGCTGTGGAAGCTCCTGGACGTTTCAAAGACCCACTTAATATTTAATAGTCAGTGCAGCATTAATTTCATTGCTCCCCGATCCCACATATCGAAACCTTTCACAGTTTAGTACAGGGATGATGGTGAAAGAGAAACCACAGGGAAAATCCGAGGCAGTGGAATTGTTTAATTTCTGGTTGCTTCTCCTCTTATTTGTAATTAATATCCATTCAGCATCTTTAAAGCTTACAAAATGCTTCAAGTACATTCTCATTGGAGTTCCATGATTTGTAAAACAGGCATGTGAAAAAATGGGAAGCTAAGGAAATAGGAATTCAGAAAAGGTACACTGAAGGTACGCTGAAGGTCAGCCTGAACTTGAACCCACGTCTTCTGGCACCGGACATCCCTGTTCTTGTCACTGCGGCACTTTGCTCTGTGTGTGGAAAGCGTGAAGGGCCCCTGCAAATGGACATGATGCTGCCTCCTCCACAGGTTTATTTTTGTGAAATCAAACAGAATACTGTTTGTGCTTAAAAACCATCCTGCGCCCCCATCTGTAAAATACATCGTCCCCGGTACTTCCCAGCAGGCGCTAAGCACCACCCACACTGCCGGCGCCTGACCAGACAGCTCCATGGAGCTCCTGACCCAGCTTCAACCCGTCGGGAACAGCTCCCAGGGAATGTGCAGGAAGGTGCCTCCAACACCCGGCCCTTTCTGCCCCTCGGCCCCTGTGGTCACTCTGCCCTCCACAGTCCTTCTGCCCCTGTGGCTGGTCGCTTACTGCTCTGTGCATCTTCCTGAAGCACTTGGCACTGTTGCCTCATCTCTGTCCTCTTCCTCCTATGCCCTCGCCTGGGCCCTCAGCAGCTTCCAGCAGGGAGGGTGTGGGTGCAGTGATTTGGATCATGCCCCTACTCCTCAGAGCCTCTTCCCAAACGAACCGGGTGTGGCGTGCTGGGCCTTTATTCTTCTGGGACACAAACACGGGACTGCTGATTGGTCTCTGATATAGACCCTGGAGTCTGCTCCTTTTGTCTGGGGCAAAAGGAACCAAGGAGGAAATTCCAGCCGCACCACATTTGCAAACGACACACTGTCGGGCTTTTTTTGCAATAACTGCATTTCCTAAATAATTCAGTCTTTGGATTGAGAACGTGTCTGTCACTTTCCTTTATAGAAATAACCTTTTGTAAATTAATGTACTGTTACTTTATAAAGCCAGACAACTGTCTCTAGATAGACAGCAATAAAAGCTACCAACTGTGAACTGCTGTTTCTTTTCCTTTCACTCATGGATGCTCTTCTGCATCACACTGGGACCTATCAATTGACATTAAATGACACACCCTACAAATAAAACAATAGTCACTGAGGGTCAGAAGGTTGTGTCTGATATGCCTATGTTCCTGTCAACAATAGGGGCTTTCTCCAGCTGTCCCCTTCTCGGGCTGAAGCACCTCAGTGACCCAGATCCCTGCAGGCACTTGGCGTCGTTTTGTGTGTCCCTCTGCCCCAGCCAGGAGAGTGCTTTTTGCAGAGGGAGGGGTGTAGCCTGCCTGGTGTCTCCGTGTCCTACCTGTGTGCCCTCCCAGCTGGGTAGGTGGGTCTGGAGGGGTGTAGCCTGCCTGGTGTCTCCATGTCCTACCCCTGCGCCTTCCCAGCTGGGTAGGTGGGTCTGGAGGGGTGTAGCCTGCCTGGTGTCTCCATGTCCTACCCCTGCGCCTTCCCAGCTGGGTAGGTGGGTCTGGAGGGGTGTAGCCTGCCTGGTGTCTCCGTCTCCTACCCCTGCACCTTCCCAGCTGGGTAGATGGGTCTGGAGGGGTGTAGCCTGCCTGGTGTCTCCGTCTCCTACCCCTGCGCCTTCCCAGCTGGGTAGGTGGGTCTGGGCCAAAAGCAGCTGCTGCAGGTGGAGCTCCCGTCACTCACATGCTCTGCGTTTGATGCCTCTGCTAAGATGGAGCCTCTGTTTCTGCATTTATGCATCATTGGGGTGGGAAACTCTGTTTCCTTTTTTCTAGACCTTTCTCTTCCTGCTGCCCTTCTGAAGGACCTCATTCCCCCTTCTCCCCTCATTGGCCGTGATAGTCCACAGGGAACGTCAGCCCCAGCGCAGCTTGTGCTGAGACCACCATGGCCCTGTGGTGCGGGTCTTCTCTCAGGCCTTGCGTGCTCACTACAGAGGTCTGGGGTGTTTCTGCAGGGTTTTCTCCTCCACTCAGCACGTGGAGAGATCGCCCATGGCATGGAGAGATGGCCCAGACCCACAGAGACCTCGCCGCATAGAGGATTTGCCCAGACCCCTAGACCCCGCCACGTGAGGAGGTCACCCAGGCCCGTAGGGCTCCCGTGGTGTGCGGAGGCGCAGAACAAGCTCAGGAGTCTGCTGACCTGGTGCGCCACACCCCGGGGACCGCCAGTGGGCGTGTTCGAGGCTCCGCTGACCAGGGCGCTGTCAGGTCTGGTTCGGGCAGCGGCTTTGCCTCTGTGATAGGTGTCCCGTCCCTCTTTCTTCCTGTGCTCCCTCTACACTAGCCTAAGGGAAGTCAGTTTCCTTTTTTTAATAAATTTTAATTTTTGTAGATACATAGTAGGTGTTTATGGGTTATAGGAGATATTTTGATACAGGCAGGCAATGCGTAATAATCCCATCAGGGTAAATGGAGTATCCATCCCCTCAAGCATTGATCCTTTGTGTTGCAACAATCCAATTATGCTCCCTTAGTTATTTTTTTAACGTACACTTAAATTACTGTAGTCACCCTTGTACTAGCAAACACTAGGTCTTATTTGTTCTATTTTTTTTTTGTACCCATTACCATCCCCACTCCATCCCCCACTACTGTTCCCAGCCTCTGGTAACCATCCTCCTGCTCTCCATCTCCATGAGTTCAGTTGTTTAAAGTTTAGCTCCCACAGATAAGTGAGAACATACGATGTTTGTCTTTCTGTGCCTGGCGTATGTCACTTAACACAGTGACCTCCAGTTCCATCCATGCTGTTGTAAATGACAGGATACCATTCTTTTTTATGGCCGAAGAGTACTCCATCGTGTATATATGGCAATTCCTTTATCCCCTTGTCTGCTGATGGACACTTAGGTTGCTTCCAAGTCTTGGCTGTTGTGAACAGTGCTGCAGCACACACGGGTGTGCAGTGATCTCTGATAGACTGATTTCCTTTCTTTTCTTTGGAGTATATATCTAGGCATGGATTGCTGCGTTGTATGGTAGCTCTATTTTTTGTTTTTTTGTAGAAACCTCAAACTGTTCTCCCTAGTGGTTGCACTGATGTACATTCCCACCAACTGTGGACAAGGGGTGAGGGAAGTTAATTTCATGGTAACACCAAGCCTTTCCTTTTTGTCAGTTTCTGTTCTTATGATCATTCATTAGAAGGCAGATTCACTGAAGAATGTCGTTTTACCTAGTTTAAACTGGCTAGATTCTTTTCAAGGTTACAATTTTGAACCCCACCTTGTCCCCTGAGTCATCGAGGTAGCCCAAGATAACGGTTAAGAGGAAACATCCTTTGTGTTGGCAGCAAATTGTTCTCCAGTTTCTGTTAAGTAGTGTCCCTTGCAGGTGAGGAGAGGCTGCTTTCATCCTCAGCAGGTAGAGACCGGGGAGTCGGACCAGCGGAAATCCTCACCTCCTGGGGTGGGCCGTGTGGGGAGTGTTAACTGGCAAGACGATCTAAATTCTCTACCCAGATCACAGCGGCTACAGCAGCTTTGCTTTCAGAGAAGAAAACACAAAAAAAAGTGCCCAAAAGTTAAAAAGCAAGTGGTAAAACCGGGAAGCGACACGTTGCACAAAACGTATTTGGTACGTTAAAAAGGCCAGAAGCACGGTGCCCTGTAGGAATGAGACTGACATCTTCACAAAAGGTCATCATCAGTCTCATGTGACATTCTCCATGCTTTTTTTTTAAAGACAGGGTCTCATTCTGTCACCCAGCCTGGAGTGCAGTGGTGCAGTCCCTGGTCACTGCAGCCTTGACCTCCCAGGCTCAGGTGATCCTCCCACCTCAGCCTCCCAGGTAGCTGGGACCACAGGCGCACACCACCATGCCCAGCTAATGTTTTGTATTTTTGTAGAGATGGGGTTTTGCCATGTTGCCCCAGCTGGTCTCTAACTCCTGGGCTCAAGTGACCCACCTGCCTCGGCCTCCCAAGGTGTTGGGATTACAGGCTTGAGCCACCGCTCAATCCCAGAAGTGTTGGGATTACAGGCTTGATGCTTTTCTTAAAAAACATATTCCCCATGTATGATGTCTGCAGATACTTCAAGAACATCATAAACACCACTTTCACCATCAGCTGGGAGCAGAGTCCCTCCCCATTCACTGTCGCCCCACGCCATAGGGACTTGGTGATGTTTACAGTGTGTCCCTGTGGGCGAACGGGATAAGGAAAAGATGGTGCACATACACTGTGGAATACTACGCAGCCGTAAAAAAAGAACCAAATCATGTTGTTTGCAGCAACATGGATACAGCTGGAGGCCATTATCCTAAGTGAATTAACACAGAAACAGAAAACCAAATAGTGAATGTTTTCACATGTAAGTAGAAGCTAAACATTGGATTCACATGGACAAAAAATAGACCAGAGACTACCAGTGGGGGGAGGGTGGGATGGGAGGAAGAGCTGAAAAATGATCTGTTGGGTCCCATGCTGACTACCTGGGTGATGGCTTCAATCGTACCCCAACCTCAGCATCACCCAGTATACCCAGGTAACCTGCACACATACCTCCTGAATCTAAAATAAAGTTGCAATTTAAAATAAATAAAATATCAAATGTTTTAATATTTTTTAAAAGTATGTGTGAACATCCCTTGACAAATTGTTTTCATCCAGAGAAATTTGCTGTACTGAGATTATATTATAACAAAGTCTTAGACAAAAATTGGTTCCCATGATTTTGTCCTTCTCATTTGGAATGATTGCAGATCCTGGCCAATTTGGAGCAAGGCTTAGCAGAAGACGGCGGCATGAGCAGCGTGACTCAGGAGGGCAGACAAGGTGGGTCGGCCGGACTTTGCTGACTAGATGCTTCTCGGACATCACTGACAGACTGAGCCCAAAGCCTCTCGCTTCCTCTCCTTCTCCTTTCCTTTCTGTAGTCAGCACTGCACGTGTCCACTCGTGCATTTGCAACTCACTCCTTTCTTGGGGAAGCCAAGCACATCACTGGGTGATGCTGTGGGTGCAACGTGCAGCCTCAGACCCGAACCCTGCGCCCGGGGAGAAGACACGCCTTCACCACAAAAGCACACGGCCCGGAACCTGCCACGCTGAGTGGTCTGAGTGGGCGCGAGGAAGGAGCCCAGCCCAGCCGAAGGGGCCCAGAGGGGCCTCTGCGTCGGGGAGAGAGGCCTCTGCGTCGGGGACAGAGGCCTCTGCGTCGGGGACAGAGGCTCGGGAGGGTGCTTCAGGAGGAGCTGGAGAGGAAGGCCCAGAGCCTGGGGCAGGCTGAGGGACCTGGGCAGTTCCCTGGAGCATTGGAAACCCCTTGGGGGACTGGGTGGGTTGACATGAGCTGATCTGCACAGTGAGGCCATGCCAGCTGCAGCTCGGGGAGTGCGTTAGCCAGGAGCAAGCTTCCGATCATGCTTGGAAACCTGGCCTGAGTGCTCCCTCCCAGGTAGCCCCACCCTAGCCTCACTCCCTCACTCCTTGTGGCAGCATCTCCCCACAGGCCTGGTGGCCTGGTCATCTCCTCCTTCCCACAGCTTCTGTCCTACTCGATGTGCAGCCCAAGTCAAGATCGGGTGGTCTCCGTTTCCGCAGGTGTGCTGGGGTTTCTGGGGAACTGCTGGCTGGTGTGAGCTGAACGTGTGTGAGGTGTGTATGTGTGTGGTGTGTGGATGTTGGGTGTGCATGCTGTGGCATGTGGTGTGGGTGTGGTGTGTGCATGTGTGTGCACTTGTGCACTCTCTTTTCAGTAATTTAATTGCAGGTAGAGTAACAAGGTCTGAAGGAGAGACGGCACTGTCTGCTCATGGATGTCCCATTCAGCATTCTTGGCAACCAGTCATTTTACCCCTGGTTGGGCTCCTGCTTTGGTGGGAATGAGCATGTAGTTATCAGAGAGCAGAAGGCTGTTCCTGGAAATCTAACAGAAGGTCACACCCATGAGCATTTATAAGGAGGGTAGGGGAGGATTTAGAGCAGGAAAGGAATCTGCAAAGATCATCAGAATAAATATGCAATTCATTGAGACAATCCATATTTTACATCCATTAAGAGAAGATATTCAGAATTTCTTTTCACAAAAATAATGGTATAAGGGGAACATAAGCAGCTAATGTGTTTTTCATTGCTGAAAGGCAAAGTGAGTTAAGTTTTTAATTCTAGCAATTAAGTTTCTGTGTGTTCTCCTGAAGCACACCGTAAATGCACATCATTTCTAGGTGATTGTTATCTCACAGTGGACGCTTGGTGCCAGCGGTGGGTCAGCTTCAGCCTCCTAAATCACAGCCTCAGAGGCAGCCAGGGACACACGGCTCCCAGTGCCCAGCGATGAGGGAGGCCAGGAGCACTCCCAGGGCCTGGTGCTGCCCAGGGTGGCATCTTGGCACTTTGCAGTTGGAAGTGTGGACTTTTCTTCGAGGAAGTAGACACAGCACAGGCGCAAGGAGCGCTGGACAAGGGGTCAGATGGAAGCGTCCCTGGCCTCTGTGGACCTCAGCCTGCCTGTCAATAATATGTTCATTTCAGATTAGCTCAGTCCTCAACCTGCGCCTTCCTCCTGGTCATCCCAATGATAAACAGGCACCATTGGTCAGCCCACCCTCCCCCCAGGGCAGCTCCCAGGGGACCTTTGCAGACCCCAAGAAGGCCACAAAGCCAGTTTGGAAACTACTAGAAGAGATGGGCCCTGAAGGTTTGAAATCAGTGGAGGGATGGCTGCTAACTAAATAATGTGCAGGGGAGAGCAGGGAGGGACGGGCCAGGCTCAGGGTCGCGGTCAGCCACCGTGTGGCAGCAGGTGCTAGGGAAGGAAGCCAGCTGCAGGGGAGTGCCGAGTCCCCAGCGGAATGTGCCAGCCACTTGAGTTCTGGAACACGGTGTAGCACTCCTTGGGGGAACCGGCGTCTGCACCAGCCCATGGTCGGGAGGCAGGGGAGGCCTCATGGCTGGGCATGGGTGGGGCCCTCCGGGTGGCCTCCCATAGGTCAACTGCGAGAGGCTGGCGGCCACCCTGGCCAGTGGCCCTCCCAGCCTTGTCGAGCTGCAGGCAATGTCGTCGTTTCTGTCAGCTTTGCTCCTTTTCTCAGGGTTCTGGCTTTGGAAACGGGGCCCCCGGTCGGACCATTTGGCCTTGTGTCTGGGCTGATGCTGAGCAGCCACCCTCCTGGTTCTCTGATGCCGAGGGTCTCTTCCCAAAGCCACCTCTGGTCCCAATGCGAGTGCTGTATTTTCTGCCTCAGTGCAGCCTGCAGCATATTCAGCATTCCAGGCCGAAATCCAGTGGTGTTAACAAGAGGGATCTTTTAAAGTTAAATTAGAATTCACAGGACCCAGTAATTGAGGGCTAGAAAGAGCCTCGAATTTATTTGTGCACTTACAGGCTGCTCTTACCTTGTAGCCTCTATCCGGCTGTGGAGGTCACGTCTGGGCCGGGTGATGTACTCCATGGCAAACTGTCTGCTCCTGATGAAGGTACGTGGGTGGCCAAGCAGGGCTGCCATGTGATCTGGAAGAGCGGGGTCAGTGGGAGCCGCGAGGGAGCCGCTGGTATAATAGATGCTGGCAGGGACCGGCCGTGCAGAGAAGCCAGCTAAGTACTGGCTTAACAGGGAGCCCAGTGACACATTATGGGGCTATATGTACTTTATTTCTACTGCAAGAAATTTCAACAGAATGTAGAATTTAGATGATCAGATTTCATTATTGAAATGTGGGTCTAAATGATTTAATTAAAAGTATTGTTCATTTTCCCCCATTTTTCTCTGAACTCCATCCCCAGAAGGTGTCCTTTGTTCTCCCTATCTTCGTGGAGGGTGTTTTTTTCACCTCATGGTTTTGATTTTATGATTGATGCTTACAACACCTGAAGACAGGCTTCCCCACAAGACCTTCTTAGGACGTCACCCCAGAGCTCTCAGCCCGCAGGGAAACAGCTTAGAAATCAAGGAGCTGAACTGAGGCTGTCATCTGTTTTTCCGTGTCTCCTGGCTCTCGCCAGCCTGTGCAACGGTGTTTTTTGGCTCCTCTCTTTGTTTGGAACGCACCCCACACCTGGCTCACCTCCCACACTGGGCATCAGGGTGCCCTGTGTGGAGCTAGTGTCCCTGCAGCCAGCTGTGCGTACTGAGAGCTACTGCAGGAATCAGCTAGCAGCAGGCGCTCCGGAGCAGTGCTCGTAACACCTCCTGGGCTGTTCGAAGACAGCGACCTTAACTCCCACACCCATGCGGCTTTCATGGGGCCAAGGTCATTCCTGAGCTTGATTTTCAGCAAGGCAGAGCAGGCAATTTACCAGCGGAGAACTGTGCTCACGGGCTCTGTCATGAACCCTGAAGTGGCAGCCCTGCTTTATGCACGGACCCTGCAGCATCCCCAGAGGTGACTGTGACCCCGGGCACTGCTCCGAGCAGGCTGGGTGCGGGTATAGATTCACAGCCATCAGTGGCTCAGGCATTCCATCAGGAAGACGTGCAGCCCGCACCCCGGCTTTAGCGCAGCCCCAGTGCCCAGTGCGGGGCCGCTGCCTTTGCGCTTCTGCGTCTACGTCAGGCTGGACGCACAAGGAGACTCGGCGTCCTGTTCATCCTCGGTAGCAAGCGACCGTGACGCAGCCTCGCACTACTGCAAGCCTCAGCCTCCTCCTTAAAATAAGGGCATAGATCTGAGATCTCTGAAATCCCTCCCAGCTCTGACATTCACACAGCTCTCTCCTCTCCTTCAACACACTGGATAAAGGAAATTACGGTTTTCAAGTTCTGTGGTTTTGCTCAGAGCAGGTTTTTCTTCCGCTGCCACTCCTGAGATAGTCCCACTGAGGTCAGGTGGCCCGCACAGGTGCTTTGTTCTGGTCCTCACCCTCCTCCCACCCGCCCCCTTCCCTTCTCCAGCCCCCTCTGGCTTCTGCAGCAGGGCTTGCCCACCTCTGAGTGGGAGTGAAAAGTAGGCCCTCCTGCTCCCCTGCCCTGGTGGCCTCTTCACCACCCAAGGCTTGGCCAGCAACCAGGTGACCCCGAAGCACCCGGCCTGACCCCTCTGCCTCCCAAAACAGGCCATTCTCCCTGTGCTGCCTGTGGCCAGCCCTGACACCCCCACCTGGCGGTCTGGGCGGTCCGCAGTAGGCCTCCACCTGCTGAGGGCATTGTCAGCGTCACCTGAAAGTCACCAGCTTGCCGGAACATTCTTATGCAAAGACATGAAGAATCAATTATAAATTCACAGGACTGACGTTTCACTAATCATGGGGCTAAAACTCCCCAGGGAGGAAAGTTCCCTGTTCCACTGGCGGGCTTTCATTTGCATTTTAAGACACATTAATAGAAAACGACGGAATGGGCTTTTCTTTGTGGCACTGTGGTAGTAACACCACCACCAGGCTCCGAATGTGAGTCTTCTTCCTGTATTGCTGGGACTCAGTACAGAACATATTATTGCATTTCAAAAATACTTTTACAATGGACATGATTTAATTTGAAAGTTCAGCTTAAGCTTTCATTTTCATGAGTTAAAAAAAGGAGGCAAAAATGTTGCAATTAAAGCCAAGCCAAGCATATGCACTCTCTTGCCATCTAGTGAGCATACAGGGTATTGCAACAGTGTGTGATCTTAATAATATGGGGTATCCTGTTAATTAAATTATGTATATGGGCTAACAATGAGTTATTTAATCAGCCATTTAATTATCTTGAATAACATTTTTATTACAGTGAAATAAATACCAATTTAACTTCTTAGCAATGAAATGTATTCATACGTTTTAGCCCTGGATAAATCTGCATGATATGCTATAATGCACAGTGGCATGTATTATAAAGCATTGAAAATGTCACTATCTTCACTTTTTAAATACTTCTTCCTCTCCTTAGGCCTCACTGTAGCCTTAGGGCACCTGCACTGGCAGACCATATGGATGCAGGTGCCTGCCACCTTAGGTGGCTTGGGCCCCCCCTCCCCCGGGTGCCCCTGGGAGGCCACTTCCCTCCTGGTGTCCCCACAGCTCGCCAGTATGCACATCAGAACCCGCCGTGGCTCCGCACATGATGGAAAGGAGCACGCAGCTGCATCAGCTACCTTCCGTCTTGCTGAAATTAGACTGCAGAAGTCCTTGCTGGTTGCAGAATGGTTGTAAATCTAGTTTCACGGCCTGTAAACACGTGTGGCTGCTGAAAAGAAATGGTGAAGATTGAGCTAAAATAGACTTGTCCCTGGAAGTAAGTCATTCATGTCCTTTACAAAAGCCAAATCCACAGGATCTGGAGAGTAGGTTAAGCTCTCTTGAGGAGCTTCTTTTGGCCATTTTACCTGTGAAGGGCTGTTTCCTCTTCAGTAAATAAAGTCATTAAGTAACCGTCAACCTAAGGAAACTTTGTAACACAATCCCAAATCCTCATCTGCTGTATTGACGATGGGCCCCCTGAAGTGCCCCAGAATTCTTCCCCCAACTGCAGCCCGGACACACAGACACGTGTCATGTTCACACCTGAGGGACTGGCGAGCGCTACTGTTGCTGAGCTGGTGGGAGTGGCTGCCGGCGGGTGCAGGGGCCCCCGAGATCCCTTCTCTGCCGCGCCTGCCCCCGGCCTGGAATCCAGCTTCCTCTCACACGGCTCCCAGGCCTGTGCACGTGCTCTTTGGGAAGAGCCATGCCTAAAGTAACTTCCCATCAAAGAGCATGGCTTGGTTTCGTAAAAACCTGTCTTTTGTCATACTAGATTATCTTCAGAAACACTGACCCCTGGCCCTGAGCACTGAAAGAGCGGTTAGGGTGATGCGGCTGGCCACGGCATCGCCCACTAGCAGTGAGTGCTGCGCCCCCACCACGCCCCCACCCTGCGCTCTCTGTGGTGGCCGCCTCAGCCTGGAGCATCAGTGGCGTGAGTGGGGCACTGGAATGACCCAGTGACACTGCCGGGCTGATAACAAGAAAGTCAAAGCCTGCCTTTTGTTTACTTGAAACCAAAGGTGGGACATGTGTGGGATTAGAACAGACATTGCCCAGCATGATGGGTGCTCGGAAGCCTACTTCCTTCCCCAGAGAAGCCTAGGGGGGCAGCTGCTACTTTTCCCCGAGCTGGTGCAAGCTGGTGAGTGCAGCCTCTGTTGGAAAGCAGGGCTGCTCCCCTAAACTTCTCAGATCAGGGCCAGCCCAGGGTGTGCAGGCCCCACAGCTGCATCTGGGGTGCCATGTCCGTCCCAGCTGCAACCTCAGCCGCCCCGAGTGCCCCCATGCCAGGTCACAAAGCCCTCCCCTGTGTGAGGGAGCTCACACACACACGTCCACACACACACATGCTCACACACACGCTCACACTCATACACAATGCTCACACACGCTTACACACACATGCTCGCACTCGCACAGCTAGACAGCAGAGACAGGCAGCAGGAAGGCGTGGGAAAGGAGACCGAGGCATGTGCTGTCTGGCTCGTCATGGGCGTCAGGCCTTGAATAAAATTAGTTTTAATGAGCTGTACTCGAAGGTACTAGACTGGAGAGAGTCGTTTTGGGTTTTTTTTGTTTTTTCCTTCCTACCAAACTGGAATTGTACTTGTCTGTCTTTCTTTGTAACATCCCAATTAGCAAGCCAGTAACTCCAGTCCCAGTTTGGAGGAAATGGAACATGTAGAAGAATAAAGAAATAAAAGTACCTCTGGGATTATACGATGAGTAAGTAAGAAGAAAAACACCATTGGTGGCCATAGTTACTGCTGACCGCGTGCTTATAGCTAAGTGCGAGAATGCAGGGGAGCATTTAGTGCAGGGCCTGCCGCACACAGCTCGCTCAATAAATGCGGCGATCACTGTCATCCTGGAGAGAGCCCGGGTTTGCTGGGGACTTGAGACAAGCTACCACTGTGTCCCACGTGACTTTGGCAAGACCTTCCTGCACGGAGACCGCGTTGCTCACACCTGGAAAGGGTGACTGGGTCCGCTCAGCGTCCAGCAAGTGGCTGTGATGGGCCGGCATGAGTGGGCAGATGGACAGTGAGACTGTGCTGCCAGGCCTTGCCCTTGAGGAGGGGCCACGGGCCAGACCACCACAGGCAGGGCAGAGCGATGAGGAATCCAGCAAAGGCCTTTGGCAGAAACCAGATGCCCTGAGCACGGCAGCTGGCACAGCGCTCCTACATGTTCCCCCGTAGCTGTCTCTAAAACGGGAAGGTCTCATGCGTGCCGCACGGAGCACACGACATTCACGCACTCTGCAAGGCCGACCTCCATCACATACTCAGCCTCAGCAAACTTGTTTTGTGGTTTTTCTTTACATGTAAAGGTTTGACCTTAATTTCTAGCATAGAAAACGTTTAAGAGACACTTTAAAAATTTGGCCTATGTATTTGGAGGATGGAGATGAGACAGCGTTCGCCAACTCACATGATAACTTTGTCAGGAAAGAGAGTTAGGTGCAGTCCAAGTGAAATATGAATCGCTGTTTAGAAGATGGAAGCAGGAAACAGACCCTCAGGCCCAACTAAACCGCGACAGCCCCCGGTGACAGGCAGGACCCCGCCGTTGCGATGCGCACAGCTCAGAATCCCGGCCCGACTGCAGTCGGGAGAGCAGCCGCCCCCTGGCAGCCGAGCACCGCGTGCTGGTTTCCAGCTTCCCCGCCAGCTCCTGCGTCAGCGTGTCCTCTCTCTACACCGCGTCTGTATACACTTGTGCTCTTCTACACGTGTGAAACCCACAGTGCTGTTCTCAGCTCTAAAGTACGTTGGGTTTTTCTTCCCACAGGATTATGTGCTGGCCGTGGAGGCGTATCATTCGGTTATCAAGTATTACCCAGAGCAAGAGCCCCAGCTGCTCAGCGGCATCGGCCGGATTTCCCTGCAGGTACCTGTGCACGGTCAGACATGAGCCAGAAAGGCCTTATGATAGTTCTTTGCTCAGATGGGCGACTGTTTGCTTTTAATCATTTTAATATAAGAAAGACTGCAGAAAATATTCCAATTCAAATGTATGTGACCATGAAAAGGGTGGGTTCTTTCCAGGAGTTCTGGTTTGACTGTGGGAGGCCCTGCTGGCTTTTGTGCCTGTTGCTAAATGTGAACCCACAGAAAGTGTCATCACAGCCACACTGAAATGAGTTACTCTAGACATTGTCCTGCTGCAGTTACGAAAGCACTGACTAAACCGTGAGGAATCTCAGTTCAGCTTATCCCGTAATAGTCACTCGCTGATATTTTGCCTGAAATAACCCTTGAATCATGTTTGCTGGACAGACAAAGTCCAGACTGAACAGTGGTCTCAGTAATGCACAAAGCTCGGCAGGACCCCCTTTGCTAAGAATGTCCTTGAAGCTGGAATGCATTTTCCTGGAATATTTGGTGACAGGGAGGTCACAGGGAGTGATGAGTCCCGCCCACATCCCTGTCAATCCCACCCTTGCAGGCGGAGCACAGGGCAGCTTCTGCCCCTCTCACCCTCAGTCTTAGGTCACGTCCCAAACCTGGGCCAGGGAAAGGAGGCACGAGCAAGGGATGGCTGAGCGGGGAGAAGCAGCACAGACCTTCCACAGGCACCCACTCACGGTGAGCCAGGCCCTGCGCTGAGCATTTCACCTCACGGTGTGACTGGCTTGTTTTACAGATCAGCAAACTGAGGTCTCCTGGTTAAGTGATATCCAGCTACAGGAGGCCACATAGATAATGGGGAAGCTAGAATTTGAACAGGGCCTCTGTGAACTCAGGGCCTGCACTCTCAGCTAACAGCTGGTCCTCTCCCCCTCCACACAGTTGCTCACACATGCACTGACACACGTAGGCACACGTGCACACACCATCTCCTGCACGCCGCCTGCTTGTGGAAGTCCACATGGGACACCAGATAGTGTTGGAGGACAGCCCTGTCCATGGGCCCCTGTGGTGGGGCACAGCAGATGACTGTCACTGAATAACCCCAGGCAGGCACAGATGCGTGACGCGTGAGCTGCCACCATGGGCATCGGCTCCTGCCTGCACTGGGATGCTTGCAGCAACCCTCGTTACCTGTGTGAGAAAGCTCTGTGTGGCCAGGATCTCCAGGCTGCCTCATGTGTAACATTATCCCCTGGTTATCATAGTAAAATAGTACGCTGGGCCTGCTCAGATTCCTCACTACCCTGGAGACAATCTCGGAAATTTTATTTCAGAGTCATATTTTGCACAATTTGAGAAGTAGATGCTGAATTGCTTTTGCGTCTGGAAGTGCTTCTCCTTCCAGGGGGAGCCACTGGCTTGACCACAGCGAGGGCTCTGGCAATGAGGCTGGAGTCTCAGGAGGGAGGCTCAGCTTCCACAGTGTGATTTAAGCCCCATCTGGCGCACAGAATGTGCTAACCAGGCTGCAAGGGAAGCCCTCGGTGTTCGCTTTTCTGAGGACACGGGGAGGTGATAGCGGCGCTGTGGGCAAGAGCTTTTGCCAAAGGAGAATGGAGAAAAAGACGGAAGCACCCAGGCCGACTGGACTCACCGACGCCCCACACAAGTGCCTCGATCTGCATCTCTTGCAAATTATTTATCAGGCCTCGCTCATGGGTATTTTTACTGTTGCTGAAGAGCAAGGTCTCTGAATTCTGTTTTTCTAAAGGAAATGGAGATTGCAATACCTAGCTATTTGGGATATCTCTGAAGACGTTGTGACGTGGCTGCTACAGAACTTCTCAGACAGCCTCGCGCAGCTGACGACTGCATTGCCATCTGCACATACAGAAAACCCAGCCCCAGTAAGTTCCGGCTTGGGCAGGTCAGTGTGTTGTCTGAAGATGCTGGATCTGGGAAGAAGGATGAAGCAGGCAGGTTTTGCCCTTGAAGAACACAGCCATTTGTGGGAGTCAAGGCCCGAGAGCACCGTTGTGATCAGCAAGAACGACCACATATCAGCCCAGTGGATGCCCGAGCACACAGCAGACCCCCACCCAGTTCTGAAACACTCCTGGGTGCACCTGGACCCGCCCTCTCCAGACCTCTCCTGTGTTGGGACCTCTCCTCATCTCCGCTGGGTTCAGCAGAGGGTTGCAGAGGCGGGACCCTGTGTGTACACGTGGTGCTGAGCTGCCAGAGATCTCAGCACGTCCCTCGTCCCCCGTCCTGCGCGTAGCTGCCATTAGCCTTCCGGGAGTACACTCCACCCTGCCGTCTCTGGTCAGAGGTCCTGCTAGGGCCTTGTGGCCTGTCAGGTGAGCCCACACTTAAAGCTCACATTCAGAGCCCTAGCTAACCTTTTCCAGCCCAGTGTTCTTCGCCTCATGTCCTTAGTCCCACCAGACAGTTGATTTGCTGTTGCCCAAACGGGACCACACTTGCTGCTTTGACCTCTCGTGGGCTGTTCCTGCTGCTCAGAACTCCCTTCTCTTTCTGCTTGTGCAAACCCTGCCCATTCTTGAGGGCTCACTGGAAGGACTTCTCTAAAGTCACCCCAGCCCTCTCAGCAAGCTCTCCCTTCCCTCTTCCCCAAGGCATCTACGGGGGATAAAAGCACAGGGCTCAGGAGCTGGGGTTTGGAACAAGACAGACCCCGACCCTGGTCCAGCTGCTCAGGCTGGCGTGGCTCTGAGCAGTTTATCTCACCTTCATGGTGTCAGTCCCCCCATACAACCGCCTGCCGTGAGCAGTCATCATCGTCGTGTGTAGATGATAAAGTTTATCCATGTGAAATCCTCTGTGTCCTGCCTGGGACATGCCAGGAGCGCTGTAAGCGTAACTTGCTGTCTTTCCTATGTCTTGAGGATGGGTTGTGTTTGTTCCGTTCCTCACAGATCCAAGTGTAAGGGCGGCATTCCCAGGTCTCAGCAAAAGTACGTGTGCTCAGAATTGCCCTTGGAAGCCCCACTCCCACGGCGGGGCAGCCACCCCATAGAGTGACTCCAGTGCACACGTGGGCACGAGGCCCTCCAGGATGGGCTGTAGGAAGGGGCAAAAGCCGTGTCCCCACGCACGTATCCGGACACTCACACCCCACGCGCCAGCCTCAGAGCTCCTGCTGGCGCACCCTGCTCACCCCCAATGCCGCATCTCAGCACGGGATGGAGGACGCCACACGGAGTCAGATTGCAGTCGATGAGAGGTCAGTGGTGCAGGACAAGATGGGGTTGAACGGGGACTCGAGTCCAGCAGAAACGCCTGAACTAAATGTAGACAGAATTGACTGCGCTCTGTTTTAAGGAGAAAGAACTCAAATGGAATGAACACGTAAAAGCCAGCAGAGAGCTCTGTTCCGAAGGGACGTAGCGCTCAATGCCTACTTTAAACTCAGAGTGTTCAGCCACGGTTAGATTCTTGGAGAAACAGCCCTCAGAGAAGTCACTTTCAAGAAAGCACGTGTGTTTTCCAGCTCTTGCAGTGTTCTTCTCCCTGAAGCACCTCATCAGTACCTGTATCTTAATTATACGGTCTCTAAACTGGCTGTGTGTGAGCCATTCTGAAATGAGTTGGTGCCACTACGGAAGCAAAGAAGTATCACATGCACTGTCAGCACCTGTGTGCTGTGCTGTCAGAGGGGTAAATTTCATAAGAAATACGTATATTAGTAACTGTCCCTCAAATGGTAAAATAATACTGCAGGTGCTTAGAAAGTACGGGACGAGGTTTTGGTTGCAGTCAGTGGAATCCGCAGTGGCTGCTATAAGCAGAAAAAGTTTATTCACGGACAGTAGTACAGGGAATCTTCATGAGGGCCCAGAGACAGGCCATTCTAGAGCCACAAAGCCAGGATGCCGTAGCACGTCACAGGCCCCTCCAGCAAGAATAGCACTGCCAGCTCTGCCTGGCATCTCAGAGTCTTGTCCCCACCCTGCAGACCCAGGTCCCCCACACGGCCTCCTGCTTCCGCTGCCTCCTCAGGCCATGTCACCTTATGTGCGTGCATCTCTCTGGGGGCCCAGGCTGCGGGGTTGCCCCTCCTGCAAGAGTAGGAATGTAGGCCTCCTGGTTCCTCCTTGAAAGGACCCCTGACAGGTGGGAAATGGACAGAATCGGGGAAGGCAGGGCCAGCAGCAGTCATGAGCATCCCTTACAAATCACATTGTAACATCTGAAGTCATGTAACACAAAGCTAAACGCGCGTGGAATAAGATTGATTTCGTTTCTCTGAGATTAGTTTCTACTCTTATGTGCATGGAGATACAAGGGAGGCTCGGCATTTTCTACAATCTTGAATGTTATCTCCAGACCAGGGAGGATTTGGGTTTCATCAGCATTGAAGGTGGGAGATGAGGTGGGCATCGCGTCGATGCTGAGTCTCGGGGAGAAAGCTAGGAAATGTCCCCAGCAGGTAGGGAAACGCTTGGCAAAGCACAAAGGCAGAGGGACCCACATAGCTGGGCCCATTCTGCTCACGCCCTGGCACTACTGCAAGAACTGTGGTTTTCCGGGTCAACCCTAGCGAGGAGGGAGCACAAGCAGAGCTTCTCTGCGGAGAAGGCAGATTTCCAGCTCCTAAGAACACCCTGTTCCACAAGGAAGCTGACGTGCCCCTCCCCAGGGACCCACGCCAAAAGGCCATTCTTCCAGGCCAGCGTCCCAGGGCGCTGCTGTGCGTGGTTCGCAGCCCCGGCAAACGATGGCCTGCACTGCGTGCTGTCCGCCCTGTTCCTGCTGGACTCTCTGCACTGTGTCCTGATCACCCTCTCAGCTGATAGTGGGCACTGCAGTGTGAATCTTCTCATGGACAACAGACCAATCCTGCCTCCACCAGTGCCGTCGCCAAATCAGTAACACAGAGCAACCTCAAACATTTCTGAATGTTTAGGTCATCTAATACTTGGCAAAAGAGTGGGCCGAACACCTCCACCCTCAGCTTTCTCTTCTGTTTGTGTGTGAGTGTGTGTAGCAGAGTCTGAGAAAGATACATACAGCCACCTTCCTTTTCTGAGCTTGGGAAAATTTGAACAAGAGCACTGAAATGCAAACACTAATCAAAAAGGAAGTATTTTCCATTTTAATTCTAAAGAGTGGAAATAGAAAAAAATGATTTTGCTAAAACAAAATATGCAGACACCTTTGGGAAAACGTGCTATAAAGGAACCATGCTAACTCCAGAGATGACCCAGCCGGACAGAGGTGAAAGGGGTGGACGGACAGCAAGGTTCTAGATGATTCCACACAGTTGGGCTGAGAACACTGTCACCGCACCTCCTCTTTGTGTTTAAAATTTTGCATTGAATGTAGGTGCCTCTGAAATATGCGAGCTAAAAATAGGAAGCTCACTCACTGACCACACCAACAGTTGCCCGGTCACACGAGAAGATACACTGGCGAATACAAGGATGGCACAGATGCCCTCACTTTGTGTTAGGCCTCCGAGGAGCTGACTTTCAATTTTAATATTTCAAAACGTATTCTACTTTTGAATAGCAATCCTTATTCTTTCCAAGAAATTCATAGCATAATTCTGGGCACTGAGCAAAGGGTCACCTGTTCGGTTTGTGTGCTGTTCACATTCCAGCTGGAAACCCTGGCTCAAATTACAGAATTGTACTTGGGGTTTAATGCCTGCATATAAGGGAGGATCCATCTCCCCCCTCGGCCTCGTCCCGCAGGCAGAACTATCATAGCCACGTTCCCTGCCAACTGTCAGCGCACCCGCCAGACAGGTGACAGCCGTGTTTCAAAACTCACATGCCTGCTGTGATCATTTCCACAGTCCCTTCATCTTCATCACACAGAGCCTCCTTTAGAGCACCAGGGCCTCCACACAGCAAGGGGGCTGGGGGTTAGGAGGAGAGAGAATGGGGCCCAGTGGGAATTTCCAGTTCTGAAGGAAATCTGTGTTGTAAGCAAGATTGAAGTCATTTGTATTCCAGAGGAGTTTCTCACATAATCTAAATTAAGGAGGGGCAGAAGCAACTGATCTTCAAACAGAAGAAGCATTATATTCATACTTCTTAGAATTACTTCACTCCAACTTAGATTCCACCTCAGAATCTCTTGACTTGGGTCTTAGAGGGTCCTCACTGGGACTTGGGACTGAGAGGGTCCTCACTTGGACTTGGGTCTGAGAGGATCCTCACTTGGACTGGGAAAGTAGCTGTGGTGCGCAGGTGCAAGTCCAGCAGCCAAGCACAGACGAGGGGCCTGTGCTTGGCATTGGGGCAGCTGAGCGCAGGGTGGTTCTGCAGTGTCTGTGGCCAGTCCTAGGCCTCGGTGTCCTGGACCAAAGGTCAGAGCCCAAGGTGATCAGGCAGGAGAAAGCCTCAGCCACTGCAGGAGTGGTGGGAAGTTGGGATAAACCAGCCACCCCAGGCAGGACGAAGGGGGACGGGATGCAGGACCACTCACCGCTATGGCTGAGAGGACCTCAGCAAGAACCAAGGTCACCTCTGACCGAGTTCCCAGAGAGCAGGAACCCAGGGCAGGGTGGGGAGACGCTGAGGTGGAAGAAGGGAAGGAAGGGCCAGGGAAGCGCTGTGAAGCTGGGAAAGACTTGAGCACGTTTTACAGAGGGGCACGACCCCAGGCTCCAGGAGGGGTGCGGGCACCTTGACCGTCTCGACGAGGAGGGTGGTTTTACGCACACAGCCACGTACCAGCATCCCTCAGGTTGTACGATCTGAAGACATGCAGGTTCCTGTACATCAGCCATAGCTCAACAGAGACCTTCAAATAGAAAAAGAAGAGACTGACTTCTGGCTGCCAGCCTGAGCCGTGGAGTGTGCTGGCTACAGTCAGGGAAAGAGTGGGGAGAGCGTCCTCCAGCCCCTGCCACCCTGTGAGGCCTCATCATGCTGATGTGACACCGAAGTGCAAGCAAAAAGAAAATGTAGGTAAGTGGGATTTCACCAAAACTAAAAACTGTTGTGCTTTAAAGGACACCATAAAGAAAAAGTAAAAAGACAACCTATGGCATGGGAGACATTGCTTGCAAATCCCGTATCTGATAAGAGACTTACATCCAGAATATATGAAGAACTCTTACAGCTGCTAAATTAAAAACGATTCATGGCACTAGCATGCAGCAGGGGAGAGACTGGACTCAACTCTGACTTCACGGAGGACAGGTGGGAACTGACAACCAGGGACCAGGGTCAGGGTCAGCGTCCCTGGTTGGAAAATCACCCAGAGGAAGCTTCAAGAAGGGGTTTCTGGCCAAGCAGACTTGATAGGATCGTTGCTGACAGCCGGCCAGGGTGGTAGGATCTCCAGGTGCTAAGACACCGAGGGCGGGGACTTTTCTTAAACTGACTTAGCAGGATTCTTGCTCACACTGGATTCTACAAGGACAGAGAAGGAAGGCAAGGTCAAGCTTGTCTGGTAGAGGAGGCTTCTGCACGGATGCAGCCTAATTTATGCATTGACAGCCTGCCTGGTTCCCAGCAGGCCCTCGGGTTCTGCAGAGAGAGCAGGTGAGGGGGGGTCAGGGGAAAGGAGAGCACCCCTGGGGCCGGCTCTGCTGTGCTCACGCCGGGACGGGAAGAGGAGCTGGTGAAGGAGAACTCAAGAAAAACATGGAAGAGAAGCTAGGGTACTCTGAAATAGATCGCATCTTTCTTTTATTCGTTTATGTACATTAGCCTGGGGGGATTTGCCCAGTTGGAATGGAACAGTTTTTCTGATAAGCTTTAAAATACAAGAATGTTTTATAACATAAAAATTTAGACTAAAGTTTTCCGTGTTGGTTTTTGGGTAGGGTTTTTCTGGTGGGTTTTTTTGTCTGTTTTTGAGACGAGGCCTCGCTCTGTCACCCACACTGGAGTGCAGAGGCGCAAATGCAGCTCACTGCAGCCTTGACCTCCTGGGCTCAAGCAATCCTCCCGCCTCAGCCTCCCGAGTAGCTGGGAACAGGAATGCACCACCATGCCCAGCTAAGTTTTTTGTAGAGAGGGGGTCTTGCCATGTTGCCCAGGCTGGTCTCAAACTCCTGGCCTCAAGCAATCCTCCTGCCTCTGCCTCCCAAAGTGCTGGGATTACAGGCATGAGCCACTGGGCCCAGCTGAAATGAGTTTTCTGTATCAATTGCAGACCTATGCTTCTGTGACTAAAGTTGATCAGTGGTAAATATGAAAAGAACTGGGTTTTCTAGCTGACTACAGATTTAATATCATCTAGCAACCTATGTGGCTGTTAACATAGCTGTTCTGTCTTTGGATGGTTTAAAATCATCTGACTCCCACACCACAGAGAAGAATCATTCTTGCCTTCCTCTCCAGTCAACAGCTCACAGCCATGGACTGCAGGACACTCCGCCTTGAGAACACTTTAAAATGGCCATTGCCCATCTGTAATGGCTTCCGTGCCACCAAGGTGATGAGGAATCCCAAAACTGTGACAGAGAAGCAGGTGAAGGAGCTGAGAACTGGAGCTCTCCCCCACCCCTCAGTGCCTGTATTAGTTGGGGCTCTCTAGAGGGACAGGACTCATAGAATAGATGAATCTATGAAGGGGAGTTTATTAGGAGAATTGACTCTCGATCACAAGGTGAGGTCCCACAATAGCTGAGGAGCAAGGAAGCCAGTCCAAGTCCCAGAACCTCGGCAAGTCTGCTCTTTCCAACTTCTGCCTGCTTTATTCTGGCTGTGATGGCAGCTGAAGAGATGGTGCCTACCCAGATTAAGGGCGGGTCGGCCTCCCCCAGCCCACTGACTCAAGTGTTCATCTCCTTTGGCAACACCCTCACAGACACACCCAGGATCAATACTTTGCATCCTTCAATTAAATTGACACTCAGTATTAACCTTGACAGCGCCCAAGGAGGGGAGGGCCAGACCCAGCGCACAGTTCCAGTTTCTGCCACGGAAACACTGACCATGTGTTGCTCTTAAGGTCGGAGCTCCAGGGCGGCGTTTCCCCGGGTTTCTGCGTTTATAAGTGATGTTAGTATCTGGTTTGCGTGTGCACAGGTGACATCTCAAAAGGATATGGTGGCTGTTTTCTGTCTTCATATAAGTTAGAAGCTTGCTTTCTCTCTCTCTGGAAAACTTGAGTAATGTGGAATGATCTATTCCCTGAAGGTTTGAGTATTCACCTAAGAATTGCCTTTGCTGAGCACATGAGGTGTGCTGTGTGCTTTTCCTAATTTATTATTATGAATCTGCCTTAGTGTTGTGTGCCTGAGGATTTTTCTGTGTTTCTGGGAACCATTTTGGTAACTGAGAGTTTTCTAGAAAGCCACCTGTTTGGTCCCTGTTTTCTCGTGGATTCGCACAGAGTAAAAGACAGTGCTCTTACCATTATTTCCATTTCCTTGTTCTGCCTGTAGCTATTTCTACTTTTACATTTCTGTTTATGCTTCCTTTTTCTGGATTAGTTTATACACTGTTTTTTGTCTTTTTCTTTGTGAGACAGGATCTTGCTCTGTCTGCCAGGCTGGAGTGCAGTGGCACAGGTATGATTCACTGCAGAACTCCTGGGCTCAAGAGATTCACCTGCCTTAGCCTCTCATGTAGCTGGGGACCACAGTGCTTACGGCCACACCTGGTGCTTACAGCCACACCTGGCTAATTTTCTTTTCTTTTTTAATGGAGACAAGGTCTCACTTTGTTGCCCGGTCTGGTCTTGAACTCCTGAAATTCAGCGATCCTCCCACCTCGGCCTCCCAAAGGGCTGAGATTACAGGTGTGAGCCACCATGCCCAGCCACTGTATTTCCTTTTTAATAGTGTCTTTTACTGATTTGTTTTCTACATATTCTGGAATACTTTTAATTGCATTTTTATGTTTAATTTTTTCAGTTGCTCCTAACTTTTAGAAATCGGTAGGATTTTGTATCCTAATTACATTTTAATAATTCTGAAAATGTCAAGTTACTTTCTAATCATCAGGAAAGTCAGTGGGTAGCAAAGAATATCCCAAGATTTCTCTGTTATCTTCCTCTGAGACATTGAGTAAAGTCCCATGCCAGCCTCAGGAGGCCTTGCAGTGCGGAGGATCAGCACACGGTCTGGGCGTTGGACAGCCTGGGTGTTGACCACAGTGTTCTGTGTTAGCTGTGTGACCTCAGAAAATTGTCTCATCTTTCCAAGCCCGACGACTTCATCTAGAAAGCGAAGCTAGCGACAGCATCTGCATCCCAGGCTGTCGCGAGGGTCAGGCGAGCTGTGCTTGTAAGCGCTTGCCACGGCCGCCGGCACACGTTAATCTTGATCGGTCTTGATGATGGGCTGTAATCATCTTCAGTTCAGTGTCTCACACGGTCCTGTTAGACAGGAGATGCAGGCGTTCGAGCTGAGGGCCGCGTCACGGAGCCCATGCTGCCTTCGGTTTCTTTTTAGTCCGCAAGTGGGAAATCGATAGTAGTGGACTTCAAACGGCTTCGGACTGTGCAGACGACGGGCAGCGATGGACAGATGCCATTCAGTGTGTGGTGTGTGTGCACGCCTGTGTTTTCTCTTGTTTCATTCTGTTTTTTCTTCCTCCTCGTATGGTATTTCTTTTGTGGGATAACAGCAACAGTTGTGAAGGGCCTGAGATGTTATCCTGTTTCCAAGCTGTGGAGTTAGCTGCCACTTTCATGGATGCTGGCAAAAAATGTAAGATTCCTACGTTAGAGAGGAAGGCTATTTATTACACAGCAACAGCAGTACAGCCAGAGTGGCATTCTTCCCACCAGCCACGGGGCCCTGATTCCTCAGGGTCTTCACCGAGGGCCTCATGAGGCCTGCAGTGGGCTGTGTGGCTGGAGAGGAATCCTGAACTTAGAACACCCAAATCCTTGCTACTGGGAGGCGAGCCTGCCTGCCCTTTGCCCCAGAGGGATGCAGTTTAGCTTACAAGGCTGTCCTCTAAACAGGCATCCTTGTGTAAATGCTTTGAACAAAGCCTTGTCACTGTCTGTGCTTGGAAGACATGCAGAAACATGACACCCATGGAGAACCATCTCCCCACCAGTCATCTGAGAAGTTAGCAGGCTTGTTTTAATGCTGGACAGATGCTTGGCGTGGACAGTCTAAGAGTTAACTAGGCTGCTCAGTATGATAGTGATGGGTGCCCCAGCCCTCCTCATGGAGGTGAGCCGCGCGCATTCAGCTTGTTTCTCATCGAGACAGAGGACAGCATTCTGTTAAGTTTCTGCTGCTGCCATGATAACAGAGCTCGCTGTCACATTCTGGCTCCCGCAGGCTGTGCCCCGGACACAAAGCAACTCTGTCTTTACCCTCGTGAGCGCGGCTTGGGCCATAATAGGACTTTTCTTTCATTTGTATCTATTTCTTATTGTAAGCCTTAGATCATTTATTCCCTTCCTTACACTTCTAGAGGTGAAAGAAAACCCAAGTCTGCCTTTGTAAAACCAAGCTGTGGCCTCAGGAGTCAGGGCTGGGGCACTCAGCCTTCCACCCCCCAGGCCTCCTCTGCCACAGGCCTGCTGCATCCGGCTGCATTTCAGTCGGGCAGCCGGTGGGTTTCCTGACATGCGTGATAAGAGTGGGTTTGAGTTTGGTTTGGCTTGTTTTTTACAGTTGAATTCTATATTATTTGGTCAAAATATTACTTTGCAATTTGCAAATGTGGTGGCACCTACCATTTTACTAGCCACAAGTAACTCATAAGTTGACGTAGGACCTGCTCATATTATACCAATATTTTAAGTATTTTATGTTTCATCTTATTAGTTATTCATTTTATTTTATCTAATGCTCTGCCAGAATTCATTCCAAAAGGTAAAAATTACTAAACTATAAGACTCTTAAATAAGGCGTGTATATTAGCAACTTAGTTTCTGACATATAGAACATTAACATTCCACTGTATCTTAAATGTCTTTTGCCTTTTTATTAAAAAATGATTAAATGGTTACTGAAGTTTTCCTCTGCCTGACATATAAATGTCTTCATATTCTAACATGATATTAGGGAACTAAATATATGAGTATAGACTTAATATTTCTTTTGTCAACTAAACTGACTAAATTTTGTCAAAGCAGATTGGAGACATAAAAACAGCTGAAAAGTATTTTCAAGACGTTGAGAAAGTAACACAGAAATTAGATGGACTACAGGGTAAAATCATGGTTTTGATGAACAGGTAAATATTTTAAAACTAAATATATGTTTTCTCAAATTTCCCAGAGGCGTTCAAGCCCCACTTACTGAGTTGGAAAGCTCCCTAGAGAAGGCGCTTCTCCCTGTATCTCCTCTTGCCCTGTGTCTCTCAGAGCGGAGACCCAAGGAGTATACAGGTGTTTTCTTGAATCGCAGTGATGTTCTTTTAGTCACAGAAGCTGATTTTTAAGGAGCTATTCCCCCTTGTTCTTCAGAGAAGCGCTTGTATTGCCCCCGTTTTCAGCGTATGTGTGTGTAAAGGTCACCATTGCTGGCGTAGCGGCCGTTCTGGATCCTGTGCTCTGGTGTTCTGTGTCTGGATCCCGTGCTCTGGTGTTCTGTGTCTGGATCCCGTGCTCTGGTGTTCTGTGGTAGAACGCACAGCGTCGTGCGAGTGCACGTTCGTGAGGAGGAAACACGCCTTGGACAAAGCCTGCAGCCAGGATCAGAAAGCGTAAATAAAGCAGGTGTCCGCTTTTAGCAGGAAGTCATTTAGGTGAAGTTACTCTATCTCAATTAACAAAAACTAGAGTGGCTTGGCCGGGTGCAGTGGCTCATGCCTGTAATCTCAGCACTTTGGGAAGCTGAGGCACGTAGATCACTTGAGGTCAGGAGTTTGAGGCCAGCCTGGCCAACATGGTGAAACCCCATCTCTACTAAAAATACAAAAAATTAGCCAGGCGTGGTGGCAGTCGCCTGTAATCCCAGCTACTTGGGAGGCTGAGGCAGGAGAGTTGCTTGAATCCAGGAGGCGGAGGTTGCGGTGAGCCGAGATCGTGCCACTGCACTACAGCCTGGGCAACGAGAGCAAAACTCCATCTAAAAAATAAAAATAAATAAAAACTAGAGTGGCTTTAATGTGCGAGCCTGAATGCAAAACGCAGCTCACCGCCTCTACCTGGAGATCAGGAACCCCGGGCCACACAGGGCCATACGCTGGGTCTCTGTGGGATCCAAAGCCCCTGTGGGTTGTGTTGGGGGACAGCAGCTCCTGGGCTTTCCCCGCTAACTGCCACCGTTGCTTGTGTTACAGCGCGTTCCTTCACCTCGGGCAGAATAACTTTGCAGAAGCCCACAGGTTCTTCACAGAGATCTTAAGGATGGATCCAAGAAACGCAGTGGTAAGATCCCCAAGCTGCAGGATCCTCCATCCTCTGCCTTTCACAGACGCTAGAAACATACACCCACACACGTCTCAGCAGGGGCCTGCGCTCTCTCTCTCCAGTCCACCAGCTCCAGGCAGTGGCTGTGGCCCTTAGGGGAAGTGACCCAACAGGGCCACCTAGGCTCTGCCCAGCAGCTCTGCACCACCCCCAGGCCCCTAACACGGCCCAGCACGCAGCCTGGAATGGGCGGGCGTCTGTCCTGGTTGTGTGGGCCAACCCTGGGCGTGTGCTCCTCCCTAGGCCAACAACAACGCTGCCGTGTGTCTGCTCTACCTGGGCAAGCTCAAGGACTCCCTGCGGCAGCTGGAGGCCATGGTCCAGCAGGACCCCAGGCACTACCTGCACGAGAGCGTGCTCTTCAACCTGACCACCATGTACGAGCTGGAGTCCTCACGGAGCATGCAGAAGAAACAGGCCCTGCTGGAGGCTGTCGCCGGCAAGGAGGGGGACAGCTTCAACACACAGTGCCTCAAGCTGGCCTAGCTGCCTCCAACACACTACGTCAGAAGGACCCGGGTCTTTGAAACTGTGTCTTGAAGCTAATGTATTAATGTGACATGGAGGAACTCAATAAAACTCCTGCTTCACTGGTGTCTGCTGCGTGTCTTCTTGGTCCCAAGCCACGGCCCAGCCCAGGACTTCCCCGCAGTTGGTCGGCGTTCAGCCACGCAGTCCCTGCAGCTGGGTCACTGTTCATGAATGCAAGGGGCAGGCGTGCTGGGAGGACACAGCTCGTAGACAGGAAATCTGGAGTCAGCCTCGGGGCCTCTGTTCTGGAGGCCAATCCTGCTTTGCTCGTTCCTTCTGGACATCCTCAGAGAAAAGCTGGGAGGTGTGGAGACCCTCTCGCCGTGCACCTGCACGTACAGGGAGATTTACAACAGGGAAGACACCCCCCACAGATCGCCGCTCATGCTCCTCTTGCCCTCCCCACACACCCAAAACTAAGTGCGTTGGTCTTACCCATCCGAGTCTCCTCCAGCCTGATGCCAGCCAAACGACCCCTGCCAGCCTGGCGGTGGAGGAGAGGCCATCACTGTTTCTCCCATAGTTTATACGTCCACGTGGAGAGTGAGCTGAGTGGAACAGGAAGCACGACGCATAATGAAGCACAGGAAGAGCGCGTAAAACGCAGGCAGGCAGGGGCTGGGGGTGGTTTTGAAGCCAGACACGTGTTTTCATGTGTTCTCTCATGCCTGAAAGGCCTTTTGCCCTTACGTTTACACAGTTATTCCTGCTTTTGAAGAACTTAAAGTACCTGAAAATGTCTTCACTTTACGAAAGAACTCTGCCAAGGGTTCTCTAAATATCTAGCTTTGTGGATAGTTTTAAATATAATTCATTTTACAGACTGTGATATAAACATTTGCACAAAGCGAAGCCATATTTCTGTTAATTTTTGTAATAGAGTAGAAACATACAAACACTGCATCTACCAGACAGTCTCAGCCCATTTGCTGACATCTAGATTAATTATGCATTAAAAGAAAAGAAAAAAGAGGTGAGACAGCCAAAAGGACTGTTGGACACCAAGGAGGTTTCAAGATCTTTCTCTTCAAAAAGAGAACTGAAACTATTGTTAAGCCCAGAAAGATGAAGATGTAATTAGAAGCCCTCCACCTTGAGGGTCTTCCTTCAAATGTGACTTCAGGGATGAAGTGTAAGGCTCTTCCTCTGCTCCAACCTGGCACCTTACTGCAGGCATCTTACAGGATTTGCCAGAGGATTATGGAGCCCGTCCTTTACAGGCTCGGGGCTCAGAGCTGTCCCCGGCCAGTTGTGCGGGAAAGCAGACAGCAGTGCCCAGGCTCCAGCTAGACATGAGCCCGGCAAATCAGAAACAGAGATCAAAGTTCCCTAGTAAGCTGGTAAGCCTAAATCCACCCTCCCTCCCAAGCCCCACCCCCATGCTGCTGGCATGAGGCCAGGCCAGGTGACAGTATCATTGCCTCGTTTCTTGCCTGGATTATTTCTTCCTGGTTTTTTTGTTTTTTTTTTTTTTTTTTTTTTTGAGACAGGATCTTACTCTGTCATCCATCCAGGCTGAAGTGCAGTGGTGCAAACATGGTTCACTCCAGCCTCAACCTCCTGGGATCAAACGATTCCCCACTCTCAGCCTCCTGAGTAGCTAGGACCACAAGTGTGCTCCACCACGCCCAGATTTTTTTTATTTTTATAAAGATGGGATCTCACTATGTTGCCCAGGCCAGTCCCTAACTCCTGGCCTCAAGTGATCCTCCCACCTCGGCCTCCCAAAGTGCTGGGGTTACAGGTGTGAGCCATGGTGTCCAGCTAATTTTTTTTTCCTACTGCCTGTATGATTGCAGAATTTTTTGTTTTGTTTTGCTAGAAGAGGAAAACGGTGCTGTGAGTGTCTATAACGTCTGGGACAATTGTAGCTTATCTAGTTTACACTTAGCTTTTCTTTATGTTAAAAATAAATTATACATCCCAGAAATCTTTTCTAGAGCCAATTGAAGTGAATGGCTAACGATCAGAAAGCTTATTTTCTAACTGGAAAATGGGAACTCGCTGAGTTGATGATGGGCTCACAACTGTGGAAATGCCCACCCTGGAATGCACAGTGGAGAATGAAGAAGCCAGTAACCCTGATGGCATCGTTACCGAATGGCCAGGGTGTGCCAGGCGGCAAGGGTGGATTTGCTCCCTGAATGATCCATCCAGCTGAATCTTGAGTCATTCCGCGTTTGCCACGAGGGGCAGTGTTAGATCAGTGGTCCTCAAAGTGGGGTCCCCGAAGCAGCAGCACCAGGTTCTCCTGGGAACTTGACGGAAATGCACATCCTCAGCCACATCCTCTGATCACAGAGGAGTCAACTGCTGGGGCCTGGGCTGGGCCGGCCCGACAGTGTCGTCTGCACCGCCCTCCAGGAGCTTCTGGTGCTCCTGCAGGTGTGAGAACGCATGTCAGACGCCGGAGGCCACAGACAGAATTCCAGTTACACAGCAGGCGTTGGAGCCCATGGGCATCGCCATCCTGCCTTACACTGCTGGCCTCTTCTATGCCCCCTCGAGGATTGTGCCCCCACTTGTTCTCTCTGCCTGGACCCCTCCTGGCATGCACCTTCCTAGTCCCTATTCAGTGTCACCCCCTGAAGCCTGCCCTCAACCCCAGGACAGTGCAGCCCCGTCCACACTCCCCTTACCTCTTGTCCTGGACCCACACAGGCTCCGCAGCACCTGCTCCTGGCACGGCCCCACAGTTGCAGTACTTGGGCTGGAGCTGCCGCCATGAGGTCCTCCTTCAAACACCCAGTTCCAGCGTTCCCCGGGAAGCTTCCCATGCCATCTTGTCACGTCTTGCACCCAGCACCGAGGGTGAGGCCCGGCAAAGCAGAGCTGCAGGGGCTCAGCTGTGTACACCACAGTTCTTGAGACGCCCACCTGTGTGTCCTCCCCGATCCTGCTCCACAGGTCCAGGCCCAGGCCCAGAGGTAGCCCCTGCGTTCCCGTGGCTTCAGGCACACGTGTGCAGACATGACGCCGAGAACACCGGCTTTGCCACCAAGGACAGAAGACAGTCTGCCCCACCCGGGGTCACCTGCAGGTCCTGCTCTGACCAGGGTCCAGGCCCTGATTCCGGGGATGCGACAGCACCCAGAATGTCCTGCCTTGTGTGGCACGTGGGACCGGGGACTCGGGCCCCAGGGCTCCCAACCCTGGCTGTGGAGAGTGGGTGGCTCCGCTGCTGGTCGGGGGCACTGTGTGGGCAGACAGCGTGCCAGTGGCCACAGGATGTCCTGACAGCAGAGGCGCTAAACACTCCAGGAGCGCCTCAGCCCCAAGCTCTGGTTCCACCCCTTGCGGGTGAGGGAGGCCCAATGACAGCCAGACTCCATCAGTTCAGAGGCAGGGGCTAGAGATGGATTTAATTCAACTTAAAAAGAAATACAAGAATGGACCTTTTCTGCAGTCCTGAGGGAGTGGACAGGTTGCGTGCGTGCTCTGACGGTGGGATCCAGACCCCCTCCTCTCCTGCGTTGAAGGTGCCACCGGGCCTCATCCCCAGCCACATCACATCCTGAGCCTCTTACAGGCAGGCCCCGAGGTCCTTTCACCTTTCTCTTCTCTCCAGTGCTTGGTGCATTTTCAAACTCAGTACCTTTCTTTTGAATAAATGAGCAAGAATAAACCCGGTGCTGCTTGCCGAGCTCCTCTCCCTGGGCGGGGAACTAAAGCAAAACCACGCTGGATGGGGTCCCAAACACCCTAAGAAGGCCGAGCTCCTGCCGCTCTCCAGCACGCGCACCGAAGACCGGAGGGAGGGTCTGTCGCTCTCCTGCAGGAGCACGAGTGGAGGGAGGGCCTGCGGCGCTCCAGCAGGAGCATGAGGAGTGGAGGGAGGGCCTGTCACTCTCCAGCACGCACACCGAGGAGTGGAGGGAGAGCCTGTCGCTCTCCAGCAGAAGCACCAAGGATTGGAGGGAGGGCCTGTCGCTCTCCAGCAGGAGCACGAGGAGTGGACTGCCGGCCCGTCACTCTCCAGCACGTGCACCACGGAGTGGAGAGAGAGCCTGTCACTCCAGAAGGAGCACCAGGAGTGGACTGCGGACCCGTCACTATCCAGCACGTGCACCAAGGAGTGGAGGGAGGGCCCCTTGCTCTCCAGCAAAAGCACCAAGGATCGGAAGTAGGGCCTGTCGCTCTCCAGCACGTCCCCCCCCGGCAGTGGAGGGAGGGCCCGTCGCTCTCCAGCATGAGCACCCAGAGATGGAGGAAGGGTCAGCCATTTGTCAGGCTCTGCGTGTGAAAAGCTGTGATTTCATTTCTTATCAGTTATTACTGTCACTATCACTCAGGATGAAATTGGCCTCACCCGCTCAGGAGCAATGCTGCCTTCTCCCTGTCCTCCTCCTGGATTGTTGAGGAAAAAGCCAGACTAACCTGTTCCACACCTTGGCATCAGTTGCATAAATGCTATCTCAGCATGTTCTAGAACACAGTACTGTTTAAACAACGTTCTGGGGGTAACCAAGTTTATAACTTGCAGACCCGATGGCCGTAAAGCATGGGGTGGGGGGGTGCCTGCCTGCATTGCAGCTGTCAGAGCTGCACAGAGCCTGCGACACCCAGCCATGGCTTCTGCCCACCAGGCCACGTCCCTCCGCTCCTCTGAATCCTTCCAGTTCTTCTTAGGCCACTTAAACGCCACCGTCTCCACGAAGTCCTGTCGGATCACCCTCATAGGAAGTGACAAACCACGTTTTGAACCCCTCTCCCCACCCAGCAAGCCCCTAGCCCGCGAGCATAGGATTTCCTTTCTAGAACACGTGTTCTGTGAAGGGCCAGAGGCAATATTTGAGGCCTCGTGGGCCACATGCTGTCCCTGTTGCATATCCTTTTTTTTGTTTGGTTTGGTAAACTGCTTAAGCTGGCAGAACAACAGAACCCGCACATTCTCCACGCAGCCCAGCGCCCTTGGCCATGCAGGGCTGTGCCTTCTGCCAGCTCTGGAGGCCCAGGGGCTGGCATGGGCCTCCCGTCCTGAGCCCCCCATGTACATTGCACCCATACTGGGAACGCCCCCAGGATCTGCTGCGAGACCCCCAAGGACCAGCTTCTGCAGTCCTGGAAGGGCTCTCCTGACCCCCAAGTCCGCCATCTTCTGATGGTGGCAGGTGGGCACAGTCACTGGCTGAGCGACCAAGGGTCAGTGAGATTACTAGGCCGGCGCTGCACCCAACTGAAATGAACTCACGTGTCCTCACAACTCCTAGCAGCAGATGCTGTCAGCCTCGCATCCTACAGGAAAGGAACCATCGCCAAAAGACGCTGAGGAACATCCCGAGGGTCACAGGGACAGTGCAGAGCCAGGACCAGCCCGGCCCATGGTCCCCCAGCGTGCACCACCTGGCCCGGCACTGTGTGCTCAGCCATGAGGACTGGGAAGAGTCCTGCCCACAGCTCAAGTGTCTACACCGCACTGCCATCCAGGCTGTGAGCCGCTGCTGAGCATGGGGAATGTGGCTGCTGCAGAGACGTTATGAAACACTTCTAAAAGAATGTAAAAGATCTCATTAATAATTTTGAGTACCTGTTAAAATGATAGTAATTTTGGATCTAGTAGATTAAATAAAACATATTATTAAAATTAAGATGACCTTTGAACATTTTTAACGTGGCTACTAGAAAACTTTAAGTTACGTATGTGGCGCCCATTTGTGGCTCCCATTCTGTTTCTGTTGGATGGTGCCAAAGAAACCAACACGTAAAAGCCCCTGCAGAGGAGCCGCTGCTTTGCCAATGGTTAGTGGTCAGTGTGGGTTCTGCCCTCTGGGTTCCTGGCAACCAGGGCTGCTCTCTGAGGGCTGAGGTTGCCACGGGCTAGGCAGATACTGGCCCTGCAGCCCTCACTCTCCGGAGGGCGTGGGGCATGGGATGGGATGTTTCAGAGGACGTGGGGCATGATGGGACGGGAAGTTTCAGTGGGTGTGGGGCATGATGGGACGGGGTGTTCCGGAGGGCGTGGGGCATGATGGGACGGGATGTTTACTCTGCTCCATGGCCTTACAGTGTTAAGTGTAAGTCAGCATTGAAAGCAGTTTTCCCTGGAACATAGAATTCTAGTTGATGCGGATCCAGAACCACGGAGGGTCCTACAACTGCTAGGCTGAAGGCTGACTTACCAAAGGCCACAGAGCATCTCTCCCCCAGCAGGTTCCTGTGGCACTTGCATGTGTGTCTTTTTCTTTTTCCCCCAAATAATTTTCCAGTTTTATTCTTTTCCTTTGACATAGAAGAACACAATTACCGAGAGAAGAAAAGGAAGGCGAGGGTGACTGCGCGCCTCCCCATCCCCACCCCCATTCCCACACGGCTCATTTCAACTCTGGGAGGGTTTACAGGTAAGAATGTGAAAATCAGAAACGTCAGGTAACTTTTCCAAGGACCCACAGTTTAAAGCGGGAGAGAGGGAGGGATTCCAATCCAAATCTAACAGTGAGGCTCATGGTGGTGCCACGATCTGTGTTGCCGTTTCACACACTGCATATTGCTTTGCAGTGGAGAGCTGAATCCACAGGCAGGGCCGGACCCACCAATGGGCTGCCGTGGATAGGCTTTGGGCTCCAGCACCACACACATGGCCACACGCTTACACATACAACACACACATGCACTCACACACGGAGGACCGTGTTCACCTGCGTCTAGGTCCTTTCCACCTCGAGGTTTACCTTTATTGGACCTGGAACCCGATTACGGGCAGTCTGTTCCCGCGTCGCCCACCCTCGTCCGTGGGAGAAGTGCCATCTCCGGGACCGTGTTAGGCGTCCAGCACAGCCAGCCAGGCTCTCCAGCCTCACTCCCTCCACCCCAGGGCCCCGAGGCTCTGCCCACCGAGATGACACCCTGCGACCTCCACCCTGGCTCCTTCTGGTCACCCTGACACCCACTCCTCAAATGCCCACAGTGAGCCTGGGGTCCTGCTGCCTGTGGAGTGGACCCAGTGCGTCTCCCTAAAGCCTCCAGCTGGCTTGGCCTTTGTCTCAGCCTCCACCTGCTTCCCGGGGTCAGGGAACCCTGCCAGCTCCCTGGGCGTGCTGAGCTGGACAGTCAGCGAACTGCATCCCTGAACCCTCGCCCACTGCTCCAGGAAACTCACCCACCCTCAGGGCTGCTGGAATTCACATCCGATGGGTGGAGTTTATTCTCTGCACCCCAGGGCCCCCCACACATGTCAGGAGGAAGAGCTGCCCTGGCACCATGGGTAGACTGCAGGGAGACCCCAGGATGCGGGGAAACCCCAGGATATGGGGAGACCCCAGGATGCGGGGAAACCCCAGGATATGGGGAGACCCCAGGATGCGGGGAGACCCCAGGATGTGGGGAGACCCCAGGCTGTGAGAAGGCCCCAGGCTGCAGGGAGACCCCAGGATATGGGAGACCCCAGGATGCGGGAAGACCCCAGCATATGAGAAGGCCCCAGGCTGCAGGGAGACCCCAGGATATGGGGAGAAGCCAGACTGCAGGGAGACCCCAGGATGCAGGGGAGACTCCAGGCTGTGAGAAGGCTCCAAGCTATGGGAAGACACCAGGCTGTGGGGAGAAGCCAGACTGCAGGGACACGCCAGGATATGGGGAGAGACCTGGCTATGGGGAGAGCCTGGGCAACAGGGAGAGGCCAGGCTGTGGGGAAACCCCCAGATGGGGACAGAGGCCAGGCTGTGAATGGGAAACTGCGTCTGTTTCCTGAGGCTGCCGTAAGACACTCCTAAGTATGAGAGCACAGACTTGATTCCCTCCCCATTCTGGAGGCTGCCGTCAGCAGGCCATTCCTAGAGAGGCTCCTTCCTCTCCTCTTCCGGCCTCTGGGGGCTCCCGGTGCCCTTGGCTTGTGGCCACATCACTCCGGTCTCTCCTCTGGTCACACAGCCTCCTCCGTGTGCCAAATCTTTTGCGGAGCCACTTAAGATGGTATTTGGGGCCCACGGTAATCCAGAATAATCTTCTCATCTCAAGATCCTTAAGCTAATTACATCTGCAAAAGCCCTTTTTCCAAAACAGGTCACGTGCACAGGTCCCAGGGCTTAGGATGGGGCCGTGACCTTGGGAATGCTCAGCGGCCAACCACAAACGCCCACTGAGTAGCTTCCTGGGGCTGCTGTAACAAGGTGCCCAAACAGAGCAGCTTAAAATAGAACTGCATCTTCTCACAGTTCAGGGGGCTGGAAGGCTGCACGCGAGCTGCAGGCTGGCTGCATTCTCTGGAGGCTCTGCAGTGGCGTCTGTCCCAGGCCTCTCTCCGTGGTGGCCATGGCAGTCCTCGGTGCTCCTGGCTTTCGGCCACATGGCCCCAGTCTCTGCCTTTGTGTTTATGTGGCCTCCTCCAGTGTCTCTGTCTTCTGTTCCTGCAGAGACAACAGTCTTTGGAGCTAGGGCCCACCCTAGTCCAGGATGATTCCATCTCAAACCCCTATTTAATTACATCTGCAAAGACCATTTCCAAAAAGGTCACATTCCGAGGTTCCGAGCAGACATGAACTTTTAGTGGACGTTATTCGAGCCCCTCCACCTCACAGACAGGCTCTGGTGGACTCCTCACCTCAACCCTGCTCCAAGGGTACATGATGTCCCCCTTTACAGACAGGGAGACTGAGGCACAGCTTGAAGAACCTGCCCACGGCCACACAGCTACTGCAGCAGCAGAACTGGGGTGATTCCATCTGAGCCTTCATCCATGCAGACACCTCCAAGCCCAAGGCATCCACGGAGGGCTCCTCCCTCGTCTTCTCCACACCCCAAGCTCACAGGGATGTTTCTCTGTGGAGGTGGAGCAGGCAGTGCTGCCCTGGGGCCTCTATCCTGGGATCTCTGGGGCCAGCTTCAATGTCATCATGGGTGGCCGCTGGCCCAAAGTCCTGCTCAGCAGCAGCAGCAGCAGGACAGGCCTCTGGAGAGCATGCCTCTGTCTCTGGCCCTGCCAGTGGCGTCCTTGTGTCCTTGGGGACCCCACACACACACATTCTTCTGCAGAGGCAATCAATAAAGCCGGGGCACCAAGGAGGCTTCAGGAGTGATTAGCAATGGAGCAGGCTGGAAAATACGCGGACGCTAGGGCAGATCGTATTGATTCCATTGACTTGCCCTTTGCCAGGCTGTTGTATTTATAACTCAGATGAAATCCTATTTGGATTTTAGAATGGGTGGGTTTATAACTCAGATGAAATCCTATTTGGATTTTAGAATGGGTGGGTTTATAACTCAGATGAAATCCTATTTGGATTTTAGAATGGGTGGGTTTTTTTGAACAGTTGGTGCAAAATAAACACAAGCATTTTTAACATGGACAATGAAACACATTAAACTATAATAATAAAGGCAGGCAGGCAAGCACGTCCATGGGAAAGTGGTTTCAGTTGAAAAGTAAGCTCCACCCCAGAACTGTCACACCTGCACTGCTCACGCCAGGGACAGACCGTGATAGGAGCACAGCCTCCTGTCCTCCAGCCCCCGCCCAGCCCAGCTTCCCCAGCCCTGCTGACCTGGGGGCTGTCTTCATGCCTGGATGCTTCTAGTGCCCTGCCCCCGCCACGTTTAAGAGAATGTTTTGAAAAATAATCACTTCCCAAGGCAGAAAACAGAGAGCAAAACACAGAGCGATTCAGAAGAGCCGCCTGCTCAGGGGTGCCCCGGATGTTATCTGCAACCTGGCACGGCCCGACTGCAGGCCTCAGCCCTGTGCCCTGGCCCCACCTGAGCAATTCCTCTGCCCTCTTCAGGGCCCAGCCAGGTGGTCACAGCAAATCTGGTCAGGACCAGGGACAATCAGCCCGCAGGGACGTCCTGCCTCAGCCATCCACTTGATGGTGACGACTGCCCCGACCCCTCTCTCTCAGCAGCTGTGCCTGCCTGGAGCCCCCGTACCCCTCACCCGGCCGTAAGGGCTGCTGCACCCTCTGCTCTCCTCACTGGACTGTGGCGTCCTGAGGAACCCACCAGCCACTTTCTTATGCATCTCGGCACTCAGGGGACAAAACCAGCTCTCCCGGAGGGGCTTGTGGGACCGAGTTTCACTGAGAGACATGGTGAATGGAAGAACTTCACGCATCATAGCAGGCAGAGGACTCCGGGAGCCCTTGACCCAACCCACAGGTCATCTTACCAGTACTAGCGACTCACTGCGGTAGTGAGTTGGGTGAGGCCCAGAAGTCCCTCCTGGTCACTTGCGATGGGATGAAGATATTTTTGAAACCTAGAGAGACAGGGTTATCTAACAGAGTAAGAAAGCCAGGGCTGGCTTCTTTCCCCTCGGAATGAAGTTCAAGCCTCCTCTGTCCCATAAGTGCACAAATGTCCACCGTGCTAACTTTACACGCTCCATTTTTACTTTGGGCAAGCAGGATTTGCAGCGCGGGAGAGATGACCTGGACATGAGCCGGCAGTGGCCTGCGCACCACAGGAGGCCCTTCAGCCGACGGCCATGTCTGCGCTGCGCGATCCTGTCCCTGTCAGAGCCGCTGACCTGGGTCTAGTCCCACAGAACCTCTCCTGGAGCCTTGGGGACCAGGGCTGGCAGCTGAAGTCACTCCTCTGCGTAATGGAATGAGAAGTAAGGCTTTAAGACGTCAACACTGTGTCTACACTGTGTCCCACCGTGAGCAGACGTGGCTTGGTCCCTGATCCCCCAGGGCAGGCACCCCCAGGCACAGGCTCCTTCACATTGGGCTTCTGTCACTTGTAACAAAAAGAGCCCCAACTAAGACAACAGAAGAGATCGTGTAACGACATTTCGAAGCACAGAGTCGGAATCCTGGGAAGACGAGAACGGCAATCCTGGGCAAAGCTCCAGGCAGATGCAGGGCCAGAGCCTCCCTCAGGGCTCCTCCCAGGACCTCCCCCCAGGGCTCCTCCCAGGACCTCCCCCCAGGGCTCCCGGCCTCTGCAGGTTGCCTGGGACAAGAGGTCTTCCTTCCTAGTCCCTCTAACCTCTCCACTGAGAGCACCCCATGAGCCTGGCGCCCCAGGCACTGTGCAGGAGGGAACAGCAGGCCGGCAGCCTCTGCCCTGTGGGTCCGCACAGCCTGGGGAGCGGGGACAGAATGCACCCCCCACTGCGATCCCACCTGTCTGCCTCCATCCTTCCCCATCCACTCCGAGGCCGGACGTTGCCTGACTAGGACAGCTCTTCTCCTATTTCTCAGATGTCTGTTCCATTGGTTTCTCTTTGTCAAGATGTCTGATCCACCGTCAGCAGTTTCTTGAGTGGAGGTGAGCACTGTGGTTAGGGAGTCACACTTAGGCACCAGTTACCTACGCCATGTAACAACACTGCTCTGAAACTTGTGCCTTATGACAGGAACATACATTCTCGCCTGCAGTCTCCGGGTTAGCTGGGTGGTGTGGGGCTCTCCTGAGGTTGCCCTCAAGGTGACGGCTGGGGCTGCATCATCTGAAGGCTCAACGGGGGCTGGAGGACCTGCTTCCACACACCCCGAGCCAGCAGCACTGCTGGCAGAGGCCTCAGACCTCCCCAGAGAGCTGCACAAGTGTCCTGCGGACGTGGCAGCCAGCTTCCCCAGAGCGCAATGTCTGAGAGCAAGCAGGAAACTACATGCCAACAGAGGCCACCCACAGCCACCTCAGCCGCTTCCTACTCATTAGAAACAAGTGACCAACAGAGACCATGCTGAAGGGGAGGATAAATTGAGGGAGATCGTCAGAAACTTGTGGTTGTATTTTTTAAAACAACACACTTAATTTTTTAAAAAATTGTTGTCATTTCACTGGATTTGGGGCACTGGGGAGACTGACCCACATCTTCTCCTCCACCACCCAGATTCCTATCATGTGCTGATCTGAACGTTTAATTTTCAGAAAGGAGAAAGTCTCCTCCAAGTTCTTCAGGAAATTCATCCCAATATTCATCAGATGCTTTTAAGGAACACCAGAAAAAACTCCAGGTCTGCCCTGGGGATAGCTCTGAACCCCCTGTGTGGTTTAACACACACAGAACTTCCCGTTGCACTGCTGACAGGTACCACGTGGGAAAGAGCTCACTGGGGTCAGCAAAGCTGGGGAAGCAAAGCTAAGCACAGCCCCGAGGCCTCCAGCTGCTCCCTGCACGACGGCTCTCCCCAAGAGGGACTCAGACTCCCAACCCATAATAGAACCCTTTCAATGCATGGCTTCACAGACTAGCTTTCCTCAGAGCATGCATTGTAAAGACACCAGCCTGGAGCGTCAGTTGGGAGTTTATCATCCAAAGACCATTAGAGGAGCAAAAATCCCCACCTGTCACCCAGCTCCAAGAGTCAGAGACCCCCAAGTTGCAAGGAACAGCAAAGGAGCCCCACGCCACAGGCCACTCGGCCACCTCCCTTCCGTCTCCAAGGGGGTCTGAAGACCTCAGGATGGTGCAAGCCCCAGGGAGGCCCCGGAGAGCCTTTGTTTCCCCTTTCGGTGACTGAGCCAGCCCTGCTGTCAGCATCCCTGACGGGTCAGGCCATCCTAGGGCCCTCGCTGGCCAGGTGGCCCTGCACACACATGCTCCCAGGTGGCACCCGGGGCCAGAGATCCCCTAATGAATTTCTTGCTGCACATAGGCTGAGTCCAGGGACTGTACATGCTCTCCTGCATCTTTGCTGGGAGCTCCATCTCTGCTGGGAGCACCATGCTATATCTGCTGTGTGTCTGTGACCCTCATCTGTGACACCCTGGTTCCAGACTTTATTTTCGGTCTCAACACACATGTAATAAGAGATGTGTGCAAAGGGACTTTCAGGATAAACTGGCTCCACCACCCTATCCCTTCGCCAGCGCCTGGCCCAGTGTCCAGCACACAGGAGGCAAGCATTTCTCAGATGTGGGATGCATGGCGCATCCCAGCGTCTTCTTTGTCAGAGAATGAGGGAGAAAAGAAACCACCAGAGTCTCCTGAAGGTGTTGCTGGAAAGAGCCCAGCTCACTGGCCGTGCACCTGCAGGCCGCTGGCCTCAGCACAGCCCCATCCCTAGAGTTCTCCCACGCCGCTGACAACAGGCGCTCCATCCATGGCCCGTGAAGTGCCCACGGGCTGCAGGTCTTCCCTTGAGATTCAGAAAGTACCTGCCGCTCAGCCCCTGTACACACCTGTCATGCCTCTCGGGCTCAAGTGATCCTCCCACCTCAGCACCTCAGTATCTGGGACCACAGGTGCCTACCACCCTGCTCGGCTAATTTTTGTATTTTTAGTAGAGATGGCGTTTCACCATGTTAGCCAGGCTGGTCTCAAACTCCTCAAGTGATCCTCCTGCCTCGGCCTCCTGAAGTGCTGGGATTACAGGCGTAAGCCACCGCGCCCGTCCTTTTTGTAATTAGGTTTTCACTGCATAAATCATAAAACGATTACAGGTCTCCAGAAACTGCTGCCTGATACACTTTCCAAAGTAAACAGCTTTTGGAAAAATGGCTGTTTTTAGATCACATCTAAATGTCGCATTCTTGGTCTGTGTGACTAGAACCAGACTCCAGCCATCCACCCGCCCACCTGGGGTATCACACACCAGGCTCTGGGAACGCGCAAGAAGCCGGCATGCTGGGAAGTTACTCATAGCTCCTGGGGTCACCCTCCCGCCCCATGCCCATCCGGATGAGATGTTTTCGTGAGTTGCGTAACTCACAGCCACCCGGTAACACGATCGACCAACAGAGGCCTCACTCTCGGGAAACCGAGGAGCCCGGCCGAGGCAGGGGAGCCCATCTTAGTTGTCAGAGCTGCGTCATGAGAACAAAATGTCTGAAGCTGCCAACTTCACCACAGAACTAGGGAAAACACCTCCATCAATAGAACCAGACGATCTCCTTGTGGACACGCAGGAAAACGTCTGCAGTGGTTACCTCACACGCCCCTCCTTGGGGGACAGGCAGGGAAAGAAAGGTCATGGAGCCCACAGTGGCTCATTTACATCCCTCAGTTCGTAACCACCAGCCTCTACAGGCTCTCTGAAGAGCTCGCAGAAGCACACGTGCACACACAGGCACGCAGGTCCACACGCATGCACACAAGTCCAACCACATGCATGACGATGTAAGCGCAGAAATGAGACCCCCTCCATCTCGGATTGGGTTTAATCTCCTGCAAATCAGCAAATCAGCAGCCACTCTGTGCAGTCAGGTGCCCACTGCAGCCCGGTTTGCCTTTCTAAATTTCATCTTAATTTAAGGAGGTAAAGAATGAAGTCCACACTCCACAGGATAACTACTTCTAAGGAGCTGGAAAGCTGTCTGGCTTATTGACACAAATTTAAGAAGGAATATTTCCTCCAAAGTCTTGGGTGAACCACAGCAGCTTGGGCAGTGTGGACGTCTGGCGTCCTGAGCTTGTGCTGGGCTGGAAGGAGAGCGGGGGAGTTTGTAAGGCAGGTTGCAGTGGTGTGGGCGGGAGACAGGGGTGGCGTTCACAGTGAGAGACGGCCAGGGGAGGCCCCTAGGAAGAATCCGCCCATCACAGTGGACGGAAGCCACGATTGGACGTGAGGCTTAATGTGAGCTCTGTGTACAAACAAAGCAACCAGCTCATTCTGTAGACCAGTATTAAACATGCTTATATTTTAAAATACAATTTTGATGCAAGAATTGAATTTAGTAGCTATATTTTCTAATCAAACATTAGAATATGTGGTCTGTACATATACGGCCAGAGGACAGAATGTCAGAAATGGGGACTGCAGGAAATAAACTGAGCTACGCAGTCACTGTGAGCCTAGCTCCTCCCTGCTTCCACCTAGTTCCAGTCCGATGAGGAGTGAGTCTCTCTTCGTCCTTCCCTTCTGTAAGAGGTCAATTTAGGCTTTTTTAAAATGGAGAGTTCAGGGTCATGAGCTGATAGCGGAGGCCTCTTTATCGTCATTTTTAATCAGCTCACACACAGAGACCATCACTGGGGCCCTGGCTAAGGAGGGGCATCTGCTGACAGTCGCTGCTCAGAGGCCAGCGGAGCGTCTCACCGGGCTCTCCATTCTTCCTTCTACACTTGAATGATAAGGATCGCAAATTTAAAGTAAAATCTTGAGCCCCCCAACTGACTGAATGGAACCCGTTGGCCAACCTTAAAAAACGAGTTCCCAGCCGGGGCGCAGTGGCTCAAGCCTGTAATCCCAGCACTTTGGGAGGCCAAGGCGGGCAGATAATGAGGTCAGGAGATCGAGACCAACCTGTCCAACACAGTGAAACCCCGTCTCTAATAAAAATACAAAAAATTAGCCGGGCGTGGTGGCAGACGCCTGTAATCCCAGCTACTCGGGAGGCTGAGGCAGGAGAATGGCGTGAACCTGGGAGGTGGAGCTTGCAGTGAGCCAAGATCGCGCCACTACACTCCAGCCTGGGTGACAGAGCGAGACTCCGTCTCAAAAAAAAAAAAAAAAAAAAAAATGAGTTCCCAGGCACGATGGACGGGAGGTCAGACACACCCCACTATACCCCCTCCCTTTTGGGATTTAGACACAACTGGCCAGCATTCATGTTAAAATAGAGATGGTGAGACCAGAGAACAGACTGTGGCAATAAGACACAAATCACACACAGGACCTAAGGCCTGGCCAGGCTACAGCGAAGTCTCGCACCCTGAACCTAAATAAGAAACTCTGTCCTCACCACCACCAAGGTTTTCTTCTCCAGCAGCTAAACCAGCGTTGGCCTTGAGATGAGCAAGATGAAAACAAGTCGTAGTTTATCCACCACCCGATGCTGGCTAACTGGCCCTGTTCCACCAGCCGTAACTACAGCTTTGATGGAACAAGAGACCGATTTCAGTAACTTCCTCTGGACAAGAATAAGCCCATGGATGGGCTCTGGCCGGCTGATAGAGGCTGAGCACTGGGAGCCTTCATGTCCCTGTTTCACCTTTAGAAGTGCAGAGCCTGCCTGGGATGCACGTAGATGTTAAGTCTCCTCTCCAAGGTGAACATGGGTTGTATGTAAGTGGATGTTTGTTCAATACACATGCGTCAGGACCACTTCATGAATATTCACAGCTCCTCCTGTAACCTGTTGAATATGTATGATCCTCCAGCCCATTCAGCATAAAGCTCCTGCCCCTTCTCCTCCAAGATGCCTGTCTGCGGTCTCTGCGGGAGGCTGTGCTTCCCAGCCTGCGGGATGCCACCTTGCAGAGTGTAACTCTTTACAAGAAATAATGTCTTTAGGTGGGCATGGTGGCTCACACCTGTAATCCCAACACTTTGGGAGGCCCAGGCGGATGGATCACCCAAGGTCAGGAGTTCGAGACCAGCCTGGCAACATGGTGAAACCCCATCTCCACTGAAAATACAAAAAAAATTAGCCGGGTGTGGTGGTGCACGCCTGTAATCCCAGCTACTCGGGAGGCTGAGGCAGGAGAATCGCTTGAACCCAGGAGGCAGAGGTTGCAGTGAGCCAAGATCACACCCCTCCACTCCAGCCTGGGCGACGAGAATGAAACTCCATCTCAAAAAAAAAGAAAAGAAAAAGAAAGAATGTCTCCTCTTCTAAATGTATAGATTGTGTCATCTTTTAGTTAACAAGATGAAGAGATGGATGGCAAGAAGAGAAATAAAAATCAGAAAGGAGATGATCCTATTCACTTTTCGGAAGTGAGGACAAAACCAAATAGGGAAATGAGCCGCCGCAGGAATGAAGAAGCCTGTAACAGCTATTCCAAACCGGGAGAGCGTCCTGGGGCCAGGACTTCATTGGGATAAGATGTTGAATCTGGAACAAGATAGAACAAGGCTGGACATTTCCTGGATTATCCACGCCTACTCCTTAGAAACAAGCGTGAAGTCCCCACAATGCGAGCAGGCCTCTCACCAGGTTGCCTGTGCTGTCTGCAGTGCGGTATCTACCTCGAGTAGGAAGACGGCAGGAAAAATCAAAGTGTCTTGAAAATGCCAACACATTAACCAGCTTGAAGCCATACTCAAGTGCGATAATTCATATTCTGATTTATTAATATCCCAGTCATAAACCCCATGGCAATAAATACATCTGTGCCTGTAAAAAGAGGGCACACTTGAAAAATAACACATGTCCAGGAATATCTTACTCAGCAAGCAGGCAGAGCCTGCTCTAAATTGACGAACTTGGACACAGTGAAAACCAACAGCTGTCCCGCTTGGGAAACTAACAGTTGGGCTCCTTGGAAAAAATACCTGATTTAGAATCTAACGAATGTGTTTATAAAGGACCCATCTTCTTTTTTTTGTTTTTTGAGACAGAGTCTCGCTCTGCTGCCCAGGCTGGACTGCAATGGCAAGATCTCAGCTCACTGCAACCTCCGCCTCCTGGGTTCAAGCAATTCTCCCACCTCAGCCTCCTGAGTAGCTGGGATTACAGGCACCCGCCATCATGGCCAGGCTGGTCTTGAACCTCTGACCTCAGGTGATCCGCCCACCTCGGCCTCCCAAAGTGCTGGGATTATAGGCGTGAGCCACCGCGCCCAGCCAAGGATCCGTCTTCTCTAACATTCGGCTTGAAGAGAGACCCCCCCACTACTTTACAGTGATGCCTTCGGGAAGAACAGCCTTTTACCTCCCTAGGTTTTCTCCCCGCCTAGAGTTCTGTTTCTTACTACATTACATTTCCGCTCGCTTAGTGTTTTTCAACCCTCGAGCTCTCCTCAAACCGTTCCATTGTTTAAGATACTAACAAGGGGCTGCCCTGACCCAGGAGACAGTGTAAGTGTAGGGATCAGGGAACAGAAGCAGGAACGCAAGACGCCGGATACAAACGTGAACATGCTGCAGGATTCCACGTGCATCAAATTCTAGAAAAGCCAAAACCCACCCACATAGGTTGCTTAGGATGGGGTGGGGGGACTAAGAAGGGGCATGAGAACCTTCTTTGGGTGATGAAAATGTCCTATGTTGTTCTGCCTGAGGTCATGCTGCATTTGTCAAAATTCAAAAACACTGAAAATGAGTACATTTTATTGTATATAAATGACACCTCAATAAAAACGAAAGATGTGAGCAACATCCTGGGAAAAGAAAATGTGATTTCACCTTAAGTGCTTTAGCAGAATTCTATTATATGCCTCAGCTCTTACTCTTTCTTCTTTTTTGAGACAGAGTCTCGCTCTGTCACCCAGGCTGGAGTGCAGTGGCCACAATCACAGCTCACTGCAGCCTCGACCTCCCAGGCTCTAAGAATCCTCCCACCTTAGCCTCCTGAGTAGCTGAGATTACAGGCATGAGCCACTGTGCCCAGGAACTTACTCTTGCCTGTAAAAATACAGCTCTGAAGTGAAGAAATCCCAGGCGCCACATCAAGGAGGCGAAACTAGAGTCCGCAGGAGGCCAGCCCCGCACGAGGAGTTTCAAACACTAAGGATCCTGACAGGGAAAAGTTATATGAAGCAAGAAAGGCAATTTAAAGCGATAGTTTATCATATGAATGTTTCGTTCTTAAAAATGAACAAGCTCTATTTATAATGCCCATTTAGAAATGAATCCATTAAAAAAAATCAGTAGATCAGCACTTATTTTAATTACTGAGATAGAGTCACACTTGACAGAAGCAAGCCCTGCGGTATATGGCATCATCACACCACCGGTGGGTATTTTAATCCTAAAACTGAGACAGAGTTTACTTAAACATTTAAGGCTTGAGTTTCCTCTGTACAGTGTGGAGGTGATTAAGAAAATTAATCCTAACATGAAGATTTTTCATCCAGTTAAAAAAAGAAATACTTTAAAAACGACCTGCCCTTCCAAAACATGAAGTTAACTTGGAGTTTTTCTGTGATATGACAAACTAGGCATAATCCTATCTCGGAATTGTTGAGTAGAAAATTTATGTACTAATACTCCTGTTAAAATTCAACAGCTTTATTGTGAAAGAATCCAGAGATCTCACACTGAAAAAATACTAACACAGCTCATATATAAATTACTTATCTATAAGAACAATTATAGAAGGAATCTAAATGGGGCAATTTTAACAAACCAGGCAAAATATCACATATACCTGAATATAAGGTAACTCCAAGCCATGAGTATAAGATTAAGGCAGTTACTTTATTTTGAACAAGGAAGTGGCATAAGCAACTCAGTGTGTGCCCCTTAGGGTGGGAGCTCTTCCCCCTACCACTCCCCACCCCAAGGCATCATTTTGGAGAAAAAAGTGTCTTCTATCTGGCTAGCTGTGTTATCTAGGATTGCACCTTCTTACACGGCAGGCGCGGCATCACGTCCAGATGGGCATCTAAGGAACTGCATTTCGGGAGATGAAACTTTCATTTGGGACTCAACTGAATGCATGAACTAACACAGGGCCATGGACCCACCAGTCTTGATTGAGTTACAGAAAATGAAGGTGACTCTTTACACTTCCAAGTTGCTTTCTAGATCCTTTCATTACAAAATATTCTGATCAAATAATCTTACAAAGGAAAGATAATCTAGCCTCAAGGCTATCCTCTAAAAGCAAAGAGAAAGTGATTGATTTTCTGCTCAGTCATTACATTGGGGACCTTTACGAGGCACGTGTTAGTTCCCAGGCAGCACTGCTAGGCGGTCTGTGCCAGAAATTTCACGTACTGCCCGCGGGCTTCAAAATGGTCAGCGGGCCGGTTGTACGCTGTCCACACCGGTTCTCCCACAAACAGCCGCATGGCCTTCGTGTAGTTCTGGAAAACAGACAAACACACCCAGCATCTCATTAAACCAGCCGGCCTTCTACTTAGTATTTATTAACATATCAACTTGTTAACATTAATTGCTATAAACACTTTACTTGCTATTTTTATTCTGCGTCTTTAACAATTTAGGCCACATTTTATTCGTGGAAGGAAAATTTGTATCAGGTGGTGCAGCTGGCCCTGCCTGTCCTCACGTGCCAGGTAAGAGCATCTGGAGCTGAGGCTTGGTGTTGAACTCCGCACCTCCGTGCTCTCTATAGAGACACACAGTCAGGAAAAGCACTGGCTCCAACCCCATGTACCCTCCACCTCCTCTCCGCCTCATTTGGCTACAGTTTTCCTAAGAATTAGCATCAGGGCCCACATGTTGCTGGTGGGCAGGAGAGGACAATTCAGCCACATCCGTCCAGACTAAAAACGCACGTGCCTTTTAATTCAGTTTTTACTTTTAGGAATTTACCCTACAGAAAAACACACAGAAGTGCAAAATGACAAGCATGTAAGGGTATTTATTACAGCCCTGTTCACAAGAGCAAAAAATTGAGAACAATGTATATACTCATTGTTGGGGGTCAATGACTCACTGAAATAAATTAATGGTTAAATACAGTACAGCATGTCCAGCGCCAGAGTACTGTGCAGCTGTAATCAGGGCTGAGGCTTGTAGACACTGAAATGAAACAGTCCCCAGTGAACATCATGTAGAAAAAAGTAAAATGTAGAACCATGGGAGGCCAAGGTGGGTGGATCACCTGAGGTCAGGAGTTTGAGACCAGCCTGGCCAACATGGTGAAACCCCGTCTCTACTAAAAACACAAAAATTAGCCGGGCGTGGTGGTGTGCCCCAGTAATCCCAGCTACTCAGGAGGCTGAGGCAGGAGAATCGCTTGAGCTTGGGAGGTGGAGGTTGCATTGAGCCGAGATCAAGCCACTACATGCCAGCCTGGGCGACAAAGTGAGACTCCATCTCAAAGAAAAAAAAAAAAAAAAGAATCCTGACTGACATGCACTTGGATATGTGTAAAGTCACTCTAAAAATAATTTTTTTAGTGGAATACTGGTTACTTTCAGGGAGAGAAACTGGGAGGCTGGGAACAGGGGTCAGAGGGAGACCTTTCACCAGGTCCCCTTTCATATTTCTAAATTTTAAACCATGTGCATTTAGTATTTATTCAAAAATTACCCTTAAATCAGCATTACCCCAATCGCCTCCAGTGAACCCCAAAACTACCTTATCTGTGTTTATTGCCAATCCTGACTGGACTGCGTTACTGTTCAATTCCAAAACTGAAATGTTTTTAAAAGTGACAGTATGGCAACATAACAACCCTACAGGCGCCTCACCACCAAACACGGGCTGGGGTGACAACCCTAGAGATGCCTCACCGCCAAGCAAGGGCTGGGGCAGGGCCAGGCTCGTGGGTGTGTACCTGCCGCCGCATGTACCTGCCGCCGCCTGTACCTGCCCCGCCTGGGTATGAAATGCACACCTGTCCACCAGGATCGCAGGCAGGGGCCACGGAGGCTGCCACGGAAGGACAGCTGTCACCTCGGACATCGCCTGCGGCTCCACAGACTCTCCTTGAAGCACAGGTCGAGGAGTCCCGAGCCCAGCGACCGCGCTTGGAGTCTGCGGAAGCCGCGCAGTTCAGCGGCAGAGATGCCACGGCCAGGGCCACCACACAGGCCGGGCCTGGGGAGAAAGCACAGCACTCCCACCTTCTCGTCCACCGTGAAGCGGTGATAGATCCCCGCGGGGAGCGTCACCATGTCTCCCTTCTCCATGAAGATCCGGATCCACTGGTCCTCCTTGTCCCTCACATCGAAGTACCCACTGCCATCCAGGATGTAGCGGATCTCATCGTCCAAGTGCAAATGCTCCTCGTAGAACATCTTAATCTAGTGCAGAAGGAACATTCCTGTGAGTCTACCAGAGACCTGTCACGCAAGCTCACACCCACCCACTCAGCAGCCTGAGCCTTTGGTGGGCCAGAGCTGAGGTGAATGGGACTTCTCTCCATAAAAATGAAACTACACTTGCTAAGAATTATTTTCCTAACAGTACAAGGGCCAGAGCTAGAATATTTTATGAAACCTGTCAACAAATGGGCAGTAACTGAAAGTGAACAGACCTGAAGCAAAGGTTCTGAACACTTCACACAGGCCAACTCACCCAACCCGCACGGCCCCACGAGGTGGCTGCTCTATCAGCCCCGTTTTACAGATGTGGAAATGGTGGCACAGAGAGGCTAAGTCACTGGCCCAACCTCACACAACGAGACTGCCCCAAAGACACCCTGGCCCCATGCTCACACCCACCCAGTGTGCTGCACACAGCAGTCATGAAATCACAACACACAGGGTGAGTGAGAAGCCAGTGGACATTGCAGGGAGGCAGGCACAGACTCCACAAGCATTTTCTATGTCTTCACATTGACTTTTGTGTATTTTTTTTTTTAGGTGGAGTCTCGCTCTGTTGCCCAGGCTGGAGTGCAGTGGCACAATCTCAGCTCACTGCAACCTCCGCCTCCCCGATTCAAGCGATTCTCGTGCCTCCCAAGTAGCTGGGATTACAGGTACCTACCACTATACCCAGCTAATTTTTGTATTCTCAGTAGAGATGGGGTTTCAACATGTTGGCCAGGCTGGTCTCAAACTCCTGACCTCAGGTCATCCACCTGCCTCGGCCTCCCACAGTGCTGGGATTCCAGGTGGAAGCCACCACGCCTGGTCTGACTTTTGTGTCTTTCTGAAAGTGTTTTCTTCCTAATATTTTATAATAAAAATATTCAAGTATGCAAAAACATTGAGAGTATTTTACAGTAAATATCCATACCCCCTTCACCAAGACTGTGCCCTTATAATCTGATTCTGCCTGCACTGTTCATATCTCCACACCTCCCGCTCCACACACACACACACACACACACACACACACACACACACACAGAGACAGGGTTTCACTCTGTTGCTCAGGCTGGAGTGCAGGGGCACAATCATGACTCACTACAGCCTCAAACTCTGGGGCTCAAGAGATCCTCCTGCCTCAGCCTTCCCAGTAGCTGGGACTACAGGCGTGCACTACCATACCTGGCTAATTTTTTAAAAAAATTTTTTCTAGAGACAGGGTCTTATTATGTTGCCCAGGCTAGTCTCAAACTCCAGGCCTCAAGTGATCCTCCTGCCTTGGCCTCCCAAAGCACTGGGATTACAGGCATGAGCCACTGCCCCCAGCCTACCTTGTTATGTGTTACAAAATCATAAATAAAATGAAAACAAGATTAGGAGGAAAACCTTAAATTTGAAATCAGTCTATTCATAGCCACACAGAAAGAAAAGACAAACGGAAATAGCTCTTTTTTTTTTTTTTTTTTTGAGACGGAATTTCACTCTTGTTGCCCAGGCTGGAGTGCAATGGCGCGATCTCGGCTCACTTCAACCTCCGCCTCCCAGGTTCAAGCAATTCTCTGCCTCAGCCTCCCAAGTAGCTGGGGTCACAGGCATGATCACCACACCCAGCTAATTTTATATTTTTAGTAGAGACGGGGTTTCTCCATGTTGGTCAGGCTGGCCTCGAACTCTCGTCCTTGGGTGATCTGCCCACCTCAGTCTCCCAAAGTGCTAGGATTACAGGCGTGAGCCACCGCACACGGCGACAAACGGAAATAACTCTTGAACATATTATTTTGACTACATCCTCAGGCTAAGACAGAAAAACCGCAACCCAAGCTTAGGTTGCACTCAGTAGGCCTGCTGCTTGTCATGGTCTGGGTGCTGCCATGCTGATGCTGTTGTGTGTGTTGTGGGGATTGAGAGGATGGGAAAAAACATTGATATGACTGGGAGCCAGGCCTCTCACAGTGAGAGGAAAGATACAAATACTGATGAGGAAGGCAAAGGAAAGCCCTGTGGATGTAACTGGAATTAGAGGTGTCTGTTTGAACTACTTGTCACACACACAGGGACACATGCACACTCACACAGGCGCACTGTCACACAAGCACACACACTCCCATGCTAGCATTCACACACAAACCTACACACGCACACACACGTACACGCTCTCACATGCGTACATTCACACTCACATGCACACATACATGCATGCATTCACACACATGCACACACGTAACACTCTCTCATGTGCATTCACACACATGCACACACGTAACACTCACTCATGTGCATTCACACACATGCACACATACACACTGACACGCACATTCACACACATGCACACATACACACGTACTCACACGCACATTCACACACATGCACACATACACACGTACTCACACGCACATTCACACACATGCACACGTACACACACGAGTGCATTCACACTCATGCACACATACGGACGTACACTCACACGTGTGCATTCACACTCATGCACACGTACACACACACGCCTACATTCACACACTCACATGCACACATACACACGTACACACTCACACACGTGCATTCACTCGCATGGTACTCATCCCGTCCACAGAAAGCACCTGAGCACAGCGACTCTGCAGGGCACTCCCATCCGAGTTTCTAAGTGCCAGGGCTAAGTGCCAGGAAGAGCAGCTGACCCCGCACAAGGTCAGGAAAAGCAGGAGGTGGGCCTGGACACGCTGTAGGTCCAGAAAGTAATGGGCTGGGGATGCGCCAGGGGACAGAAGTCAGCTAACGAGGCTGCTGCTTGCCAAGCCTGAGGTCTGGGACAACGTGAAGATCAACATAAATCCCAGCAAGAATAGACCCTAGACCAACAAGTGAGACAAGAAGGCCTCCAGCCCCAGTGGATGCCGAGTGAACAGAGAAGAGGGGGACATGCCTCCTGACAGTGAAAACCAACCCCCGGGTGAGCGCCACTGCACGGCCATGACAGTCACAGCCCACAAAGGCAGGAATCATCACGACTTACGAAAAACGTTGAGTGAAAGTTTGAGGGGAAATGGGATATTCATGGTCTAAAAGTAACTTTCCACACATTTCTTACTAGTTACAGAGGAAAAGAAAAGGAACTTCCCCATGGAGAGACTTGACGGACGCCGATTTCACCCAGGGCACGTTGACATCAGCAGTGAGGGGCCCTCGGACACGCTTACTCACAACACCACTGCGTAGGATTCCGCTACAAACACACGACCTAACACTGAGGAAACCAGTGGCAATCACAAGATCGTCAGAAAATAAGGTTATTTTAGAAAAACAAAGAATAAGCCGGTATCAGCAAGAGGGTTTTATACCAGGAGAGAAGTAATTCCAGAAAACAGCAATGATGAAGCTAATGTAACTTACAACATCAGCAGCAGGCCAGCCTCTGTTATGTGAGATAAAACGTGGCTGAGAAGAGGCTGGCTCATCTCAACTTCCACGTCAGAGTCACACCATTTACATCCACCAGAATCTAATGAACTGTAGGGCACTCAGTGAGAAATAAAGACAATATGTGGACTCTAACCAGGAAGAATCATTTGACATAGAGAAAAGGAACTCACACGACAGATCTATTTTTGAACAATTTCCACATCCTTAAGCTCTTCTGCTCTTAGTTCTATCTGGTATTGTCGGTTCACCTGCGTATGTTTGTATTGTTGGTTCACCTGTGTATGTCTGTATTGTCTGTTCGCCTGCGTATGTTTGTATTGTCTGTTCACCTGTGTATGTTTGTACTGTTTGTTCACCTGTGTATGTTTGTATTGTTGGTTCACCTGAGTATGTTTCTATTGTTGGCTCACCTGTGTATGTCTGCATTGTTGGTTCACCTGCGTATGTTTGTATTGTCGGTTCACCTGCGTATGTTTGCGTTGTTGGTTCACCTGAGTATGTTTGCATTGTCAGTTCACCTGTGTATGTTTGTATTTTCTGTTCACCTGTGTATGTTTGTATTGTCTGTTCACCTGTGTATGTTTGTATTGTTGGTTCACCTGAGTATGTTTGCATTGTTGGTTCACCTATGTTTGTATTGTTGGTTCACCTGTGTATGTCTGCATTGTTGGTTCACCTGTGTATGTTTGTATTGTCAGTTTACCTGCGTATGTTTATATTGTTTGTTCACCTGCATATGTTTTCTAAAGAGCTTAGAAGCCACCACTCCATCCTATCAAGTAAAAGCAGAACAAACTGAAAAACCAACTCTTTTTAAATCTGTAAGAGAAGCGAAGTCACAGAGCAAACCACAGCCCCTCACACTGGAGAGACAGGCAGACAGAAAGATCCACACCTAACCAGAGCAGAAACCCCTATGGGAAGCAGGGCTGGGGTCGAGAAACCCAAACTGTACTTGACCAGTTGGGGGCTCAGTGTAGACAAGTCTGAGAGCTAAAAAAAACTCCAGACCCAGTCATCAGGGGCCTCACACTTTTGTAAATTTTACCTGCAAAAGCTCTACTGGGTCCCAACAGTGAGTATCAGGGAAAATTCCCTGTGCTTCTGGCAGAGGGAGGGAAAGGGGGCCATTCTGAAGTCTATCAGGATACATCTGAAATCTCTTCTTATGAAGGCCTCAACTCAGGAGAGCTCAGCCAGCCAGATCCCAGCCTGCTGGGCTTTCATGAGAGCCTGACCTGGGTGAAGGGAAACACGAAACTCCAGCCCCTTCGGAACTCCATGTTATGGACTGAATACTATGATCCCCCTCCCCCGGGTCCATGGGCTGAAACCCTACCCTCTAATATGGTGGTATTAGCAGGTGGTGTCTTTGGGAGGTAATTAGGATTAGATAACGTGATGAGGGTGGAGCCCTCATGAATGGGATTAGTGTCCTTATAAAAGTCCCAAAAGAGCTTGCTTCTTCTACCCACCCACCATGTGAAAACACAGTCGTCTATAAACCAGGAAGCAGCTCTCACAAGACACCAAAGCTGCCAGTGTCCTGACCTTGGGCGTCCCTGCCTGCAGACTGTGAGAAATAAATGTTTGTTGTTTAAGCCACCCAGTTTATGGTATTTGCTTATGGAAGCCTGAGCTGACTAAGACAGGAGAGGAAGGGAAACCCCAAGTCCAGCTGCTTCCAGCCATCATGTCCCACTTAAAGGAGGGAGTCTGAGAAACGCTGGTGAAGTTCACAGCCCAGAGGCACAGGCTGACTACAAGACTGAGACTGTCCTAGCTAATGCAATATGAAGAAATATAAGGCATACTGATTAGAAAGGAAGAAATAAAACTCCCTTTGCTCGCAGATGGTATCACTGTCTAGGTAGGAAATCCAAAAGAATCAACAAAGAAAAGCTCCTGGAACTAACAAGCAATCATGGCAAGTTTGCAGGATACAGGGTTAATACACAAAAGTTAATCACTTTCCTATATACCAGAAACACAGCAAGTGATATTTGAAATTCAAAACACAAAACCATATACATTTGCACCCCCAAAAATGAAATGCTTAGGTATGAATCTAACAAAATATGCATAAGATCTACAAGAAAACTACAAAACTCTGATGAAACAAATCAAAAACTAAACAAATGGAGAGAAATTCCAAGTTCATGAATAGGAAGACTCAGTAGTGTTAAGATGTCCATTTTTCCAAACTTAATCTATAGGTTCAGTACAATCCAATTCAAAGTTCCAGCTAGTTATTTTGCACATATCAGCAAACTGACTGTGAAGTTTATCTGGAGAGGCACAAGACCCAGAATACCCAACACAATATTGAAGAAGAACAAAGTTGAAGAACCGACACTACCTGACTTCAAGACTTACTATCATGCTATAGTAGTCAAGACTGAGACACTGGTGAAATAGTAGAAAAATAGATCAACTGATCTTTGACAAAGGACCAAAGGCAATACAATGAAAAAAAGGTATTCTTTGTTTGTGTTAGAGTGATTTTGATCTCCAGCATTTTCTTTTGACTCTCTCTGAGCTTCCCTCTCTCTGCTTATATTACCCATCTGTTCTTGCATGTTGTCTACTTTTTCCATAGAGCCCTTTGTATTAGTCCGTTCTTATGCTGCTATAAACAACTGCCCAAGACTGGGTAATTTATAAAGGAAAGAAGTTTAATTGACTCACAATTGTGAAGGAAGAATCAGCAAGCTTGAAGACATGTCCATGGGGAGCAGGGATTGGGGGAGAACAAAATAGCCCTGAACTGTGGAACAATTATAAAAGATGTAACATATGTATAAATGGTATAACAGAAGTAGAAGAGAAAAAAGTGAATAAATATTTGAAATACTGTCCACAAATTTTCCAAAATTAATGACAGACACCACACAGATCCAGGAAACTGAGAGAACACCAAGCAGGATAAATGCCAAAATATCTGTACCTAGGCATATCATATTAAAACTGCAGAAAGCAAAAGACAGAAAACCTTGAAAAAGGCCAAAGGAAAAAATGCACCTAACCTATAGAAGAAAAAAGAAAAAGAATTACATCAGACCGTTCCTCAGAAACTATACAAGCAAGCAAGAAAAAAAAAACTACCAACCTAGCAATCTGTATCCAGCAGAATTATCCCTTAAAAGTGAAGAAGAAATAAAGACTTTCTCAGACAAACAAAAATGAAAAGAATTTGTCGCCCGTAGACTGACCTACCTTGCAAATAAATGTTTACAGAAGTTCTTCAAATGAAAAAGAAAATTATATAGGTCTGAATCTCAGATCTAAGTAAAGTGGAAAGAGAGAACAGAAATAAGAAGAAAACTAAAATCTTTTATTTCTTTGTTCTTCATTGATCTAATCGATAACTGTTTATTCAAAGTAATGTCAGTAACAATGTATTAGGTGATTATAACATATGGAGAATAAAATAAATAACAGCAACATTGTAAGAGATGGGAGGGAGGAATTGGGAACACTCAGTTATTGGGTAAATGTATACTGTAAACTCTGAGGCAACCACTAAATTTTTTTTTAATGATAAGCTAAGAGGAGAGAAAGCAGAATCATATAAAATGTTCAATTAAAACCAGACAAGGCAGAAAAAGAGGGGAATATTTAAAAACAACAATAGGCCGGGCACGGTGGCTCACATCTGTAATCCCAGCACTTTGGGAGGCCGAGGAGGGTGGATTACGAGGTCAGGAGATCGAGACCATCCTGGCTAACACAGTGAAACCCCATCTCTACTAAAAATACGAAAAAATTAGCTGGGCGTGGTGGCAGGTGCCTGTAGTCCCAGCTACTCAGGAGGTTGAGGCAGGAGAATGGCATGAACCTAGGAGGTGGAGCTTGCAGTGAGCCAAGATCGTGCCACTGCACTTCAGCCTGGGCAACAGAGTGAGACTCTGTCTCAAAAAAAAAAAAAAAAAAAAAAAAAACAATAACAAAGAACAAGCACAACAAATAGAAAACAGTCCCAAATATGGTAGACATTAATTCAACTGTATTAATAACCAATTTAAACATGAATGATCTAAATATACCATTAACAGAAAGAAACCATCGAAATGGATTAAAAAAACTAACTATAATACATGTCATCTACAAGAAGCCCTCTCTAAATAAAAAGACACAAATAGGTTAAATGTAAATGAATGGAGAAAGATATACCATATTAACACAAATCAAAAAAATGCTGGCCAGAGACAGTGCCTCATGTCAGTAATTCCAGCATTTTGGGAGGCCAAGGCAAGAAGATCACTTGAGCCCAGGAGTTCAAAAGCAGCCTGGGCAACATAGGGAGACCCCACCTCTATGAACAATAAAAATGAATTAGCCAGTTGTGGTGGTGTGCACCTGTAGTCCCAGCTACCTGGGAGGCTGAGATGGGAGGATCACTTGAGCTTGAGAGGTTGAGGCTGCAGTGAGCCATGATGGCACCACTGCATTTCAGCCTGGGTGACAGAGCAATACTCTGTCAAAAAAGGAAGAAGGGAAGGGAAGGGGAAGGGGAAGGGGAGAAAAGGAGAGGAGAGGGGAGGAGAGGAGGGGAGAGAGGGCGGAAGGAAGGAAAGAAGGAAGGAAGGGAGGGAGGGAGGGAGGGAGGGGAAGAAGCCAAGGGAGCTATCTTAATTTTAAAAACAGCAAAATCATCAGAGATAAAGGGGGACATTATATAATAATAAATGGGTCAATCTTCCAAGGGAACATAACAATCTTAAACACATATTTATCTAACAGCTGAGCATCAAAATATGTGAGGCTAACACTGATAGAACTGCAAAGAAAGATAGACAAATCCACTATTACAGTTGGCAATTTCAATACTAACAGTAATTGACATCCAGCAAGCAGAAAATCAGTAAAGATATAGTTGATCTGAATAATACCATCAATCAACTGTTCTTATTGGCATTCATAGATTACTTCATTCAACAACAATGGAATACCCATTCTTCTCAAGCTCACATGAAACATTCACCAAGACAGATAACATTCTGGACCATAAAACAAGTCTCAATATATTTACGAAGACTCAAATTATACAAAGTTTATTCTCTGACTACACCAGAAATAAATTAGAAACAAATAAAAAAATCTAGAAAAATCCTCAAATAATTGGAAACTAACAAATATCTAAAAACAAAACAAAACATCCACACAAGTCAAAGATAAAATTAAAAAGTAAATTAATTAGAATGTATTTAAAATGAAATGAAAATAAAAAGTATATCGAAATTATCAAAAGTTGTGTGAAGCCACTAAAGCAGTACTCTGGGGAAAATTTACAGCACTAAACCCCCGTACTAAGGAAAGAAAAACAACACTCTGCGAGGCCGAGGAGGGAGGATCACTTGAGGCCAGGAGTTCAAGACCAACCTGAACAACCTGGTGAGATTCCAACGCTACAAAAAATTAAAAAAAAAAAAAAATTAGGCAGGCCGGGTGCGGTGGCTCATGCCTGTAATCCCAGCACTTTGGGAGGCCAAGACAGGAGGATCACCTGAGATCAGGAGTTTGAGACCAGCCTGACCAACATGGAGAAACCCCGTATCTACTAAAAATACAAAATTAGCTGGACATGGTGGCGTATGTCTGTAATCCCAGCTACTCAGGAGGCTGAGGCAGGAGAATTGCTTGAACCCAGGAGGCGGAGGTTGCGGAGAGCCGAGATTGTGCCATTGCACTCCAGCCTGGGCAACAAGAGCGGAACTCTGTCTCAAAAAAAAAAAAAAAAAAAAAATTAGCCTGGCATGGTGGCACATACCTGTAGTCCTAGCTACTCAGGAGGCCGAAGTGGGAGGACTGCTTAAGCCTAGGCATTCAAGACTGCAGTGAGCTATGATTGCACCACTGCACTTTAGCCTGGGTGGCAGAGCAAAGTAATAATAATAATAATGTCTGTTTCTAGAATAATAATAATAATAATGACAAAGAAAGAACTCAAATCAGTGACTTCAGCTTCCAACTAGGGAACTTAGAAAAAAGAGCAAATTAAAACATGTAAAAGAAGACAAATTATAAATGTCAGAGCAGAATCCAATGAAACAAAAAATAGAAAAAGAGAAAAATCAATGAAACCTAAAGTTTTTTGAGAGGATCAATACAATTGATAAGCCTCTATCCAGACTCAGGAAAGGGAGAAAAAACACAAATTATCAGTATCAGGAATGAGAGAAGACAGCACTACATACTCTACAGATATTAAAAGGATAATAGAAAATATTCCAAATATTTTTATGGCAATAAATTTGACAACTCAAATGAAATGGACAAATGCCTTGAGAGAAACAAACAAATAATGCTCATTCAAGAAAAAATGGGTTACCTGAATAGCCCTACATCTAGTAAAGAAGTTGAACTCACAGTTAAAAACCTTCCCACAAAGAAAACTACAAGGCCAGATGGCTTCACTGGTGAATCTCCAAACATAAGGAAAGAATAATACTATCTACACATACTCTTCCAAGAAACTGAACAGGAGGGACTACTTTCCAGCTCATTTTATGAGATCAGAATTACTCTGATATGAAATCCAAACTAAAACATTGATATAGTTTGGCAATATGTCCCCAACCAAATCTCATGTTAAATCGTAATTCTCAGTGTTGGAGATGGGGCCTGGTGGGAGGTGACTGGATCACGGGAATGGATTTCTCATGAATGGTTCAGCGCCACTCCCTTGGTGCTGTCTTCACCACAGTGAGTGACTTCTCACAAGATCTGGCTATTTAAAACTGGGTGGCACTTCATTCTCTCTCTTGTTCCCATTCCTGTTATGTGAGATGCCTGCTCCCACTTTGCCTTCTGCCATGACTGTAAGCTTCCTGAGGCCTCTCTAGAAGCAGATGGTGGTGCCAGGAAGCAGATGTTTCCTGTACAGCCTGAAGAACTGAGATGCAATTAAACCTTTTTCTTATAATTTACTTCTAAATTACACAGTAACTTCTTGTGAGATCTGGTCATTTAAAACAGTGTGGCACCTTGCTCTCTCTTTCATTCCCACTCCTGTTATGTAAGATGCCTGCTCCCTCTTTGCCTTCTGCCATGACTGTAAGCTTCCTGAGGCCTCCCCAGAAGCAGATGGTGGTGACAGGAAGCACATGCTTCCTGTAGAGCCTGCAGATTATAAATTTTCTTATAAATTACACAGTCTCAGATATTTCTTTATAGCAATGCAAGAACAACCTAATACAGAAAAAATGGTACCAAGGAGTGGGGCATTGCTATAAAGATACCTGAAAATATGGAAGCAGCTTTGGAATTGAGTAACACGCAGAGACTAGAAGTGTGTAGAAGGCTCAGAAGGAGACAGGAAGATGAGGGAAAGTTTGGAACTTTTTAGAGACTGGTTAACTCATTGTGACCAAAATGCTGATAGTCATACAGACAATAAAGTCCAGGCTAATGAGGTCTCAGATGGAAATGAGGAATTTATCGGGAACTGGAACAAACATCACACGTTTGCCTCAGCAAAGAACTTGGCTGCATTCTGTACATGCCCTAGGGATCTGCGGAAGTTTGAACTTGAGAGTGATGCCTAGGGTATATGGTAGAAGAAATTTCTAAGCACCAAAGTGTTCAAGATGTTTCCTGCCTGTTTCTAACAGCCTATGCGCAGATGCAAGGGCAAAGGAATGACCTGAAGTTGGAACTTATATTTAAAAGGGAAGCAGAGCAGAAAAGTTTGGAAAATTTGCAACTTGGCCACATGGCAAAGAAAGAAAAAGTTTTTGAGAGAGGATTTCAAGCAGGCTTGTAGAGCAACGACTTCCTAGAGAAATTCACATAACTACAAAGAAGCCAAGGGCTGACAGCCAAGACAATGGGGAAAAAACCTCAAAGGCATTTCAGAGACCTCTTCCTAGAGAAATCAGCATAACTTCAAACACAGCCAAGGCAATGGGGAAAAAACCTCAGAGGCATTTCAGAGACCTTTCAGCAGCCCCTCCCATCACAGAGCCAGAGGTCTAAAAGGAGAGAATGGTTTCATGGGTCAGGCCCAGAGCCCCTCTGCCCTACAGAGCCTCAGGACACTGCTCCCTGCATCCCAGCTGCTCGGGTTCTGCTAGGGTTCTGGCCTCAGATCAAAAGGGCCCAGGTACAGCTTGGGCCACAGCTCCAGAGGGTGCAAGCCATGAGCCTTTGTGGCTTCCATGTGTTATTAAGCCTGTGAGTGCACAGAGTGCAAGGGTTGAGGCTTGGGATTCTCCACCTAGATTTCAGAGAATGTATGGAAAAGCCTGGGTGTCTAGGCAGAAGTCTGTTGCAGGGTAGAAACCCTCATGGAGAACCTCTACTATGACAGTGCAGAGGGGAAATGTGGGATTGAAGCCCCCTCACAAAGTCCCCACTGGGGCACTGCCTAGGAGCTGTGGGAAGAGAACCACCATCCTGCAGACCCAAGAATGATAGATTCACTGGCAGCTTGCACCCTGCACCTGCAAAAGCTATAGGCACTCAAAGCCATCCCATGAGAGCAACCTCAGGAGCCCCTGCAAAGCCACAGGGACAGAGCTGCCTAAGGCCTTGGGAGCCCATTCCTTGCACCAGTGTGCCCTAGATGTGGGACATGGAGTCAAAGGGTATTATTTTGGAGCTTTAAGATTTAGTGGCTGCCCTGCTGAGTTTTGAACTTTCATGGGTCCTGTAGCTCCTTTCTTTTGACCAATTTCCCCCTTTTGGAATGAGAATATTTACCTAATGCCTTTACCCGCTTTGTATCTTGGGAGTAACTAACTTGTTTTGATTTTGCAGGCTCATAGGTAAAAGGAGATGAGTATCAGATGAGACTTTGGACTTGAACTTGGGACTTTTAAGTTAATGCTAGAGGAAGTTAAGACTTTGGGGGACTATTGGGAAGAGATTATTGTATTTTGAAATTCAAGAAGGGCATGAGATTTGGGAGGGGCCGGGGCAGAATAATACAGTTTAGATTTGTGTCTCCACCCAAATTTCATATTGAAATGTAATCCCCAGTATTGAAAGTGGGACCTGGTGGGAGGTGACTGGATCATGAGGGTGGATTTCTCATGAATAGCTTAGCACTATCTTCTTGGTGCTATCCTCACTACAGTGAGTAACTTCTTGTGAGATCTGGTCATTTAAAACAGTGTGGCACCTTGCTCTCTCTTTCATTCCCACTCCTGTTATGTGAGAAGCCTGCTCCCTCTTTGCCTTCTGCCATGTAAGCTTCCTGAGGCCTCCCCAGAAGCAGATGGTGGTGACAGGAAGCACATGCTTCCTGTAGAGCCTGCAGAACTGTGGGCCAATTAAATCTCTTTTCTTATAAATTACACAGTTTCAGGTATTTATTTATAGCAAAGCAAGAATGGCCTCATACAGACATTAAAAGAAAAAAGAAAGAAAATATTGCGTCTATTAGTAGTGAATATAATGATACTTCTTTTCCAGGTAATCCAGGGCTCCCTTACCTTTTCTTCATAATTTGGTAGTTTATCTTTGCATATGGTTATGATGTCCATCCAGGAGTAGTTCCTCTCTCTTCGGATCTTTTCTAATTCTGGATCATTCTCATATTTGTCAGCATCCAGCTAAAAGAGTTAACCCACCAAAAACAAGAGCTCAGATTAACAAGGAGATGTAGAAACATTCTCTTTCTGGATCTCCAATATGATTTTATACTCCAAATTTATCATTTGTTATTTTTTCAACCCTCAACTAACTCTCTTCATCTCCTCTAGCCATTTAATGGATTTTCCATTCTCCAAAACACCAGCTATACATACAATGGAGTTCTGTTTGATTTCTGCCTCCCTTCTCTGCAACAGTCCATCCCAGGGGATTCTTTTTCCCATTTTGAGATGGTAGTCTCACCACCTCAGGCCTTTCTGTCCACTCCACAGGTCCCTCACTGTGCCCTGTTTCTCTGCCACCATCCCACTCATGAGTCTCATTGATCCTCAATGCCATCTCTTTGGTCAGTTTGTTTCCATGAGCCAAAACATTGTATGCTCTCACAGCTTGCAAATAAAACTCAAGTTAATTAAACTGGAATGAGAAACCTTCTATCATCTGGCCCCAGCTGACTTTTCTACTTCTATCTGTTCCCATCTCCTACTTTTTAAAGAACTCTACATTCTAAACCAAATAGGATGATCGGCTATCTTAAAAATATTTGATATTTCACATCCCCACAACCTTGCTCATGACAGCTTTCTATGCCTAAAATTCCCATTCAACATTTTCATTTATCACAATCCTATCTCTATTAAGGTTCAGTTTTACTGTTCCTTCCTGACGAAGCACTTCCCTGATGAAGCTCCAGGCAGAATTCATCTGAACTCTTATTTAAAACTACTGGCAGTGAATCTAGCACACTTTATGTTTTGCAATAAACTGCACATTATATCATCACTACTTACTGAACAACAAACTCCAGTGTTGCAGGAAGTCAGGGACCCCGAATGGAGGGACCGGCTGGAGCCATGGCAGAGGAACATAAGTTTTGAAGATTTCACGGACATCTATCAGTTCTCAAATAATACTTTTATAATTTATTATGCCTGTCTTTAATCTCTTAATCCTGTTATCTTCGTAAGCTGAGGATGTATGTCACCTCAGGACCACTGTGATAATTGTGTTAACTGTACAAATTGATTGTAAAACATGTGTGTTTGAACAATATGAAATCAGTACACCTTAAAAAATAAAATAACAGCGATTTTTAGGGAACAAGGGAAGACAACCATAAGGTTTGACTGCCTGCAGGGTCAGGCAAAAACACCCATATTTTTCTTCTTGCAGAGAGCCTATAAATGGGCGTGCAAGTAGAGAAGGTATCACTAAATTCTTTTCCTAGGAAGGAATATTAATATTAATACTCTGGGGAAGGAATGCATTTCTGGGGGGAGGTCTATAAACAGCTGCTCTGGGAATGTCTGTCTTATGCGGTTGAGATAAGGACTGAGATACGCCCTGGTCTTCTGCAGTACCCTCAGGCTTACTAAGGTGGGGAAAAACTCCACCCTGGTAAATTTGTGGTCAGACCAGTTCTCTGCTCTCGAACCCTGTTTTCTGTTATTTAAGATGTTTATCAAGACAATATGTGCAGCACTGAACATAGATCTTTATCAGTGGTTCTGCTTTTGCCCTTTGCCCTGTGATCTTTGTTGGACCCTTATCAGTGGTTCTGCTTTTGCCCTTTGTCCTGTTCCCTCAGAAGCATGTGATCTTTGTTAGACCCTTATTAGTAGTTCTGCTTTTTGCCCTTTGAAGCCTGTGATATTTGTACCTACTCCCTGTTCTTACACCCCCTCCCCTTTTGAAACCCTTAATAAAAACTTGCTGGTCTGAGACTCAGGCGGGCATCACGGTCCTACCGATATGTGATGTCACCCCTGGCGGCCCAGCTGTAAAATTCCTCTCTTTATACTGTCTCTCTTTATTTCTCAGCTGGCCGACACTTATGGAAAATGGAACCTATGTTGAAATATTGGGGGTGGGTTCCCCCGATACTCCAGAACATATTAAAGTACTAGTCATCAATACGTTATTTTCTACAAAGTTGACTCTAAAACTTAGCCTATCCACTGCATGATATGCACAGTACTATTTGCTATGGTCTGAATGTGTCCATATTATGACACATAATATGTAATATGACACATTATATGACACGTGTCATAAGTTTAAATATACGAATGTTGAAACTTAACACAAATGTGATAGTATTAAGGGGTGGGACCTTTAGGATGTGATTAAGTCATGAGGGCAAGCCCTCATTTATAGGATTAGTGGCCTTGTAAGAGAGATGGAGCTGGGCACTGTGGCTCACACCTATAATCCCAGAACTTTGGGAGGCCAAGGTGGGCAGATCACCTGAGGTCAGGGGTTCAAGACCAGCCTGTCCAACATGGTGAAACCCCATCTCTACTAAAAATACAAAAATTAGCCAGGCATGGTGGTCCACGCCTGTGATCCCAGCTACTCGGGAGGCTGAGGCAGGAGAATCACTTGAATCCAGGAGGCAGAGGTTGCAGTGAGCCAAGACTGCGCTACCAGCCTGGGTGACAGAGCGAGGCTCCATCTCAAAAAAAAAAAAAAAAAAAAAAAAGAGCAAGAGAGATGTAAGAGAGCAGTTTGCCCCTTCCACCACATGAGGACAGAGCAAGGAAATGGCCGTCTATGAGGACAGGATCCTCATCAGACACTAAATCTGCTGGCACCTTAATCTTGGACTTCTTAGCCTCTAGAACTATAAGAATTCTATAAATTGCTGTTGTTTATAAATTGCCCAGTTTAAGCTATTTTTGTCATTTTGTTATAGCAGCAGGTATTTAGTTTATTCCAAGCTAAAATAATCTTCCAATTGTTTGTATGTATGACAAAAGGTTTTTTAGAACTCTATGTCACTAATAACAGATTGATTAAACAGATACACAAACATGTCCACATGTGTTACCTCTGTTAAAAATTATGGGAGATGTTACATATATATAATGTTAATATGGGGTGTGTGTGTGGCTTTTTTGTTTTTTGGGTTTTTTTAGAGATGAGGTCTCAAACTTCTGGCTTCAGGCAATCTGCCGCCTCAGCCTCCCAAAGTGCTGGGATGACAGAAGCCACCATGCCTGGCCCAGGAGAGGTCACTGTTTTGGACTGAGCCCCTGCACTAGGCCCCAGGATGAGACCAAACCAAAATGCAGCCACTCATGCCATATGCCACTTGATCAAACTAAAACTTTAAAGAAGGAGGTGCATCTCAAACAGACCAGCTTTTCCTGCGATCAGAAGATTCCAGTCTTCCTGAGTCAGAATAATAAGGAAGTCGCTTCTGCTTTAACCCTTAGGAAAAAAGTAACCTAATGTAACTTGACGTTAACCAATCAGCTTTTCTACCTATTGTTCTGTTTCTTTGTTGCCGCCCTACAAAACCCACTGTTGTGCTATTACCCTATCGAGCTCTTATTCTATTTTGTAGAACGGAGGTTGCCCTATTCACAAATCAAGAATAAAAGCTAATTAGATCTTTAACTAAATTTGTTGTAATTTTGTCTTCCAACAGCACTGATCCAGAATGGATATTAAGAAAGCATATAGGCCGGGTGCGGTGGTTCGTGTCTATAATGCCAGCACTTTGGGAGGCCGAAGTGGGTGGATCACCTGAGGTCAGCAGTTCAAGATCAGCCTGACCAACATGGAGAAACCCTGTCTCTACTAAAAATACAAAATTAGCCCGGCATGGTGCTGTGCACCTTGTAATCCCAGCTACTCGGGAGGCTGACACATGAGAATGGCTTGAACTCGGGAAGATGAGGTTGCGGTGAGCCGAGATCATGCCACTGCACTCCAGCCTGGGCAAAAAGAGCAAAAAAAAAAAAGAAAGGAAGAATATAAAAACACACAGGACATTAAAACCACAGAGTAAACATGATTTAATTTTGATAGCCCTGACTCAGAGCAGAACTAGACGGTAGGAAAAACTATGTTTGAGCCCATGTAATAATCTAAAAGATGTCTATTAAAATAAATCTTATTTTATTCTTTGAATACATTAAGAAGCTGACCTGTAATCTCACTCTTGTTCTTGTTCTTAAAACCGTCAAATGCACAATGAAACTCCCCAAGTGTATTAATTTGAACCCTCTGGTTGTTTGGATTGTGGATAAACATAATAAGTCAAAATTTATTCTCCTCTCATTAATGGAAAACTATAAACCACTTGATTGCTTTGAAGAAGTACCCTCCAGCAAGGTAAGTGTTAAACCTTATCCTAGGAAAAGACAAATACTATGTAAACATTAACATGCATGCCCTGTTTCGCACTGGTATGCCAATTGTCACTTCCCTCTTCTGTTATTTAGGATAGAACAAGATGATATCCAAATAGATTATGCTGGAATATTCTATAATCCTTTCCCAAGGGAAAAAGTGTGGTGTCCAGGTAACCCTGTGTATTTCATTTAAATCACATGAATGAAGATTAGATCCAGTCACCCCTCAGCCTATCCCTGAGGCCTACCCTGGCCCTCTCTTTTGCAGTAAACCTTTGTTACTGCAAAACCATTTGCAAATAAACAAGGTGAGCGGATCTGGACTGGTGCTGTGCAAGCAACGGGACACCGGTGCAAAGCCTAGCCCCGCCTTGCAAAGCTAGCGTTACAGAGGCAGGGCTGACACCGGGCCCAGCCGGGACCCAAGCCAGCTCCACCGCCCACTGGAGACGCCCCCACCCCACCACCGAGCGCTACCCCCCGGGGATCCCCGACAGACCGCGGCAGGACCCCGCCTCGATCTGCTGGCGCCCGGTCCCTCCCCCAGGACACTTTCAAGCGGAGTCCCCCTTCCTCCGATAGAAGAAACCCCTGGGCCTTTGACCGAGGTTAGCCAGGCAGGCAGGGCGTCGGACAAGCCCAACGAGCCCACGAACTCGCAGCCCGCCTCCGGCGAATCTTGCAGCCCTGCCGGCCGACCCTTCAGGTCGCTGCCAATCCCGGAGCTGCGCGTGCGCAGCGAGTCCCGGCTGCGAGGCCCCTGACTCGCCAACTCTGCTGCTGAGCATGCGCAGCACACCCCAGGCAACAGAAACGGACCGCCGACCCCCACCAGCCCCGCTGCTGAGCATGCGCAGCCCACCCCAGGCGCCGGAAGCCGACCGCCAACCCCGTAAACTTCGCTGCTGAGCATGCGCAGCACACCACAGGCGCTGGGGGCTGACCGCCGACCCCTCAACGCCGCTGCTGAGCATGCGCAGCACACCCAGGCGCCGCGCAGGAGGCCCTGACCACCCAGCCCCACTGCTGAGCATGCGCAGCCCACCCCAGGCACCGGGAGCCGCCACGAACCCCCAAATCCCGCTGCTGAGCATGCGCAGCATGCCGCGGCTCCCAGGCCGCTGCCCGGCACCTGGAGGAGGCTGGGCTGTGCGCGGCGTTTGGGGGTCGGCGTCGCCCGCACGCTCTGCGAGGCTTGGGCTCGCGTACCTTCCAGTAGAGCACCCCGAGCCGCCGCAGCTGCTCCAGGCCCACTGGGCGGCCGGGGTCGGGGCGGTGGGGTTGCCGCGGGTCGCCCGGGGCGTCGTCCATATACCAGGCCTGCACCATGACGCGCAGTGCGGGTGCCGTGTTCGAACCCAGGGGCCGCGCTCGGAGCCCGTCGGCCGCGCTTTATCTTATAGGGAGGCGTGGACGCGCATGGGAGCCGGGATTGGGCGGCTGGTTGGAGGCAGGGCCGGCGCGGGGGAGGCCCCACGGCTCCGCTGTTTTCGGAAGCAAAGGCATTCAAGCCCCGACCCTGTCCTGGGCACCCTCGGACCTGCCTGAGGCCCGCGGCCCGGGGCCAGCCGTTCGCCAGACGCGCCGGGCAGGTGAAGCTCACCGTAGGCATCGCACGTGCCTTGTGTGTGCTGCCGCGGTCTCCCTGCACCTTCAGAGCAATCTTGTGAGGCAAACGACGTTAAACGTGTTTAGAGTATGGAAAGCAAATGCAAAAAAAAAAAAAAAAGAATAAGGATTTTGTTAAGCTCATGCAGTCCATATGGGCACAGTTGAGACTTCACAGCTCGGATCCCAGGTGAGACATTGTCCTCCACCTCCCCGCTCGCCAGACTTTTGCAGTGTCGGCATTCTGCAGTGCTACCCTGTACTTTTTAAACTTCCTCTTGTTTCCTCTTTTCATCGTTTCTCCCTTCCCCATACACTGTAATGTGCTAGTCTTAGAATAAAAACAAGCTTCCCCTATCCCATTCTGAATTTTTCAATGTAGCTAATAAAGTCCAGCCGCTTGACCATCCTAGATGTCTTTTCAAACCAACGAGTTGAAAAAGATCAGATTATCTCAGCCATTCCCTCAGTCTCTTTAACAAATAACGATAAAGCAGACAGGATTTAAATGAGACTGCTGTAAGAGCACAACCCCAATGCATGCAATTGACTCTTGAACTTCCAGAAATATTGCAAGAAAAATACACACTTATTTCATTTCTGTTCCCTTGCTCTAATGGCTTTGCAAATACATCCTCCTTAGAGAGCCTACCTCTCCACCTCTTCACTTGACCAGTTACTACTCATCCTTCAAGAACACACCTTAGACGCCATTGCCCATTTTTCTGCAGCACTCATGACAAACCTTCATGCAAGAATCTAATGGCAATCTCGCACCTCGCATTTTCTCCTTAAGCCACTGCAATAAGGCTTCGCTTCTCACCACTGGGGAACTGCTAATGACTGCCATATTGCCAGATCCAATCATGGCACTTCTGTTCTTACCAGCAACATTCGTCACAGTTGCCCACGCCCTTCTTGAAACATTTTCTCATTTTCCTTCATGAGGGCATCTTGGCTGCTCCTTCCCAGGCCCCTCCTAGCTCCTGCTCCTCTAACCACTGGTTAGTGGAGCGTTCCAGACTCTCCTCGTCCTGTTCCTATCCACTCACTCCAGGCGACTTTCCATGCTGTGCTGCCGGCTCCTGCAGCCACATCTCCAACCTGGACCTCATTCCAGAACCTCAGGCTTGAGTATCCAGTTGGTGTTGTCACATACATGGCTAATCAGTGTGTCAAACCTAACATGGCCAAAACAACTGATTCCCCACACACACCCCCAAACATGCTTCTCCCTAACCTTTCCCGTCTCAGTGAACGGCAGCACTGACTGCCCAGTGGCTTAATAAAAAAATCTAGGTGTACTCTCAGTTTTGCTTTTCCTCACCCTCAAGATCCAATCCAATCTATCAGCAAGTCATGTTGCTTTGACCTTCGAAACACACCGCAAATCCATTCACTTCTCTCCAGCCCAACTCTTTCTGCAGTCTTTTCTTGCCTGATGGAATTGACTACTGAAATTCCCCCTCCTCACACCGCTTCCATTTTTGCCCCAGTGCAATCCATTCTATGCACAGCACCCAGAGTGACCTTTTAAAAATAGGAGCCAGATGCCAGGCACTGTGGCTCACGCCTGTAATTCCAGCACTTCGGGAGCCCAAAGAGGGTAGATCACTTGACCAGCCGAGGCAACATGGTGAAACCCCGTCTCTACTAAAAGTACAAAAATTAGCTGGCCGTGGTGGTTTGCACCGCTAGTCCCAGCTACTCTGCAGGCTGAGACAGGAGGATTGCTTGAGCCTGGGAGTCTGAAGTTGCAGTGAGTTGAGATTGTACCACTGCACTGTAGCCTGGGTGACAGAGCAAGACTCTGTCTCAAAAAACAAACAAACAAAAAAACATGGAATCCAGTCAAGCCCCTTTTCTGCTTCAACCCTCCTTTCTATAGCCTCGGCCTGACCACCTCACAGCCCATCGCCCTCCTTTCTTGTTCTCTGTCCTCCAGATACTTTGGCCTTTCAGTGTATTTGAGTCATATGCTCCTCCTTCCTTTGGGCCCTTCACCCATGCAGTTTTTCCACTGAAAATGCTCTTCCTTCCTCCAAGTACTTTTCTCCTATACAAAATTCTAATTTCAGCTTAACTATCCCTTTCGTAGAGAAGCCTTCTCTGACCACTCCCTAGACAACTAGATGGGCTCTCCGTGTGAAACACTGCCATGGTGCTAGCTTAGAGTTTGTAAGGACATGTTGACTTGATGTCTTTTCACCAAAGGACTGACCACTCCATGTGTTGTTTGGTACTTGCTGAATGAATGGATTTGTCTGTATTGCTGAGTGCCGCATATACCTTGAGGTCAGAGAATGTGTCTTATTAGTCCTTCAGTGCTTGGTACATAGTAGACAATTTTTTTAAAAGTTTGTTGAATGAAGGGATAGGATGAGGAACACTCCAAATAGTCTTTACTGTCTTACTGTAACTGCACTCCTATCTCATATCTAATGCTTCTCATTTACTAGAAAATAGTAGTACTAGGCTGGGTGCTGTGGCTCATGCCTGTAATCCCAACACTTTGGGAGGCCAAGGTGGGAGGATCACTTGAGGCCAGGAGTTCCAGATCAGCCTGGGCAATACAGCAAGACCCCATCTCTACAAAAAATATTTTTATTAAAAAGAAAATAGTAATTGTGACAATAATAATAGTAGTGTGTGCTGGGTAACATTTTAAAGATTTGATGCATATTATTATTTTTACTCCTCATGATTACACTGTGAAGTTGGTATGACTTATTATCCACATTTTAAAGATGAGACATGGGAGGCTGAGGCAGGAGGACTGCTTGAGCCCAGGAGTTTGAGACCAGTCTGGGCAACACAGCAAGACCCCATATCACTTAAAAACAAATGAGACAACTAGGACACAAACAGGTGAAGTAACTTATGGTCACACAACCAGAAGTGACAAAGCTGGTATTTGAGCTTGGGGAGCCCAGCCCAACAGCCTGTACACATAACTGCTAAAATCGAGTACAAGAAGTAATGATGTGGGTTTCATCCCATCGTAGAATAAACTTCATCTTGAAATTGGAAGAGTGCTTCCGGTTCCCCTCCCACCCCCAGGCTGCGGCAGCCCCACACCATTATGTATCTACCATTTGTCAGCCTCTGTCTTCAGTAGCTGTTCCTTTTTTCCTATTAGGTATGGGGGAAACAGTTTTATGCCATAAAAAACATACTTTAGAAAAGCAAGATGATGGAGAGGCTCTGAGGAATTGCCAAGGCAGCCCAGCACTTGCTGCTGGCAGGAGTTCAAGCGGGCAGAATCAGATGAGAACAGCACTCATTACTTCATACGGACATTGCCGGCCCATGGGATTCCTCCTTTGAAGAGGAATCTTTGGAACTTGAACTGTCTCTTCCAGAAGAATAGCCAGCAGCAGCCCAAAAATATGTTTCATGACCAGAATTTATCACCCCGATGTAAGACACTTGGGAAGAATCTGTTTAGATGTTTTGAAAGACAGATGGTCGCCATCGCCGCAGACCTGCGCAGACTGTTATCCGTCTGGGCTTTGTGATATGCTCCCAACCCAGGGGCGCGTTAACAAACCATATAGGGATACAGTAGAGCCACAGAAGAACAGGAAGATCCAAACTGCTGGAATGTGGAACGCAGATAAGGCTCTATAGACGGGCAGCAAGTTTTCTCTGGAAAAGGCCAGATAGTAAATCGTTTAGGTTTTGTAGATCGAGTCAAAATTGAGGATAGTATGTAGGTATTTATACAACAACCACATTACAGCATAAAAACCATTCTTAGTTCATGGAACATACAAAAACAGGCAGCAGACTGAATCTGGCTCATAGCCTGGAGTTTGCCAATGCCTGCCATGCACTATTAATAATAGTTAATTTTTATCTGATGATCAAGTGTACTTTACTTCTGGCCTGTGGAAAGAACTGCCAAGAGTCGGAGATGTTTACACTCTGCAAGCTAAGAAATTAGCCTGTCCCAGATTCATGGGTGTTAACAGAAGTCAAGAGATTATCGGCTCAGAGATAAAACACAGCCTATTACTCAGGAGCAACAGCGGTAGCAGGGGCCACAGTGTCTGCAGTTTTGCACAGGTTGCTGAACGCCAGTCCCCACCAAGGGAACTTGAAAAGGGATGATACCTGCATCTTCAGTGGGTTGCATTACAGGGGAGGAACTTTGAGCTTGGGAAAACCAAAATATTTCCCTGAGTCATACTCAGCTATTCAGCAGAAATGCTTCCTGTGTACTTCCCAATTTGTCACAGAGAATGTTAGAAAGATGTCTACTCAAAGGTCAAAATTTAATAAAACCAGTCATTTTTACAGCTTCATTAAAGACATTCTTAAGAGAAGCGGGGGTTTGTTTTTGTTTCTGTTGTTCCAGTGCAGGTGTGTGAAAAACACAATGACTGCTGGTACAGTGTGTACCATGTCGTGGCTCTCTTGGGCACGGAGAGCTGAGCCCATCACTGACTTTGCACCATGAGGGCAGTGCTCAACACAGAGAAGAAGGTACATGTCATCCTGGCATTGTGAGACAAATAGTTTTGACTTCAAACATCTCCATACTGTAAGAACCACAGCTCTCATCTTTTTTGTTCAGGGTACTTTAGGTTGCAGGTGACAGAAATCCAACAAGTTGGCCAGGCGCGGTGGCTCATGCCTGTAATCCCAGCACTTTGGGAGGCCGAGGCGGGCAGATCGCAAGGTCAGGAGTTCGAGACCAGCCTGACCAACATGGTGAAACCCTGGGTATGGTGGTGCACACCTGTAATCCCAGCTATTCAAGAGGCTGAGGCAGGAGAGTCACTTGAACCCGGGAGGTGAAGGTTGCAGTGAGCCAAGATTGCGCCACTGCACTCCAGCCTGGGCGACAGAGTGAGACTCCATCTCAAAAAAAGAAAAGTCCAAGTTACCTAAGCAAACAAACGGGAACAAAGATATGTTGGATCACATAAATGAGAAGGGTTAGAGCAGAACGCACCTTGGGCATGGCAGGATTCAGGGCTGAAAGTATGTTAACAGCTCTGTCTATGTCTCTTTGTCTCTATCTTCTCCATATGTGTGTGTCTCTCTCTTCACTTAGCTTTTCTTCTCTTCTCTCCCTCTTTCTGCCCCCTTTTCTCCCTCCTGTCTCTCTTCCTCCCTCTGTCTCTCCTTCTCTCTTTCTCTCTCTCCTCCCTATCTCAACCCTCTTTTCTCTGTGCCTTGTCTGAATACTCAGCTACTAAAAAGAGCTCTCTGCATGGGTCAGAAAACAGCCGCCAGTAGCTCTAAGACTGCACTTGCTTGCAATTCAAGGCAAAAGAGCTCTGTTATGTAATGATGGGATATCCAGTCTCATGGGAGATTCCAGACTGCAAGCCCTTTAGATCTCTCTGGGAGCCCGAGGTGCAGACTCCACTACCCTGGGCCTGGCCGGGTGCCCAGTCTGGGAGGTGCTCTGCCTGGCAGCCCCTCAGCCCCACGACTGGTCAGGGAGAGGGGCGGTGGAAGGGCAGACCGACAGGCCAGACGTCCATGACAAATACTAAGCTGCCAAGGTGTCCTACTGGTGAGTGTTTCCAACAGCTTGCAAGTGAAAGAGACGAGCAAAGCTGCTCTCAATGCCACGACTTCAGGTCTCATACCCTCCTGGCTGTTCCCTGTTGAACCCAGTCTGAGTGCTGCCAGGGCAGACACCATTCTGTGGAGGAGGCTGAGTCTACACCACTCTTCCTGGGAGGGCCAAAACTGACTTAATGTCTTCTAAATGGAACAGCCTGAAGGGCTTGCTGGGAAATAGAGAAAACAGTAAGGGACCAGAGGTATGATAAATAATGGAAGACGGGTGGATGGCTAGAAGCTGCGGAGGAGCACCTGGGTAAAAAGGGTTGTTTCAGGAGCAGTTGACAGCTGACAGCTAAGAATATAGTATGTTTGCAGTGAAAGCAAGGGTGTCTCTATAAATAAGCCTGGGGTTAACACTAAGACCTGTGTAATGACAACCAGTGAGACTGTCCCAGACCCTACAAGTCAAGGAAGGCAGGCAGGTTCACAGATGATACCTAAAATGACAGGAGACTGTAATAGATTCCTGTATCAGAGTCACGCCTAGTACTGCACATGAAAAAAAACCACTTCCAGAATACCGTTCCCAATTAGGGTAGCAAGTGTTGATAATTATTGAAGGTAGGTGACAGAGGTATTTGGATGGTCAACAAACCATTCTCTTGTGTATTTCAAATTTTTTGAAAATTTTCAATTTTAAAAAAGTTATGTTATCTATAGGCCGGGCGCCGTGGCTCACGCCTGTAATGCCAACACTTTAAGAGGCTGAGGCACATGGATCACCTGAGGTCAGGAGTTTGAGATCAGCCTGGCCAACATGGTGAAACCCCGTCTCTACTAAAAATACAAAAATGAGCTGGGAATGGTGGTGGGCACCTGTAATCCCAGCTACTCGGGAGGCTGAGGCAGGAGAATCGCTTGAACCTGGGAGGCAGAGGTTGCAGTGAGCCGAGATCATGTCATTTCACTCCAGCCTGGGTGATAGACCACGACTCCATCTCAAAAAATGATAATAATAATAATAAAAAAAGTTGTGTTCTCTATAAATCAACAAGCAACCCATCTGTGCATGTAAATTTTCTTAATTGAAAAAAGGGAGTGTGGGTATGGATTTCTTCAGAAAGAAGCAGCATATTCAGAAACAGCTGCCTGGAGGACACAGTCAGCAAAATGTGGTTGAAACTAATTAAAAGGAAAACATTTCTCTTGATCTTCATACATCTTCTTTGAAGTAAAGATGGAGGTTTTTTTCCTGGGAGAAAATGCAGGCTGGTTTACAGCATTTCAGTGAATTATGCCAGACCTCCGTGCCCCCAGGATGAAATCTAACCACATGTCCATTCCAGGGTATCTCATTCTGCATTTGTCATCATCTTCAAGGTCACACTGCCCCCAAAACGTTTCCCAAAATGTGTCTCATGTCACCTAAGTTGTGAGGTGAATAGCAAAAAGGGTTTTGAGGTTAAAAAAAAAAATGTGAGAAAACCCGGTCCTAGCTCCGTCCTGGGCAGTGGGAAGGCTTGCGATGAAGACACTGTTTCAGGTAACACAACTGTTGGCTCTTAGGGCAGAGGCATCTACTGACTCCGAAAATGTTCCATAGAACATTCTTCGGTGAACACCAATGTTGGGGGCTGGGAAGGCCAAGGCAGAGAAGCAAAAACCCAAGAAGGGCGAACGACTCGAGTCGCTTTAGGAGTCGGAGAGGTGGCTCCACGCTCCTTGGCCGAGTCACCACCAGCAGGCCGGCAGCACGGGCTCCACACACCCTGACTCCGGAGCTTGGCGTCCCGGGACACAGGGAGGGCGCAGGGCTCAGAGGCGCGCCCCCCCCCCCACCCAGCCTGCACTCTTCCCCCAGTCTGCAGGGCGCCCCCCTACCACCCCCTCAAAAGAGAAAAATCACACAGGGTGGGGCAGAGAGCGTGGCACAGGGTGGGAGCGCAGTGCTGTGTGCGCGGAAGGGGGGTTGCTGGTGTGTGGTGTGTGTATGGTGTGTTGTGTGAGGGCAGTGGTGTGTGCATATGGTATGGTGTATGTTGTGTGCTGTGTGTGATGTGTGTCTGTGGTGTGTGTGGTGTAATGCCTGTTGTATATGGTATGTGTATAGTATGTTGTGTGTTGAATGTGTGTGGTATGTGTATGTTGTGTGGTGTGTGTGATGTGTCTGTGGTGTGTGTGATGTGTGTGTATACTGTGGTGTGTGTTTGGTGTGTGTAATGCCTGGTGTACGTGGTATGTGTATAGTATGTTGTGTGTTGAATGTGTGTGGTGTGTGTATGGTGGAGTGTGTATGGTATGGTGTGTTGTGTGTGTTGTGTGGTAAGTGTGGTGTATGGCGTGTGTGGTGTGACATGGGTGTGGTGTACTGTGTCTGTGGTGTGTAGTGTGTTGTGTGGGGTGTGTGGTATAGTGTGATGTATATGTGTAGTATGGTGTGTGTATGTGGTATCTGTAGTGTAGGGTGTGATGTGTGGTGTGTGTGGTGTATGTATGGTATGTTGTGTGGTGTGTTTATGGTATGGTGTATGTGTGGTGTGTGTGATGTGTGTATGGTGTGTGGTGTGTGTTGTATGTGGTGTGTGTGGTATGTGTTGTGTGTGTTGTCTATGGTGTGTGTGGTGTGTGTGCTGTGGTGTATGTGCTGTGTGTGGTGTGTGGTGTGTATGGTGTGTTGTGTTTGTGTTGTCTATGGTGTGTGGTCTGTTGTGTGTAGTATGTGTGCTGTGTGTGTTGTGTGGTGTGTGATGGGTTTGGTGTGTGTTGTGTATGGTGTGTTATGTGTGTGTTGTCTGTGGTGTGTGTTGTGTGTGGTGTGGTGTGTGGTGTGTGTTGTGTGTGGTGTGCTGTGTGGTATGTGTTGTGTGGTGTGTATGGTGTGTGGTGTGTGGCGAATTGTGTGTTGTGTATGGTGTGTGTTGTCTGGTGTGTGGTGAATTGTGTGGTGTGTGTGGTGTGTGTGGCGTGTTGTATATGGTGTGTTGTGTGTGTGTGTGTGTGTGCGCGCGCCCTTGCGTCTGCACAGGTGCTGGAGGAGCCGTCTGCGTCTGGGGAGCTTGTGGGCCGAGGCGGTGGGAGGCTGGTGGGCGGCGGCGCAGAGTCCGGAACCGTCTGCTGAGCTCCTGGCCCAGCGCTCCTCAGCCCGCGGGGATCCCACCCTCATCTTGAGCCTCTGGGGAGGACCGAGAGTGAACGCTTCTGCAGCCGGGCTGCCTGCGGCTCTCTCGGGTGTAGGGCACAGCAGCCCGATGCCAAAGCCGGGCCTGGCTGCTCCACCTCACGGGCCACCTCAGGGGGTGTGTCACACTGAGAAACGCCGCCCGCCCGCAGAGTGACGCCTGGACCCTGGCCTCTCATCACACTAAGATCCCCGCTGAGGCCTGCGCGCTGCTCCGTGACCCTTCCTTTGTGCGCATGCCCTGCACTCTGCCCACACGTGCAGGGGCATTCACCACACTGGGGAGCTCTGCGCGTCGCCCTCCTGGAGACTGCAGTGCACGCCCCTGGGGAGCCTGCGAGCCCCCGCCCCTGTGCCACCTCCCTCGTGCCCACCTTCCCGGGCGCAGCTCTAAACGGCCTTGTCGGGGAAACTCGCCCGGCCATATGTTGACTTCTAACACGTTGAGAGCCAAGAGCCACATGGCCACATGTGGACATCACTTCCTAATGACCCGCAGGACTCCACTGCAACACGGAGCTGTCGTTTATGTAAATGCACTTCTATTGTTGCTTTTTAGATTTTTGCTGTTTGTGACTTTTATAAATAATGTTTCAAAAACATTCTTGTTCATGTTTTATCCACTTTTATTATTTACTTAAGATAAATTTTAAAACGCACCTATCTATACCTGTGCAAGACACTGTCCTGGGGGGAAGTGTGTGAAGGAGACCCAGGGCCTCCTTGCACTTTTTCTGCACCTGCCTGTGAATCGATACTTATTTAAAAATACGTAGTTTTAACATCACGTTAGCTTCAACAACGAACGGTGCTGGAACAAGTGAATATCCCACAAAATACATATGCACACGAAACTTGGCTTATCTTCTTTAATTTAGCCTGAAGGAACTAATTTTCTGAATTTAAAATGCAGAAGCTGGATTTGTAGCTTGAACCTGTGGTCCCAGCCGCTCAGGAGGCAGAGGTGGGAGGATCGCCCCAGCCCAGGAGGTCCAGGCCGCGGAGCGCGGTGATCGCGCCGCTGCACTCCAGCCTGGGCCAACACCAACCACCACACCACCACCACATGTATGTAGTTGTTTGCCATGACTGTTACTGTACAAATTGTGGAAGGAAGAAATATGTACTAAAATCTCCAGTGGGACCCGCATGTCCCTACTGACAGACATTTCAAGACACCTGAAACTCTGAAGCAGTCTCGTGATGTGCGCAAAAGGCCCCCATTCTGTGTGCCTCACGCGGGGCAAAGCTCTGGGCCTGGCGGCACTGGCCACCCTGCCAGCCTCAGGATCACCCAGGGCAAAGCATCGCCCTTCACTGCCCCTGCCCTCTGTCTCCCATCTCACCTGCCTGCACTCCTCTGTGTATGGTGCCCTGGGACACAACGCCAGCGATCTCTGAACGGGCACCCATTCTCTCCCTCCAGCCCTGTCAGTCCACTGCTGTGCCCTGGCCCGGCCCCGTTGCCACCATTGCAGTGAGCCACAGGAAGGGCCCCCACCCTGGACTGGGTGGTCCACACTGCAAATGACCCCGGCCCACAGCGGGGCTTAGGCAGGCACCATTTTCTGCTGAAATGCAAGGAATCCCTTTTCCTAAAGGCCAGAAACACATCTAACTGATGGTGCTTAGCTTGGAGGCACTCACTACCAATTTATCACCCGAATGGAAAATGTTGAGGGAGTGCTAGATGAGGCCATGAGATGTGAGACTGTGTAAGCGACACAGTGTGGGGAAGAAGGAATGAGAGTATTAGTAGTAGTACTACGGGGAAGAAGGAATGAGAGTATTAGTAGTAGTAGTATGGGGAAGAAAGAATGAGAGTTTTATTATTAGTAGGATGGGGAAGAAGGAATGAGAGTATTATTATTAGTGGGGGGGAGAAGGAATGAGAGTATTAGTAGTAGTATGGGGAAGAAGGAATGAGAGTATTATTATTAGTAGGATGGGGAAGAAGGAATGAGAGTATTATTATTAGTAGGAGGGGGAAGAAGGAATGAGAGTATTAGTAGTAGTAGTACGGGGAAGAAGGAATGAGAGTATTAGTAGTAGTAGTATGGGGAAGAAAGAATGAGAGTTTTATTATTAGTAGGACGGGGAAGAAGGAATGAGAGTATTATTAGTAGGGGGAAGAAGGAATGAGAGTATTATTATTAGTAGGGGGGAAGAAGGAATGAGAGTATTAGTAGTATGAGGAAGAAGGAATGAGAGTATTATTATTAGTAGGATGGGGAAGAAGGAATGAGAGTATTATTATTAGTAGGAGGGAAGAAGGAATGAGAGTATTAGTAGTAGTATGAGGAAGAAGGAATGAGAGTATTATTATTAGTAGGATGGGGAAGAAGGAATGAGAGTATTATTATTAGCAGGAGGGAAGAAGGAATGAGAGTATTAGTAGTAGTAGGAAGAAGGAATGAGAGTATTATTAGTAGGAGGGAAGAAGGAATGAGAGTATTAGTAGTAGTAGGAAGAAGGAATGAGAGTATTATTATTAGTAGGATGGGGAAGAAGGAATGAGAGTATTATTATTAGTAGGGGGGAAGAAGGAATGAGAGTATTAGTAGTAGTATGAGGAAGAAGGAATGAGAGTATTATTATTAGTAGGATGGGGAAGAAGGAATGAGAGTATTATTATTAGTAGGAGGGGGAAGAAGGAATGAGAGTATTAGTAGTAGGATGGGGAAGAAGGAATGAGAGTATTATTATTAGCAGATGATGGGATTGCATACCTGGAAAACTCAAGGAAATTAACAGGAAAAGTGTTAAGACACAGTAGGAGAGTAAGCAGGTATTGTTACAAAACAGTGGCTTTTCCGTATAAACAAGAACAGTTTCTAACAGCCTTAATAATTGCATTAAAAAGCAAATTAAGTTGGAACAAACTTAATATGCCCTAAAACTCTGCTGCCACCCTGTGCTTCCAGCATTTGCAGAAATTTGGATACAGCGGCTCTGTTCCTTTTGAGTCCGTGCAAAACTCAGGGACACTCTTCCAAGGACAGGATTTTCTAGCTCCCCATGATTGCGTGAGCCCAGGTGTTAGGACCAGCCTGGGCAACATAGAGAGACCCTGCCTTTACAAAAAATTTAAAAATTAGCTAGGCGTGGTGGTACACACCTGTAGTTCCAGCTACCCAAGAGGCTGAGGTGGGAGGATTGCTTGAGCCCAGGAGTTCAAGGCTGCAGTGAGCTATGATTGCTCCACTGCACTCCAGCCTGGATGACAACGTGAGGCCAAAAATAATTTCAAGAGATCATCATTAAAAAGCTGTGGGTGGGAAGTCTACAGCTATTTTAATTATAAACCTGATAGGAAAAAGTTACGTTTCCAGAAGCTGCTCATTAAATGTTTTGAAGAGTGTTTATTTGGAAGTTGTATCCAAGTTTTCTACCTATGGTCTTTGGTCTTCCCTAACACTTTGTACTTTATTTGTGCTATAAGTACAATTGTTGTAGAAGCCCAAATACCAGGTTCATGTACCTGCCGTATAGCTGAGGCCGAACACTGCGACATAGGTGTCTGGAGACAGAGAAAGGTTTATTCCATTTGGCCAAAGCAAGAAGACAAGACAGCAAGATTTCTCAAATCCCCTTGACAAAGAGATAAGGAGAGGGTTTTTATGCAGCTGACGAGTCAGGGAAGGGGAGTTTTGGGGAATGGAGGGAAAGTCCGTGTGTCTTCCGTGTCAGCTAACACTTTGAGCAGCCAGACCTCCGGGTGTCAGCACCTGGTCGCAGCACTTTCAAGGCATTCACTCCGTCTGCAAACATTTCTCATGACCCTCATGTTATCTCCTCCCGTTTGACAAAGAAACAGTAGATCAGCAGTTTATAATGATGCTGTGGGAACAAGAAATAATGGGTACAAAGCGAGTGGTTCACAGGTGCCAGCCAGAGAGGGCCCGATCAGAACGTTCATTATTTCAGTCACTCACTGAAACATGCTGAGTGCTGAACTCCCAAGGGGCCCCGTTACTCAGCCTCGCATCCCTTGACTGGGATAGGTTCTAAGGAAGGTGTCCTTAGGTGATTTCACACCCCTAGATGGTACAGCCCACTACACACCCGGGCCACGTGGCACAGTCTATGGCTTCTGGGCTATAAACCTGTACAGCAGGTCACTGCTCTGAATCCTGCAGGCAACTGTCACACAATGGTAAGGATTTGTGTATCTAAGCATAGGAAAGTTACAGCAAAAACACGGTATCATCATCTGACGAGGCCCCTGTTGAATATGCAGTGCATCATTGACAGAAATGTTGCTATGCAGTGCATGATTGCATGTAAAGAATTTAGTGAAAGTGTTCACTGAGGCCCAAAGAGATGCACCCAACAACGCCCTCCATTTGGCCCTGATGTGCTGTAGAAATCATATTTTCTAGCCGTACCCTGACATTATAAAGGCTGGGAGGCACCGCACTAAGGGGCATGGAGGCGCTCTCCCGCGCAGACAGGACTGATGGAGCTGCTCACCCTTCGGGCAGAGCGAGGCGAGAACCCAGGCCTCTGTGCCCACAGAGAAGCCGATCGTGCTGCCTCAGGGGAAGGGAAAGGACGCATAAAATGTCACCCGGGCCTTTTCTCCAAAGAGAGCCGCGAGGCTTGCTCCTTCCTCACACTGCCCTCTCAGAGCTCACCTCTCCTGGCACAGCCTGGTGCCAACAAACATCTTGCAAGCACTGACTGAGCCCCGGCCAGAAGTCTGGTTCTGTTCCAAGAGCTGGGAACCAAGAAGGGAGCAGAGAGATAAAACTTCTGCCACAGGGAGTTTATTTTCTAGGTAGGGAAACAGACCAAAATACATGCAAATAAAACCAGCGGAAAGCAGCCCACTGATGTGCTGGTCGATGTCTCACAGCAGCTCTGGGGGATGGCGGCCCCTGACCTGCAGCACTGGCTGATTTCTGCGGTGTGAGTCCTCCCACTACAGCCACCTCCAAACTCCCTGTGTGAAGGCACTGACCACGGAGTGGGGAAGGGGCCTCACTGCTGGCCCTCCTGGGCTGCTACGAGTCGGCTCAGGCACACCTGAGAGTTCCACAGTGACAAGTTACAGGAGAAGGAAGGTGAGCCAGGAGTTGCAATGTTTATGGGGAGAGATACATTTATGGGGAGAGATACGGGAGGTGTCACTAAGAAAGTGCCATTTGATGGCAGAGCTGCTGTGGAAAACAGGATGCCTGCTCCTCCAAGAGCCAAACAGAATGACCACATGACCCCGCAATCTCCTCTCCACGTACCTCCCAAAGAAATGGAAAGCAGGGACCCAAACAGGCAGGGGCACTCCCCTGTTCACAGCAGCATTCTTCACAAAGCCCAAGAGGCAGAGACAATGCAGGGTCCGTGAATGACGACTGGATAAGCGAAGCGTGGTCCCTCTGATAGTAGCAGAAGACAGATTCCTAGGCAGACTGGGGCAGGTCCCCAGTGAAGCCCGACCTTCAAGCCAAAGATAGCCTGAAGCTGGAAAACCAAGCTGCCAGTTCCAGGTTAAGTCCACGACCTTTTAGCCAATCGAATGGTGATTTTTTTCTAGGCCCGCCCATGGGCCAATCAGCACACACTCCCCCTTTCTGAGCCCATAAAAACCCTGGACTCAGCCACACAGCAGGGACTACCACCTTTGGGTAGAGACTACTCACCTTCAGGTAGTGGCTGCCCACTCTCAGGTCCCCTCAACGCTGGGAGCTGTTCCATCATGCAATAGAAGTTTTTTTCTGCCCTGCTCACTCTCTGGTTGTCTGCATAACCTTATTCTTCTGGATGTGGGACAAGAACTTGGGACCTGCAGAACAGTGGGTGTGAAAAAAGGCTGTAACACTGTAACCCTCCCTCCTGCTTGCTGAGCAGTGGAGGAGAAGAAACTGCTGGCTGCCACACACCCGTTTGCTGAAGTTGCGGGCGGCAGGAATGAACTAGAGCTATGGTGCTTCCCAAGAGCCCAGACATCAGACTCCCTGAACCAGGGCTGTAGCACGCCCTGCTCGCCAAGTCACAGGTGGTGGGAACGGTTGAGCTGTGACACCCTTGGGGCTCTGCGGTTCCTGGTGTCTCTGAGTTTTGGGTGCCACCACGTTCCCCTCATCCAGACACCGGTGCCCAAGGCAGAAGCGGGTTGCGGCATGCCCGGCCCAACCGCCGGCTGAGCGCGGATCCTGTGGCAAGCGTGGGATCTGGGCCGGGGTGCAAGCCGAGCACAGCCCACTGGGCCGAATGTGCAGAGTATCACCAGCAGTGATCCTTGGGCCGAGTGAGGCCAGGCAGGGGCGCCAGCGGCCATGGAGGTCTCCGGCTGGTGAAGTGGCACAGAAAAAATCCTGTGCCACATCCACACAATGGAGCATTCTTCAGCCTTAGAAGGAAGGGAATTCTCACACCTGCTACCATGTGGAGGAACCTTGAGGACATTAGGGTCAGTGAAATAAGCCAGGCCCAAAAGGCCAAATCCTGCATGATTCCATTTATACGGGGTCCCTAGAGGAGTCACATTCATAGAGATGGAAAGCAGAACAGTGCTGCCAGGGGCTGGGGAGTCCGTGTCCAACACGAACAGAGCTTCAGTCTGGGAAGATGAGAAGTTCTGGAGATGGAGGGTGCTGATGGTTGTACAGCAGTGTGAGTGTACCTAATGCCACTGAACTGCACACTTAAAAACGGCTAAGATGGGCTGGCCGCAGTGGTTCACACCTGTAAGCCCAGCACTTGGGGACGGTGAGGCAGGCGGTTCACCTGAGATCAGGAGTTCGAGACCAGCCTGACCAACATGGCAAAACCCTGTCTCTACTAAAAATAAAAAAAAAAATTAAAAAGCCAGGCGTGGTGGTGTGTGCCTCTAGTCCCCAGCTACTTGGGAGGCTGAGGCAAGAGAATCACTTGAACCCAGGAGGCAGAGGCTGCAGTGAGCTGTGATTGCACCACTGCACTCCAGCCTGCGTGACAGAGTGAGACTATCCTGTCTAAAAAAAAAAAAAAAAAAGGTTAAGATGTTAACTTTATGTTATGTATATTTTACCATAATTTTAGAAATCAATTTTTTACAAAGAAAGTTCCATCTGAGTAAAGCCCAGGCAGTGGAACAGCAAAGCCCCTGAGGCAGGAGGTTCCCAGCACATTGAGGAACGGCAGTAAGAGCCGCATGGCTGGAGTTGGCAAGTGCAGGTGAGGTGTGGGGTGGGGACAGGGGGACACCTGTGGGTGTGGGGGAGGAATTTGCATTTTATTCTGAGAGGGACAAGGAAGTCACGGGAGGGTCCTGAGCACAGCAGCGACGTGATCTGACATGGTTTGAAAGTGCCATCCTGGCTGCTACCTGGAGAGGGAGGAGCTGGGGGAGAAGGTGCGAACCCACCAGGAGCTCTGCACTAGTACAGGCAGGGAAGGACGCAGCCTGCAGTGGAGGTTAGGGCTGATCAGACTAGAGATGTGTTGAAAATGGAACCAAAAGCCTGTGCTGGCAAACTGAACAGGGTAGGACACACAGCGGGGTCCAGGCGTGAGCACTGTCGGTCCCGGCCACGAGAGAGCCAGCACCAGGTCCTGTACTGACCACAGACACGTCACTGCCCCAAGACAGGGCGGTCGTGTGCTGCTCAGATGGTTAAAACAGAAAAAGAACATTGCCAGCAGAGGGAGGGCCCAGAGACTAGAGCAGGATCTCTCTGCCTCTTACTTTACACATTAGAGAAAGGAAAGGACTTGTGGAAAAATACTAATTTCATTGCACTCACAGAGTAGAGAATTTTAAAAGAATGACGTGTGTGGCTTTATCTGGTGAGTCACATGTCATACAGGGAAGAACGGTCGGCCTAGAGTCAGAGGAGCTGACTCGGCTGCAGTTTCCTCCCTGTAAAATAAAACAAATGGGCCTTGACAAAGACCTTCCCGGACCAAGCTTGCGTCCACCGCTCCGAGTCCCCTCCCCTCTGGGACCAAGCTTGAGTCCACCCCTCCGAGTCCCCTCGTGGACCAGGCTCTGACCTTGGGCTCTGTCCTGGGCTGGCTCCGTTTGAGCAAATCCTGCTGAGCCTGCTTGGGGAAACCCACCCTGACTCCTGACGTTTCCACTTAGGAATTTCTGTCCACAGGCCCCACCCCTGCTCCGGGGCTGTCAGCTCCCACCCATCCCTGTACTCGGATTTGAGCCCCATCTCTCTCCTTTTCTGCAAAACCTCACTGGAGTGGGCCCTTGAATAATGCCTCTTCACACCCTTAACAAGAATTTCCTTTTTTTCTTTACCAAGCATCCCAACCTACCATTTCAGCCTGCTCAGGCTGCTGGGACAAAATACCACAGGCTCGGGGGCTTGAAACAACAGAAATCTATTTTCTCCCAGTTCTGGAGGCTGCAAGTCTCAGGTCAAGGTTCCCGCTGGTTCCGTTTCTGCAGAGGCTCCTTCCTGGCTCGCAGAGGCTGGTGCGTGGTCTGTCCCGGGAGAGTGCCCCTGCAGGCAGGAGGGAGCACGAGCACTCTGGGGTCTCTCCTTATAGGGACACCCATCCCATCGGGTCAGGGCCTCCCCACCCTTATAACCTTAACCCCAGTACCTCCTTAGAGGCCCCTCTCCAAATGGCCACGCCAGGGATTAGGGGTTTGACATGAATTTTGGGGGATCCATTCAGTTCCTAAATGTGATCCCCATCAATTTTCTTCTGGGTTTCAAAATGTTAGGTTAAAGCATGTTGTCTACCTAAAAGGAGCACACTACATATTATACGAATCTCAGATACACACACTGTGCCATGTCACAGAGTTTCACAGAGCAGATGGGAGCTGCAAAGACTGGGGTGGGATCTGAACACCTCAGCTAAGCATGTGTCCACCTGGCCACTGGGGTTTCTGCTGGTCAGAGTCCCACAGCACCGATGCCCTTTACCTGCCCTCTTTGAAGGCAGACCTTTCGAATATTTTTTATCAAATATTTATTAACAGGTATTACAACATGATTCAAAGATCAAGGTAACATATAAAAAGGCTAGGCACAGTGGCTCATGGCTCTAACCCCAGCGTGTTGGGAGGCCGAGGCTGGAGAATTGCTTGAGCCCAGAAGTTGAAGACCCGCCTGGACAACGTAGTGAGACCCCAGCTCTAACAAAAATAAAAATTAGCTGGGAATGGTGGCACACACTTGTAGTCCCAGCTACTCAGGAGGCTGAGGCTGGAGTATCACTTGAGCTCAGGAGGTGGAGGCTGCAGTAAGCTTTGACAGCGCCACTGTACTCCAGCCTAGGTGACAGAGCAAGACCGTGTCTCAAAAGAAAAAAAAAAAGATGAAAGAAAATCTTTTTGGCTGGGCACGGTGGCTCATGCCTGTAATCCCAGCACTTTGGCAGGCCAAGGCAGGCAGATCACCTGAGGTCAGGAGTTCGCGACCAGCTTGATCAACATGGAGAAACCCCATCTCTACTAAAAATACAAAATTAGCTGGGCATGGTGGTGCATGCCTGTAATCCCAGCTACTCGGGAGGCTGAGGCAGGAGAATTGCTTGAACCCAGGAGGCGGAGGTTGCGGTCAGTTGAGATCGCACCATTGCACTCCAGCCTGGCCAACAAGAGCGAAACTGTCTTAAAACAATTTTTTTTTTTAAGATAGCATACAGGCTGGGCACAGTGGCTCACACCTGTAATCCCAGCACTTTGGGAGGCCGAGGCGGGTGGATCACATGAGGTCGGGAGTCGGAGACCAGCCTGGCCAACATGGTGAAACCCTGCCTCTACTAAAAATACAAAAAAAGTAGCCGGGCGTGGTGTTGGGCACCTTGTAGTCCCAGCTACTCCGGAGGCTGAGGCAAGAGAATTGTTTGAACCCAGGACGCAGAGGTTGCAGTGAGCCGAGATGGCACCACTGCACTCCAGCCTGAGCAACAAGAGCAAAACTCCATCTCAAAAAAATATATATAATATATATATATAAAAGATAAAAAGATAGCATACAAAGACGCACACCCCAGCAAGTCTCATTACCGCCCTGTTCCCACCCACAGCATCCTCTCCCCATTCCCAGTGTAATAGAGTAATACTTCACTGTTTGTGAATTTTTATTTATCCTCTTTGACACAAAAGGCAGCCTGCTGTAACATGAATCAGGTACTTTCCTTTTTCCACTTAACAGTGCCCAGAGCACCTTCTGGTCTGTGGGTACTTATGGGGTCTGTCACTCTAACGCTGTTTATTCCACGGCCGCTTCAGGTCCCAGTATAGTTTCCAGTTCTCTGATATTAAAAACCTGGTCATCTTTTATTTTTATGTGTGCAAGGTGTATCTACAGCATACAATCTGCAGAGTGGGGACTGGTGGATTAAACATCAAAGCATTTGTAATTCTGAGAGTGGGCCACGCCTCTGTCTGGTGTTGAGTGGTGCCCATCCGCACTCAGCACCAACACAGGTGAGCACACGTTTCCAGGCAGCCTCAGCAACATATGCACTGTTGCTAATATCATACAGAGAAATGATGTCTTGGTGTTTTAATCTGCATTCTCTCGTGAGTAAAGCCGAGCATCTTTTCATTCCTAAAGGGCCATGAGTATTTCTTTTTCTGTAAACAATTTGGCCAATCCATTCTTCTGAGTTGTTAGTTTTTTTTCAATTTCTAGTTCTTATATATTAGGGAAATTAGTCCTTTGTGATATGAGTTGCAACTTCTTTTCCTAGTTTGTTTTTGCTTATGGCTCTTCAAAACCTTTTTATTTATACGTAGTCTTCTTTCATGATTGCTGGATGTTAAATCCTAGGTTAAAGACCCTTGTTTACTGTTGAGGTACTGCTTTTAATATACACGAATCTGTGCATATTTAGGTTTAGAGAACAGCTCTGTCAGCTGCGGGCAGAGACAGCGGTCCACTTGCCCTGTTTCCCACTTCATTCATATTTGTCTTTGTCCAAAACCCTACCACCATATACTGGCGGCTTCCCGTATCACCAAAGAATCTTAATTTGGGGGCGTATTTTGATGAAAGTTGTTCTTTGACAAATACTTATGTCAACACAATATCAGAGTCACCTTGTGCCAATTCCTGTCTCTCAATGGGCAATTAAGAACCAAAGCTGCTTGAACGAGCTGGCCAGCATAGTCAACGCCTTCTGTGTGCCAGGAGACACAATGCAGGCAGATGCAGCCGGCCCTCCCCATGTTACCCCTGAGTGTTTACGAACTGAGGAACCACGACCACCACGATCATTGCTACGTGTTTTGTTCTGATGACATCCTGAGTTCTGAATGTCAGCTCATCACGTTATTAAAAAAGGGGCTTTAGTTGAGTGACCTATTCCTTCTTGCTCCAGAACTACTAGAATATTAGAATTAGGAAAAAGACCAGAAATCTACCCCGAGGCCCTCCTTTTCAGCCACAGCATCTGTGGCCCAGACTTGCTCAACTTGAAATGAACATCACCTGAAATCAGGAGTGCAGCTTTCATTGGTTCCTATTTACAGTTACCCAAGCTGTCCACCAGCCAGGAGGGCTTTTTCTTTCTCGTTTTGTTTGACCTCCGGCTTCGTGCACTTTTGTGCCTGTCCTACAAGATGGCAGAGTGGCTACCTTCAGGCTTCAGCAATGGGGTGACACCGTGACGCTCCAGTACCGGCAGACACCAGGAGGGGAGTTCTGCACAAAGAACATTTCTTCAACGGCCTCTATTTGTGCGGCACGAACATCCTATTAAAGCAGCACCAGTTGAAAGCTTATATATTCCACAATATGTAGCACAATCTGATATGACAGTCACTCAAATATTTTGATTTGGAGCTGATGAAGATGCAATTATATATCATTGTTAAGTTTCTAAAGATATAAAAAATGCAGCTGATTTTTTGATTCTCAGTAATATATTTTCTTTTAATAAAAAAAAAATTGCCCCCTAAAAATTTAAGATTCCTCTTTAAAAGTGGTTGGACCTTTCCTTCCCTCCGGCTTCATGCACTTTCTGCTGTACTGACATCACTTTTGTTTTTTGTTTTGAGACAGAGTCTCACTCTATTGCCCAGGCTGGAGTGCAGTGGCACAATCTTGGCTCACTGCAACCTCTGCCGCCTGGGTTCAAGCAATTCTCCTGCCTCAGCCTCCCGAGTAGCTGGGATTACAGGCACCTGCCACCGCGCCTGGGTAATTTTTGTATTTTTAGTAGAGATGGGGTTTTACCATCTTGGTCAGCCTGGTCTTGAACGCCTGACCTCGTGATCCACTTGCTTCAGCTTCCCAAAGTGCTGGGACTACAGGCGTGAGCCACTGCGCCCAGCCAACATCATCTGTGTTGTGAAAATCCCACAGACCGTAAAGTTTCTAAAGGCACAACTTTTCATCTATTTCCAATTCTGGTTCAATTTTTTTTTTTTTAAATCACAGATTCTCAGAAGACAGAGGCAGCAGCAGGAGCATGCTTTTTGAATCTTCTCAAATCCCCACCTAAAAACAGAACTACTAAACAGCAAAACCAAAAAACTTATGGACATTTGTAACAGAATGAGGTGACAAGTGTTGACAAGGATGTGGAGTGAACTGGAACTCTCCTGCCTGACTGGAGGGAATGTAAAGTGTAAAGTTCACACTTGGAAAAGTTTCACAGTTTCTTAAAAAGCACACACCAGCTGGCTGGGCTCACACTGTAATCCCAGCACTTTGGGAGGCCGAGGCAGGCGGATCACGAGGTCAGGAGATTGAGACCATCCTGACTAACACAGTGAAACCCCACCTCTACTAAAAATACAAAAAAATTAGCCGGGTGTAGTGGCGGGCACCTGTAGTCCCAGCTACTCGGGAGGCTGAGGCAGGAGAATGGTGTGAACCCGGGAGGCAGAGCTTACAGTGAGCCAAGATCACGCCACTGCACTCCAGCCTGGGTGACAGAGTGAGGCTCCATCTCCAAAAAAAAAAAAAGAAAAAAAGAGCACACACCTGCCATATGACCAAGCATTCCATTCCAAGGCATTTACCCAAGAGAAACAGAAGACAAAGACGAGGATATAAATGTTCACGGCAGCTTTATTTGCTTTATTTTTATTTAGAAATTGGAAATAATCGAAATATCGGTCAACAGGTAAATAAATAAACTGTGGTATATCCATGCAATACAAAATGTGGATTATTGATGTACACAAAATGGGTGAATGCCAAAATAATTATGCTGAGTAGAAGCACCTCCCCCCACAGTACTTGCTCTGCGATTCCACTCAGATAAAATTCTAGAATATATAAATTAACCTTTAGTGAGAGGGAGCAGACCAGTGGTTGCCTGAACATGGAGGACACGAGGGACGGTTTAGACCGGGGTGTGAAACTGCTGTTGGTGGTGATGGACATGTTCTGGCGACAGCTTCACAGGCAAATGCATCGGTCACTTCACGTATGTGCAGTTCATTACCTGTCAGTTACACCTCAACAGAGCTGTTTTAAAAAGCAAGGTGGGGCCGGCTTTGGTGGCTCACACCTGTAATCCCAGCACTTTGGGAGGCCAAGGAAGGAGGATCGCTTGAGGCCAGGAGTTTAAGACCAGCCTGGGCAACACAGTGAGACACTGTTCCTATTTTAAATAACAAAACAAAACAAAAGTGGTACAATAACAACTTTTAAAACTCAAAAAGAAACAAAGAAAGAGATAAAAGAGATTCAAGAGACAGTGGCAAACACTGAGAACAGCCAATTTAGATTTCAACATACAGATAACAGGGATCCCCACAGAAAAAAGCCAAAGCAAGAAAAATGTAACACTAAACTCCAGTTCAAGCAAATCTTCTTAAAATAACAGATATGAAGTACACATAGAAAGAGCACACCATACGCTTGCAAATATGGACCAGGACAACCAATACCAACACATGACACATTCGAATAAAACGGCCGACTTGACAGAAAAAGGAAAAAATCCTTTGGGCATCTAAGGAAAAACAGCATATGACTGTCAGGGGAAGAAAACAAGATTCATCAGGCTTTTCATGCATCACTTTATGCTGGAAGAAAACAGAATAAAACAAGATACTCAAAGAAAATCTGGGCCAAGAATTTCGTATCCAGCAAAACTGAATTCAACATCAGAAACTCAAGGAATACTGTCCCCAAGATGACACTGACTATAGACTGGTTATGAGACCTGAACACACAGAAATGAGTCAATGGTGGTAAAAAGGAGCAATTTTTCTGACAACGTAGACACAGTGCTGTTTTCATCATCACAATTAATGCTATGGTATTAGTATTTTTTTTAAATGCTAAATGCTAAAGAGGAATAAAACAAGTGAGTGATTAAGGGATGGATATTCCATGCCATTGTCCTGTGTCTTGAGAAGCAGGATTCCGAGTGCAGGAGACACAGACATCATATAGAGGAGGCTATGTAAAGGCCCCAGGACCCTGAATTTGTATTGGGAATATCAATATAGGCTCAGAAAATATTCTTCCTTTAAATATGTGTGTGCAATGTTTGTATTTTTTTAAAGCTCCGTCCAAAAATCTAGAAATAATGACCAACGCAATAGCAATGAGCATCCTAAACTGGATCTGAAATACCATCTCTACCAGAGACTCTGGGAAAAATAATGGATTCCAAGTGTTAAACGGAATTAAGTTTGGCCTAAAACTGCCTCTGTACATAGTGACTTATAACCTCACTTAATGTATAAGCAAACTGGGACCTGACTTGAGAGTACACTTCTGTAACAAGCAGCAGAGTCTCACCAATCACATGCTGAAGGCTCCCAAAACATGCCTATGTGAGGTGGAGGCTGACCTGCAGTCAGTCTGGCCATGTACATGTGTCTTTCCCTTCCTGTGGCTATAAATAAATACAGCCTGCACACAACGCACAGGAGAACGTTCTGAACCACTTTTGGTCCTGAGTGCTACCCAGCTGAAGAAACTATTTTCTGCTCAATTAAACTGCTAACTTGTCTAAAGTTTTTCTTTTAAGACAGGTTTGGAGCAGAAGCTCTATAAATTGGGCCTAGAGCATCTTGACATGCCAGGCTGCAGGGAGCTATCAATGACTGTGCGTGTGGTCTGTGCACACATGTATGCACACATGTGCACACTTATCAAAAGAAAGCAAGAGCCAAGCTGAAGAGGCTCCCTCTCACTGACCGAATAAGCTAGTCTGAGCTAAATAAAGATAAAAATCACAACGGATTGAAACCCACCAAGTATGCTTAACTCCACAAATTCTTTTTTTTTTTTAAGACAAGGACTTGCTGTCGCCCAGGCTGGAATGTGGTGGCATGGTCACAGCTCACGCATCCTCGACCTCCTGGGCCCAAGCGATCCTCCCATCTCAGCCTCCAGAATAGCTGGGACAACAGGCAGGCACTACCACACCCACCTGATTTTATTTTAATTTTCTGTAGAGACAGGGTGTCACTATGTTGCCCAGACTAGTCTCAAACTCCTGGGTTCATGTGATCCTCCAGCCTCAGCCTCCCAAAGTGCTGGGATTACAGGCATAAGACACCATGCCCAGCCCATGAATTCTTGTATATATGTAAAAACCCTTCACCACTCACCTTCCTTGACAGACAACTAATGCATTATCTTAAAAACTTAGTGTACAAGAGCAAAGAATCAAGCATTTATCCTGCCCTTCCTATATGAACTGTACCACTGGGTAACCAGATAAGTATAAAAAAGAAAACACTTTCTTAGAAAACCATTCCAGCTAATAAAGGCAAGCAAAACGACAGAATGAGAATACCACCATTTTGCAACCCCAAATAATTAATGGATCTTGGCACTGAGCATCAGCTGCCGTCAACATGGTACTTTCCTGAGGAAAGCTCCTAACCGCCTGTTCTCCTGCCAAAGGGATCAAATTTGAGGCTCATCAAGCCTCTGGACCCAGCTGCCAATGTGCAGGAAACATAGAGGACCATGCTGAACTACACCATGACCACGTGGTCAGCAAAATCTACACTGTGGGAAGCCATGGGACAAACAGCCCAGGCTCTTCAACAGATAAACGGCAGGGAAAACAGTGAGGCCGACGGGACTGCAAATGGACACTGAAGTAGATAAAAAAATAAACAAAAAAAAGCAGACAAGACTAAACTGCCATCAAAAAACCAAGAAAGTCATTTCTGTAAAAGTCAGGATTACTTGTTGGGGCAAGGAGGGGGAGAAGAAGAGGGCTGTGGCTGGAGGGGCACTTGGGAGAGCCTCCTGGGGTATCTGGCAAAGTACTATTTCTTCACCAGGTGGTGGACACAAAGGTTATTCACCTTACAATCATAATCATTCAATAAGCTATACATTTGTTTTGTGTCACTTCCTGTATGTTTTTATAATAAAAAGGTTTAAAACTAAATAAATAATCATGTCAAACTTTTACTACTTTTTTTTTTTTTTGAGACAGAGTCTCACTCTGTTGCCCAGGATGGAGTGCAGTGGTGCAATCTTGGCTCACTGCAACCTCTGCCGCCTGGGTTCAAGTGATTCTTGTGCCTCAGCCTCCCAAGTAGCTGGGACTACAAGCCCGTGCCACCACACCTGGATAATTTTTGTAATTTTAGTAGAGACAGGGTTTCGTCATGTTGGCCAAGCTGGTCTCAAACTCCTGACCTCAAGTGATCTGCCCGCCTTGGCCTCCCAAAGTGCTAGGATTACAGAAGTGAGCCACTGTGCCCAGCCGGTGTCTTACTTTTTTTTTTTTTTTTTTAATTTGCACAGTTTTTAACGAAAGAGCCAAATAAATTTTTGAAAGTTTATTTATGCTTCTTGGTCTTTATGAGTCGCAGCTGTTCCTAGAGAATGGCCTAGCAGCCAGGGTCGCCGCAGGCAGGCTTTGCCCTATACTAACTGCCCAGCAAGCAGGCACATGGGGCTGAGACCCAGCACACATCCTGCCCACTGAGCTGTCCGCCCAGGCCCTGGGCAGCATGTTCCTTTAATGTACCCATGGGCACAAGTCACCTATACAAGCAGGAGACTCAAACCTGTCAACTGGACGGTAAATGGATGCTTTCAGAATACTTCCAGACTTCTGAGTTGCATCTTTTAACCAATGGTTTTTTGATTTCTTATCAAAATATAAGCCACAGCATTTTAGGCCATTTGCCTTGCTTGCCTGCAATAAAACAAGCAAGGACAGTATTGAACCCAGTAAACATAATGTGGAAATCTCACATAATTCTCCAATCTCAAAGATGTTCAATTTATTATATACTTAACCATTTTTTATAAACACATGTCACAGAAGGCCACTGTGCCTGATTCCGTGTGAAAGACGCATCTGCCCATCACTGCAATGGTCCTACCTGCAGGCTATTTTCCACACCAGTAAGTACAGGCAGCAAGACAGCCGCTGGCTCAAGTTCTCCCAAGGACTAAAGTCACATGGCTCAGTCTTCCGATTGTTTAGCTCCTTCTCTGGCTAATCTGTCAGCTTCTTCATTGCCTATAAATCCCGAATGACCAGGAACATGCATCTGTTAAGATAAATGTTTTCCTTTTATTTTTACTCATCTTTACATAAGCAACACATGACTATATTGTCATCATAAAAAACCATTCAGAACAGACTGCACAGCATAAGCTCAACTTCAACGCTCCTCTCCCCAGACATGATCCTCAACAGCACGCTGTCCATTCTTCATGCGTTTACGCAATGGATGTGATTTACGAACATTCCATTTTGTTTTTTCACAAATTGGATTTTACCGTTCATGTTGCTATTTCCTCCCCACTTATCAATGGGACTTGATAAGCTTTCCAGGCAAAACACATGTATGTACAGATGGGTGGACGGATATGTATGCAACACACACACACGCTTCCCTTGCAGTGCTGTCAGAAATAATGTACTTATTTAACCACTGTTTACATTTATGTTGCCAAAGCAAATTTACACATCAGGCTACCAAACTATTATCAGTGGTTCCAGGAAGGCAGAACAAGGCAGGGTTGAGACAGTGGCTGCAGTGTAATTTGTTCTCTATTGCTTGAAAAAAACTTTTTAATAAACATGATCTATGATTTTAAAAAGTGCTTCCATCTTGGAATAAAAGTTCTATTACCAAGGCTTTAATCATACAACCTTACTATTGTTTGAAACAAAATACACTGATAGTTTTATTTAACATTATGATGCATTCCAAAGAAATGAACAGGGTGACATACAGCTGTCATAGTAATGCCATGTGCCCAGGTTGGGTGTTACTTCGTGTTCTTAACAAAATATAAGGATTGTAGAACATCCCTCAAACCACACTGCCTGTGTATTCTATGCCTAGTGACACTCTCACTAGAATTGTATTACTTGTGGTTGCAGCGAGCCGAGATTGCGCCACTGCACTCCAGCCTGGGCAACAGTGCGAGACTCCATCTCAAAACAATAAAAAAAAGTTTGACATGATTATTGATTTAGTTGTAAACCTTTTTGTCATAAAACAAAAACATATAGGAAGTGACACAAAACAAATGTAATCCCAGCACTTTGAGAGGCCAAGGCAGGTGGAATGTTTGAGATCAAGAGTTCAAGACCAGCCTGGGTAACATGACAAAACTCCATCGCTACTAAAAATACAAAAATTAGCCAGGCGTGGTGGCATATGCCTGTAATCCCAGATACTTGGGAGGCTGAGGCACGAGAATCACTTGAACCCAGAAGGCAGAGGTTGCAATGAGATCACGCCATAGCCTGGGGTGACAGAGTGAGACCTGTCTCAAAAACCAAACCAAAAAACTGTATTACTTGTATGATAAGGAAAATAATCAAATTTGTGTATGTGGGTGGGTTTGTTTTGTTTTTCTGAGACAGGGTCTCACTCTGTCGCCCAGGCTAGAGTACAGTGGTACAATCTTGGCTCACTGCAACCTCGACCTCCCCAGCTCAAGTCATCCTCCCACCTCAGTGTCCTGAGTAACTAGACTACAGGCATGTGCCACTACCCCTGGCTAATTTTTTATTTTTTCGAGAAACAGAGTCTCCCCATGTTATCCAGGCTGGTCTCGAACTTCTTGGCTTAAGTAGTCAGGCCATTTGGGCCTCCTAAAGTGCTGGGTTACAGATGTGAACCACTGAGCCCAGGCTCACATATTTTTTTTTTTTTTTTGAGACGGGGTCTTGGAGTCTCATATCGTTGCTCAGGCTGGAGTGCAGTGGCGCGATCTCAGCTCACTGCAACTTCCGCCTCCTGGGTTCAAGTGATTCTCCTGCCTCAGCCTCCTGAGTAGCTGGGACTACAGGCACACACCACCATGCCCGGCTAATTTTTGTATTTTTTAATAAAGATGGGGTTTCACCATACTGGCCAGGCTGGTCTTGAACTCCTGACCTCGTGATCCACCCACCTCAGCCTCCCAAAGTGCTGGGATTATAGGCGTGAGCCACTACGCCCAGCCTCAAATACGTTGTAATATACATTATGATATTAATATCATGGAAATTGTTATGTCATTAAACCACTTACATAAACCATTAATCTCTAGTAAACTTAGCTTATTTGGTCATAATGGCCATAGGACATGAACATTTAAGATACTCACCCACTGAATGTCCATCCCCTGGGTAAGCCTCTCCAGTGCCACAAAGTCCTCTTTGTTGATCACCTCTTTCCCTGCACTTGTCTTCCACCCATTTTTCTTCCAACCTTGAACCCAGTTAGTTATACCTACAAAAATGCACGATCACTGGTGAGTCAATCTTGAGTGTCCTGCCTTTTTCACCTCCTTAGTCTTACCTCTTATAATTGATCCCACTTGTATTCTGAGTCACCATCCTTGACTCTTCACTTCCTTAGCTGGCCTTAGTTGCTTTGGCCTTTGGCACAGCCTGAAATACCCTCCTCTCTTCCCTTTCCCCTAACTTGTATTCTACCTACAGCTGTCAGCTTAAGATGTCATTTCTCCCAGGAGCCTTCCCCAGCCTCGTAAGCATCCCCTACATGCTCCTATTCAGGGCATTTCCCAAAGAAGCAGTCAACACGCCATCTTAAGTGACTTATACACACACAGACTAGAAGTAAGAGCCACTTCCACTTCTGACTGCATCTCCAGTGCCTGGCAAAGAAATAAGCATGTGGAAAACATCAGAGCAGCAGAAGGGAGACTCCAAAATCCTCACTCTTTGCTCGGTACCTGACAAACCAATGTCATCCCCCCGTTCCCATTTGGGTCCTGCCCTGTTACAACACCTCCTACCAATTTCCCTTCACAGTTACTGGAAAAACAGAAGAAATCAAATGTGAAAGCTTACCATTTATCGTAAACATACTGTCTGTATACAGAACCAGTTTATTGATGTTTTGAGTCTTTGCTTGTTCAATGGCTTTGCAGGCTGCCTTGAAAAGACAAGTCGATAGTCATGCTACAGAAAATGTTCAACTCTGACATTACTAAAGTTCAAAAGTACTTCGAAATTGAAACATCCCCTCTGTACTGATTATATTCTCTGTATGAAACACTACTATACATACAATTCTCCTGTGTAGACATCTATTTGAAATAAGTTTTTAGAATTTTTCTACAAAATTCCTATTTTTCAAAATTGTTATTAAACCCGTCTCTCTTCAAATATCTTATATGTATAGGTAGAAAAAAAAAGAATTAGTTTATTTGATAATTTCATACTCAATGCTCAAAAAAGAGAGGCTTAAACGTATCTGATAACTTACATGAATTTCCGCTCTTTGGTTTGTCTGCCGCCCAGGAAGTCTAATGCCTACATTTCTGTTTCAAAACAGTACAAAAGAAAATAAAAGTATAAAGTGAATTCTCAAAGTGATTCTTCTTAATGGATAACGATAAACTAGTGTGTATTCTTATTTGAAATATAAAAGCATCATATAAAAATCAAACTAACAGACTCCCAGCAGAGAGCAGCACACAGGTTTCCACACTTGGGCACCTTCTGACTCTCATGGGTTCCACTAGGGCAAAGGAAGTAAAAGCTGGTTCTCTGCGGACCCTGGGTTAGGCCCTATGGCTGCAGCAGAAAGAATCCCAGGAGAAAACTCGGGAAGAAGAATGGAGAGAGTGAGACTTCAGATTGAAACTACTAAAAACCTCCAGGAAGTAAAAGAGGAAAATGAAATCAAGGAACCAGAAAAACCCTTAGACAAGTTATTTAAAATTTGGGGTCACCAGGAGATCCAGAGTTTCCTAAAAGAATGAGCAATTTTTGGGCCAGGGGTGGTGGCTCACACCTGTGATCTCGGCACTTTGGGAGGACAAGGTGGGAGGATCGCATGAGCCCAGAAATTTGAGCCCAGCCTGGGCAACATAGTGAGACTTCATCTCTACTGAAAAAAGGACTCCTCTTGGGAGGCCGAGGTGGGCGGATCACGAGGTCAGAAGATCGAGACCATCCTGGCTAACACGGTGAAACCCCGTCTCTACTAAAAATACAAAAAATTAGCTGGGCCTGGTGGCAGGTGCCTGTAGTCCCAGCTACTCGGGAGGGTGAGGAAGGAGAATGGCGTGAACCTGGGAAGTGGAGCTTGCAGTGAGCCGAGATCGCGCCACTGCACTCTAGCCTGGGCGATAGAGTGAGACTCCGTCTCAGGAAAAAAAAAAAAAAAGACTCCTCCCCAGGGCAAGAAAGAAACACCAAAGCCAGGTGCAGTGGCTCACACCCATAATCCCAACAGTTTGGGAGGCCAAGGTGGGAGGATCGCTTGAGCCCAGAAGGTGAAGTCTGCAGTGAGCTGTGTTTGTGCCACTGTACTCCATCCTGGGCAACAGTGTGAGACCGTGTCTTAAAAAAAAAAAAAAAAAAAAAAAAAGCAAAGGAAGTAAAGCTGAGGTACCTCACGTTCTGAAAAGCAATGCCGCTTAGCCCCAACACGAACCAAAGCTGCTCCTCTGCCACCCCTGCCAGAGCTACTTATCTGCAGGTTTTCCCAATAATCAAACAATGAGCAGATCCCGCCTCATCTTTTCACAAGTTGTGGAACATGATTCAGTAAAACTCAGCTTCGTTTAACTTACAAAGGATGGCCTGGCCCCCAGTAAACGCCGATTCCTGCTCGCGGCCTTCTACGCCCATTACTGGAGCAGCAGCCATCAGTGTAGACGACGACGAAGTCTCCTGTGGGAAAAGGAAGTACATGCTGCTGGGCTGACCTTACTAAAAACTGAAATTCACCTCAAAAATCCACTAGGTCGACTTAGCATTTTAAACCGAGAGGGTATTTTACAACGCTGCAGACGTTTTCTCTCTAGGAAAACATGCTCCATTCCTTACAAGGGGGCACCTAACATTTATGCTTGGAATCCACTTACATTTTGATCTTGCAGGCCAGGCAAGTTCGGGGTGAAGGCAATCACCTTGTAAAACTAGAGCCTGCTGCAGTAAAAACTACTGTTCACATCCCACACTGTGGGTTCAGAGGACAATGGCGCTGTCTCCACGGCAGGGTCACCTTCACTCCCAGGGAGCCATCCTCCAGAGACGAGCAGCGCCTCAGCATGACGGTGACCCTGCCTGCCAGAGGGCCCAGTCTCCTGACCAGTGCTGGTCTAATTTCTTCCCTGGCATATTTGCTGCTAGTTAAGTGTGGTTCCCGTCTTTGCTTCTTTCCCTCTAGATAGAGGGTATGATTGACACACAAAGGCTGTAAAGAACAAGGTAAAAAAGGACTGACGGGGGCATTCTCAGGCCACTGGTGACCAGGACACTTCAGTAGTGTGGTGGGATCAGAGGTCAGGTTGCACAGTGTTAAAAGAGCTGGGCGAGAGGGCAAATAGAGGTGGTACGCGCAGGAAGTGGAAGTACTTGTCCGAAGGACGGCAGACTGAGCTCAGCAGTGGCGAAGGGGCAAAGATGGGGATGTGCTCCTCACAGGAGCGGGGCTGAGAGCCAAGGGGAGTGTGGGTGTTGGGCAGGGCTCCTCCGTTCAGCTGGAACTTAACTGTATCAGCATGACTACAAGCTTCCCACCCAGCCACTGAACTGTCTCAGGAGCCAGCACCTGCTATCCGCCATGTTCCAGGCCACCAAGCCTCCAGCAATGGTCAGTGTCTGGAAACGGCTCATCTCCCTGCAACTCCACAAATCTTTGCTTCAATTCCTACTAGTAAATCACCAAATAAAGAATACTTGTTTGATCTTTTTTTACGTAACTGCAAAACATATCTATAAATAATACAGCTTGGCAAAACATTTTCTACTGGTTTCCCTTGAATTAAATTAGAACCTATAAATATACTGATTTATATTTTTTAATGCTTATTTCTACTTTCTGCTCATATGTGTAAAAGACACAAAGGAGAATTCTATTCTGTGAGTCACTAAATACATAACTGATTCCTGGAGTGAAAGGTAGCAGAAAAGTTCACTACTACCTTGCTTCTCAGGATAAAATAGAATCTCTTGTTTTCCAAAGATTGAATATGAAAGGTTAAAATGCTGGTGCTAATCAATTATAACAAGCAGCTGCGTGTGAGGTGTTATTTGAAAAAGCTGGAGTCTTCGCATTTCATCTTAACGTTAAGTACTGCATGCACAGGGAATACTAGTATTTCAAAAGATTACAGTTGTTCATTTACATGTAAGGGTTTTCCTAAGAACATCCAAAAGTTTAATTCTGCACTACTTGATTATAAATAATGGCCTTAGTGATTTCTAAATAATCTTTACACATAAGAATGAAGATGATAAACACCAGCTCAAACTCCCCCCATCAAGTGGGAAACACCTTTTACACATAACATTTTCCTGACTGTGGTATTAAAATCTGAAAACCCAAGGAAGATGTACCCATGTAGGAAAACGTGTCTCTGCTAACTGGAGGCGCCGGCTCCACGCTCGGCTTCATGTGCTTTGCATACGGCTCTGCGCTTTCATGTCCATCTCCATCCAGTGGCTCACGGAGTCGCTTGCTGGCTTTCGCCTCCGATTCTTGTCCATGTTGATTTTCATGCCCTGAAAGACAAGAGTCCACTCGTGAGCTGGAAACAATGAACATAACACGAAATGCTAGAGAATGAAGACATTCAGTAAATTATTTAGTATCATTAAATCAGACTTAAAAACACCCTCTCTATGTGGCCCTACAACGAGGGAAACGAGGGAATGACCCCCTCCACGCCATCTCCACCCCCTCCACGCCATCTCCACCCCCTCCACACCACCTCCACCCCCTCCACACCACCTCCACCCCCTCCCCTCCACACCACCACCACCCCCTCCCCTCCACACCACCACCACCCCCTCCCCTCCACACCACCTCCACCCCCTCCACAGCATCTCAATCCCCTCCACAGCATCTCAAGGGGCTCTTTCTCCAGGAAAAACATGGCCCAAAATTGTGTATATAACATCAGTGGTGTTGCTGGGCGCAGTGGTGTGTGCCTATAGTTCCAGCTACTCGGGAGGCTGACATACGAGTATCGCTTGAGCCCGGGTTTGAATCCAACCCGGCCAACATAGTGAGACCCCTTTGCTTAAAAATAGATAAATCTAAAAAAAGATGAGTTGTGTCCATGGTTCAGCCTCTCCCTGCCTCAAATACAACTACATGGACACGAAGTTAAGAACCCCTAGGAGGGCTCAGAGGGTGCAGGTTCATCTAGCTTGAATAAACAGATAATGGGACATATTAAGAAAGGAAAACAGGGCTGGGAAGCCGAGGCGGGCAGATCATTTGAGCTCAGGAGTTCAAGACCAGCCTGGTCAACATGGTGAAACCCTGTCTCTACTAAAAATACAAAAATTAGCCAGGCGTGATGGCGGGCACCTGTAATCCCAGCTACTCAGGAGGCTGAGGCAGGAGAATGGTGTGAACCCAGGAGGTGGAGCTTACAGTGAGCGGAGATCGCGCCACTGCACTCCAGCCTGGGCGAGAGAGTGAGACTCTGTCTCAAAAAAAAAAAGGAAACAGAAACCAGAAACTAAAAGGAAGCAACTGGGTCCCTTCAGGGTCAGTACTCTTGCAGCTTTTCTTTTGCAACAAAGTTTTTCTTCTGCAACGAAGTTTTTCTTCAGGGGGACCTCAAGGTTAATCCCAAATAGTTTTTTTTTTTTGAGACAGAGTCTTGCTCTGTGCCCAAGCTGGAGTACAGTGGCGCGATCGTGGCTCACTGCAACTTCCACCTCCCTGGTTCAAGCAGTTCTCTGCCACAGCCTCCCAAGTAGCTGGGATTACAGGCACCCACCACCACACCCAGCTAATTTTTTTGTATTTTTAGTAGAGATGGGGGTTTCACCATTTTGGCCAGGCTGGTCTTGAACTCCTGACCTTGTGATCCACTGCCCTGACCTCCCACAGTGCTGGGATTACAGGCGTGAGCCGCTGCGCCCGGCCCCAAAGAGATTCTTAATACCACCTCAGGGTTATCTGGGAAGGGCCCATATCTCACTCACTGGGTAATACTATGGCAGCTGAAGTAGAACAGCTAAATTAGACCAGGACTCAAAAAACCAGTTTCAATTTGTGCTATACCTTTTATCAGCTGCGAACTCCGTCAACTGAATTAAACCCTCTGGGCTTCTGTAAAACGAGGCCCTGGGCTAGATGATCTCAAACGACTTTTCCTTACATGGAGTGAAAATAAGGACACAGGAGCAACCAACTACCTGCAAACTAACAACCCTAACCCAACACTACAGGATTCACCTCCAGCTCTCAACTCCTAAACCAGGGATGGAGAAATGGGGCACGAACATCACAGAACGCCTACTAGAAAGGAACAAGAAAATGTCCAGCCTAGTGGAGCTTCTCAACCCACACCTCTCGGAACCCTAAGGGCGCCGGGCAACACTTGACTGTGATCAGCACGACGTCAGCAACAGCTGGCGTTTCCACTGCCACATTTTGTTTTCACACACTCATCTCCAAAACGTTCCTCTAGGTACTCTACTGAAGTAAATGCAGATACTGTGGTCCAGGTTAAAGTGTCATTTTGTAGAACCTTAACACGGATATAAACACTGGTTTTACTTACTATAACAGAGATGGACACTTTACAGAACAGATAAGACTTGGAGGAAAAAAACACACTTGTCAGTTAAGTTTTACTTCACAAAATTGTGGTTTTTAAGTAAATTAACCTTAAATCAGCTTATATAAACCATAAGAACCAGTAAATAGCTCAATAATTCTAAAATAAGGATAAATGTAATGTTAAAAAACAAAAAACTGTAAAAGGGGCTAAGACTTTTTGATACAGATCTGAATCATTAAAGGCACTAAATCTCAATTTATAGACGTAAGTCACTGACTAGGAGGTCTCTAAAGTTTAAAGAAGTAGATTCAAAAGAACTAGCTTGCTTTAAGAGTCAGAGTACTTAATAAAAACAGAAACATACTTATATTGGAAGACTTGAGATACAAATAAATTACTGATTGGTTAAAAACAAAAAATTTGTGAAAAGGAAAACTGAAAAGGAAAATTAAGAAAAGGAAGTATCAGGAACCCAGCAAAGAAGGAAAAAGCCATATTTTCAAACCTGCTTTCTGTCTCAAACTGATTTTTCCATCTGGGTAGAAAAATGAACAGCTGTAACAGCGAGGAGGCGGCTCAGCATTACTGCCTCCATTCTCCCTTAACATCCCCATAGTGGTATCGTATAGGCCGAGTGAACTATGGGAAGAATTTATAGTTTAAAGCAAGGATGACAGTGGTCCGTTCCCAAAACTAACCCCCAAGGAGATAAAGAGGGAGTACACACAAATAACAATGTTATGTTGAAGACTTATAGGAGGAGCATCATGGCCTGACCAAGGACAGAGAAGTTTCACAATCCCCTTGGACCCTCGCTGCCATCCAGATGTCTGTGCTCATCGGTCTCCTCCTGATCTCACCTCCGCCTTTCTTTCCCCTTCCCTTAACATAAAAGAAGTCTCAAGTTCTATTAACTTAAGATGGTTCTTCAGGACACTAGTCCACCATCTTCTTGACTTGCTGGCTCTCGGAAAAAAGTCGCCTTCCTTGCCCCAACACCTTGTCTCTCAGCTTATTGGCTGTCATGCAGTAAGCAGTAAGAACTGTCACATCGATGAGCCTTTTTCACGTGTCCTCATTCTCAAACAGAATCTCCTTTAAAAGCTATTGAAGAGAGAGAGGGTGAAGCAGATGCACTGAGTGAGGGTCGACCCTGCTTTGCAAACTAACTCTTCAGGGATCCATTCTGGACACAACCTGCCTCGCTCTGAATTGTGCTTTGTCCAGGATTGTTACGATGATTCGAAGGAGCAGTTGTTCAGGTTCAAGCATCTCAGTGGCCTCTAGAGAGGCTGTTCAAGATAAGGTAATTAAAACTATGCTCTGCTCAGTCTTAATTTGCTATAGTAAAAAGTTTGTAAGTAACATTCACGTAAGATCACCTCCTCAGTGTAGATCCAGAAATATTTTTAAAATCTTGCGCTCTAAAGTCGTCACCCTGCTCATCTGAGTCTGCATAATGGGCTTTAAACTTCCAATTATATTGGGAATTAATCTTATATTGGGCTTTAAACTTTGAATAACCGTACTTTCTATAACACATAAAATTGGAAGAAATTGGACAGGCGTGGTGGCTCATGCCTGGAATCCTAACACTTTGGGAGGCCAAAGCAGGTGAATCATTTGAGGTCAGGTGTTTAAGACCAGCCTGGCCAATATGGTGAAATCCCATCTCTACTAAAAAAAATACAAAAATTAGCCGGGCGTGGTGGCACGCACCTGTAATCCCAGCTACTCCGGAAGCTGAAGCAGGAGAATCGCTTGAACGCAGGAGGCAGAGACTGCAGTGAGCCAAGATTGTGCCACTGCACTCCAGCCTGCGCAACAGAGACTCTGTCTCAAGGAAAAAAAAAAAGAAGAAATTCAGATTGTGTGACTCTGTTCTCAATAAAAAGGCAACACCACAAAGGGGCATGCCATGGAAAGAACCACACTCATTCCTGTAAACTGTAGCCCATCCAGTCCAATAACTATGTAAGTTTTTTTTTTTTTTTTTTGACGAGTCTTGCCCTGTCACCCAGGCTGGAGTGCAGTGGTGCAATCTCGGCTCACTGTAGCCTCCACTTCTCGGGCTCAAGCAATTCTCCCACCTCAGCCTCCCGAGTAGCTGGGATTACAGGTGTGCGCCACCATGCCCAGCTAATTTTTGTATTTTAGTAGAGATGGAGTTTCATCATGTTGGCCAGGCTGGACAAGTATTTTTTTAAAAAAAGACAAGGAATTATGGCATAAAAGGCTGAATGGAACAGGAGAGCTGAGTCCTGGCTTATCCCTAATACTGTAAGTAATATGAACCACTATTTGTAACTGCTTTCAGTCTGTTCCCTAATTTGTAAAATGAAAACAATCACACGAGGTTCCCTACATGCCTAGAGGGTAGCTATATAGATCAAATGCCATCTGGCATATGAAAGCCTTTGAATAGGTTAAAATGTCACACTGATATGAGAGGTGACTACCTTCTGAAACTTCCGGGCTTGCAGATTTCCTGACAAAGGCCCAGGCCTCATCCTCTGTGGCAAACTTCTTAAATCTGGCAGCAGGAAACCGGTCCACCTGTGCTCTGCACTCATTCCTGGAAAAGATGTGCAATGTTATTTCCTTCTTCCTTCTCTAACTTATCCCCTTTTTTATTGAGATTCTTAAGGTTGGAAATACAGTTGTCCCTTGGTATCTGAGGGAGACTGATTCCAGGAAGTCCTCCACCCCATCACAGATACCAACATCAGAGGATGCTTAAGTCCTTTGCATAAAATGGTGTATTTGCAAATAACCCACACACATCTTCTTGCATGCTTTAAATCATCTCTAGTTTATAATACCTAATACAATCTATATAGTTGTATTGTCTTTTTATGCGTATTTTAAAACTGTATTCTATTTTAATTTTTTCCAAATATTTTTGATCTATGGTTAGCTGAAACTGAGGATGCAAACTGGATATAGAGGACCAATTTTTGCGTGAAAAGGGCAGAGTCGCACCTTATAGTTTTATCCTGCACGTCAGACTCTACACCTGTGTTCTACTGTATGCCAGCCAGCCAGCACACCAGCACCATAAGGCTTTCGTCAAACTCAAAGCATAACAAAATACTGCGGTCTTTGAAAAAAATATTAACCATTTCTTTACAACAAAAAGGTCAACTTCTGAGATGCTTCTTCCTCAATACTGTAGCTGCCGTGCATGGGGAAACACAGGTAACGAACTTTGGTATCTTGTAGTGGGAAGAGTTCTGGTGGTACAGTCAGAACAGCTGGGCTCAAGTCCTTTCTCTGTCAGTTACATGCCCTGGGAACTTCCTGACCCCAAGAACTATACCTGAAAGTGAGAATAATCCCTCTCACCTCCAAGGGTTGTTACAAGGATCCAACTGCAAATACTGGCTTATTAGAATTTGCCTTTTTTAAAAGGGAAGATTAGGTACTGAGTTCCAATCCCAATTTAGCTGGTACGGAAAGTCTTCTGGTAACGGGGGTTCGTTCTGATTACGTGTCACTTTTTGTTGCACTTTAACTGCAACAAAGATGGAGGATTAAACACAGGGTTTATTAGGCCACCCCTAACCTTTACGCGACGTTTCTGATATTTCAAACAAGTCTTCGGTGCGTTCCAGTCCCAGGCCATGAGCCTCCTGGAACCCCGCCGGCCGAGCAGGAAAACGAGGCGGTCCCCCGACCACCCACAGCCACAGCGCGCGGCACAGACTCGGACCGCCAGGCTCCCGCCGCCGGGGTTAGCCGGGCTCCGGCCTCCCTCGACCCCGATGCCGGCAGGGAGGCGCCTCGGCGGGCGGGCCACTCACCAGGTCAGAAAGACCCCGGTCTTGCGGCCCCTCCTCACGGCATAGAACATCCCGAACCCGCGAGAGCCGCGGCGGCAGGGCAAGGCGGCCAAGGCGACTCTGTGGGCCAGGAACAGAAGCCAGCTCATCGCTCACTCCCGGCACCGGGAAGCATTTCGACTCCCGGCCCAGCGTGGGCGCGAGCCGCCGGCGCTCAACACCGCACTTCCGTCACCGGCGCGGGAAGATGACGCACGTCTGGGCGGAGTCCTGATGAGGGCCGGGGCCTAGGGAGGGGCGGTGTCGTAGGGCGGAGCCCGGAGCTCGGCCCCTGACGAGCCCGAACTCGTCAACTTCCTGTCGGTACTTGAAGAAGCGGAGCCAGGGCTGAGATCCCGAAGGCGGGCGAGGTCTGGGATGGGGCGGGGCCTATGGGAGCGGGGCTGAAGCCCTGGGCCCGGCAGAGGAAGGTCGAGATGGACCATGTTGGGCCCCTTCTCTCCCCGCCCCCAGGCCGCAGTTCGGGGGCCACGCCCCGGCGTGCTCGGGTCACCGCGGGAAGCCCTTGAACCCCCTGGCGCCCGGCACCCACGTGCGGTAACCGCGGCTCCTCGAGAGCTCCAGGGATGCGGATCTACAGTAAGGGCTGTGGCCAGATGAATGAATGCACATTTTTTAGTGGGCAGAAAGATGTTAGAATTCATGAATTAGAATAAGCACAAAGGAGGGCGAGAGGGGAGGCCGTGGAAGCCGCATTCCTCCCCTTGCCTTGGGCGCCCACCCCCGAAGGGGCGCGTCCCCTCCCTGCTCCACTGCACGTGGGTGTTTAACCAGGGGATATCCAGTGCCTCAAGCACCACGACCCGGGAGAAAACTGAGTTGAGAAGGTAACTTTTAGAATTCTCCCCATTTGACCTTTTGCTCTGTAAGCAAATCAAGTAATTTTAAAAGTGTTCATGGGTTGGAGGGGCGTGGTGGCTTACGCCTGTAATCTCAGCACTTTGGGAGGCCAAGGCGGGTGGATCACCAGGTCAGGAGATCGAGACCATCCTGGCCAATATGATGAAACCCTGTCTCTACTAAAAATACAAAAATTAGCCGGGCGTGGTCGCCTGCGCCTGTAATCCCAGCTACTCAGGAGGCTGAAGCAGGAGAGGCGCTCGAACTCGAGAGGTGGAGGTTGCATCTGGGCGACAGAGCGTGATTCCGTCTCAAAAAAAAAAAAAAAGTCTCCATTGGCAAACATTGTTATTCGAATTATTTTTAAACCACTTTTCTTTAATTTTCTTAAGGTCTTCTAACAAGCCTTTTGCACACCTGCCATGTATTTTGTCAGGCCTTGGGGATGAAGGTGAGAAATTCGAGAATCCCCGGAGATAACACATCAGCAAATAGTGCGCAGGCAGAACAAGCTGTTGGAGGTGAGAGACACAGAGCAGAGAAGCACCCGCACCTGGAGAGTCAGGAGGGCCTCACATCAGAACGCCTGAGCAAATACAGTTTTGAAGGATACTAATTTTTTAAAAAGTTCATTCACATGAGTTAGACAAAGAGAAAGAAGCAGGACATTCTAGGAAGAAGGAACGGCCCAGGCAAAAGCGACGCGTACATTGGCGTGGTAAGTTGTGTTCCTCTGTGAAATCGAAGAACATCTTTTTTTTTTTTTTTTTTTTTTTTTAAACAGAGTCTTGCTGTGTCGCCCAGGCTGGAGTGCAGTGGCACGATGCACGATTGGGGCTCACTGCAACCTCCACCTCCCGGGTTCAAGCATTTCTCCTGCCTCAGCCTCCCAAGTAGCTGGGATTACAGGCGCCCGCCATCACGCCTGGCTAATTTTTATGTATTTTTAGTAGAAACAGAGTTTCACCATGTTGGCCCGGCTGGTTGCGAACTCCTGACCTCAAGTGATCCGCCTGCCTCAGCCTCCCAAAGTGCTAGGATTACAGGCATTAGCCACTGTGCCTGGCCAAAGAACATCAATTTTAAACATTTCAGCTTTCCTAATTTTAATTTAAATTGGCCATAGCTTTCATTCCTCATTCCTACCTATTGCACTTCAAGACGGATTCTTATTTTAAAATAAAAAGACACACACAGCTGTCCCTAAAGTCCATTTATGACTGATCATCCTACCCTTGTGTAGATATCTGAGGAAGCCCAGAGATGCCCGGGAAGGCTCTCAGGATGACCTGACAGCTGCCCCCACCTCGTCAGCATATCTGAGGGTTGACCTACCAAGGGCTTGCTTTTCTGTGCCCACTGGCTGGTCCTGTATCACAAGGACTCATCTTCCCTGAGAAGTCCTAGGTTGGAATTACCTGAGGACGCTTGCAGGATCATCCACATGACTTTCCACAGTGCCAAAACCCTCTCTCTTCCTTCTTCCTTCCTTCCTTCCTTCCTTCCTTCCTTCCTTCCTTCCTTCCTTCTTCTTTCCTTCTTTCGTCTTTTCTTCCTTTGTTCTCTTTTCTTTCTCCTTTCTTTCTTTCTTTTCTTGTTTCTTTCTTTTCTTTCCTTTTCTTCTTTCTTTATTTTCTTTTCTTTTTTTTCCGGGTCCTACTCCAACGCCCAGGCTAGAGTGCAGTGGCATGATCTTGGCTCACTGCAACCTCTGCCTCCTGGGTTCAAGCGATTCTCCTGCCTCAGCCTCCCGAGTAGCTGGGATTACAGGCATGCGCCACCACGCCCAGCTGATTTTTGTATTTTTAGAGACAAGTTTTCACCATGTTGGTGAGGCTGGTCTTGAACTCCTGACCTCAAGTGATTTGCCCACCTCGGCCTCCCAAAGTGTTGGAATTACAGGCATGAGCCACCACGCCCGGCTGCCAAAACTATTTATTTTGACTTTTCATTGACTGGTTACTCCTGAAAATCTTTTTTTATCTTAATCTCTGGCTCATAGAAATATAGGACATTTCTTATCCTGAGCAAACACTGGATCAGAAATCAGAAGATGAGTGTATATGTGGTCTCAGTCACTTAGCTCCTTTGAAACTTAATTTTCTCTACTGAAAAAAAAAAATGGGAGTGATAATTCCCACTGCAAAAGGCTTTTGTTTTGAGGATGAGATTTTAGATGAAATAATAAATGTATGCATAGCCTATTCCTGACACATGACATAAACTCAAATAAAAGTCACTATTGCCATTATCTATTATACTCTGTAAATTAGGAATAACAAAACCATTTCTGCTTATTTCTCAGGGTCCATTCAAGAATTGTGCCCACAATATACCAGGCACTTGTCCAGACCTGCATCGTCCAATGCCCACCTCGACCTCCCAAAGTGTTGGGATTAGAGGCGTGAGCCACCGCGCCCTGCCTGCATGTGGCTATTGAGATGTGCTGTATGATACACACCGGACTTTGAAGACTCAGTGTGAAAAATAAAAAGAATTTTAAGAGGGGTGGGGGTCGAGGGGAGGCAGAGCAGTAGGACAAATAGCTAATGCACGCAGGGCTTAAAACCTAGACAACAGGTTGATGGGTGCAGCAAACCACCATGACACATGTTTATCTATATAGCACCTACATGTTCTGCACTTGTATCCTGGAACTTAAAATTAGAAAAAAAAAATAATAAAAGCCAACATGGCATTCATTACTGCCAAAAAAATTAAAACACATTGTTAATTTTGTATATTGATTACAGGTTGAACTGATAATATTTTGAATATATTGGGTTAAAGAAATACATTTAAAATTAGTGGCTAGGCACAGTGGCTCATGCCTGTAACCCCAGCACTTTGGGAGGCTGAGGCGGGTGGATCACCTGAGGTCTGGAGTTCGAGATGAGCCTGGCCAACATGGTGAAACCCCATTTCTACTAAAAATACAAAAATCAGCCGGGTGTGGTGGTGAGTGCCTGTAATCCCAACTACTTGGGAGGCTGAGGCAGGAGAATCGTTTGAACCCGGGAGGTGTAGGTTACAGTGAGCCGAGATTGTCCCACTGCACTCCAGCCTGGGTGACAGAGTGAGACTCCATCTTAATAATAATAATAAAACTATTTCTTGCTGTTTTACTTTTCTAATGTGACCACCAGAAAAGTTTAGATGGCTTGTGTGACTCTCATCATTGAACGGAGCTGTTCTAAACATGGGTAAGACAACGCAGAGCTTCGGTTGCAGGACAGAGAATGAAATAATAGACCCATAAGACAGATAAGTGACTGATTGTGACTGCTAGGGTGTTTACAGCATAGGCCGGTGACAGGAACGAGGAGTGTGGGGATGAGAGCCGACGTGGGCGAGAGTGCATGCAATGCAGGGTCAGACGTTGGATTCATCTCTCAGGAGTTGAAAAAGGTGGCGTTCCTGTTCTTTATTGGCATTGCTTGTGACACGAGGATTGCCCCTCTTCCTGAAGAGGTTGGTCAGGAAAATTTTTTGTTAACTTTTATTTTAGGTTTGAGGGTCCATGTGCAGGTTTGTTTCATGAGTAAACTCATGTCATGGGGGATGGGTGTACAGATAATTTCATCACTGAGGAATAAGCCTAGTACCCGATGGGTATTTTTTCGGATCTTCTCCCTCCTCCCATCCTCCACCCTCAGGTAGGCCCCGTTGCCCACCGTTCCCCTCCTAATATCCCTGTGTTCTCGCTGTGGAGCTCCCACTTATAAGTGAGAACACGCGGTGTTTGGTTTTCTGTTTCTGCCTTAGCTTGCCTCCACCTCTATCCATAGTGCTGCAAAGGACATGATCTCGTTCCTTTTTTATGGCTTCATGGTATTCCACGATGTAAATGTACCACATTTGCTTTGTCAAGTCTACTGTGGATGGGCATTTATGTTGATTCCACATCTTTGCTATCATGAATAGTGTTGTGGTGAACATACACCTGCATGTGTCTTTATGGTAGAACGATTTAGATTCCTCTGGGTATATACCCAGTCATGGGATTGCTGGGTTGCATGGTAGTTCTGTTTTAAGTTCTTTGCAGAATCACTATGCTGCTTTCCGCAATGGTTGAACTAATTTGCACTCTCAATATTATATTGTCTATAGCTGAGAAAGCTGAAATGTAAAGATTAAGTCACTTGTCCTCAGACATGTAGACAGGAAGTGGTACAGCCAGGACTCAAACCTGCCTCCAGAGCCCGTCCTCCTAAACCTAAGTCATGGTTTTCAAAGTGTGGTCCTTGGATCAGCAGCAAAAGCACCACCTGGGCACTCATTAGACATGGAAATTCTGGGCCTCAACCCGGACCTCAGCATGGGAATCCCTGGGGGTGGAGCCCGGCGGTTTGTGTTTGGGCAGCCCCAGCTGACTCTGAGGCACCATCAGGTTGGAGGCCACAGTGGGTGATAGTCCCTGCCCTGTGGTAGCAGCCGGCCTCCCTCCTTCATTTCTGTTATTCCATCTCCTTCTTAAAACAACCCTGTGAGGCTGGCAGGGCAGATGTCGATTTTATTTAACAGATGAAGAAACTGACCCTTGAGGTTTTATGACTTACCCAAAGTCATCGCATTAGTTTTGGAACTGAAACTTCAATGGCAGATCTTCTGGCTGTTAGTCTGAGACTGGAACTAGTACCCACAAGGACTCTGGGAGCAGTAAGGTCAGAGCAGGAGCTACTGCTTCATTTCATTGCCTCTAGTGAAGGAGGAGGGGGGTTCCCAGAGCACGGCTTCTCCATGGGTCTAGCCCATGATAGCTGGGTGCTTACCCTGATGTGCTGATGAGATTCTGCCTTATCTCCTGCAAGCCATTTGTGCTGTGCTAGGATTAAACAGTACACTTTGGAACCTTAGCTGCCCACACCCTGAGAGCCAATCACGCAGAACCCACAGGAAATCTCGGGGCAGAAGTAGTTTGCCATAAATGTCCATTTTCTCATTTTTTGTTGTTGTGACGGGGTCTTGCTCTGTCGCCGAGGCTGGAGTGCATTGGCGCAATCATAGCGCACTGCAGCCTCAACCTCCTGGGCTCAAGTCATCTTTCCACCTCAACCTCCAAAATAGCTGGTATTACAGGTGTGCGCCTCCTGTATAATTAAAAAAAAAACATGTTTTGAGGCCGGGTGTGGCGGCTCATGCCTGTAATCCCAGCACTTTGGGAGGCCAAGGCGGGTGGATCATGAGGTCAAGAGATTGAGATCATCCTGGCCAACATGGTGAACCCCCGTCTCTACTAAAAATACAAAAAATTAGCCGGGCGTGGTGGCAGGCACTTTTAATCCCAGCTACTTGGGAGGGTGAGGCAGGAGAATCGCTTGAACCTGGGAGGTGTAGCTTGCAGTGAGCTGAGATCACACCACTGCACTCCAGCCTGGGCAAAAAGAGTGAAACTCTGTCTCAAAAAAAAAAATGTTTTGAGGTTACAGGGAGCTATGATCACACTACTGCACTCCAGTCTAGATAACAGAGCGAGACCCTGTCTCTGAAAAAAAAGAAAAAAAATTCTTTGTAGAGACAAGGTTTCACTATATTGCTCAGGCTGGAATCAAACTCCTGGCCTCAAGCAATCCTCCTGTATTGACCTCTCAAAGGGCTGGGATTACAGGCGGGAGCCACTGTGCTCAGCCTGCATTTCCTGATGCAACTCGTTCACATTCCATCCATTATCAACAATCCCCACAACTTCACCTCCTGCCATGGATGCCTGAGGCTGGGGAAGGGGAACTTCATTCGGGTGTGGGCGTCACCTTAGCCACAGAGAACCTAAAAGAGTGATCAAGCCTCACCTGAGGTTGGGAGTTCGAGACCAGCCTGACCAACATGGGGAAACCCCATCTCTACTAAAAATACAAAATTAGCCAGGTGTGGTGGCGTGTGCCTGTAATCCCAGCTACACGGGAGGCTGAGGCAGGAGAATCGCTTGAACCCGGGAGGCGGAGGTTGTGGTGAGCCGAGATCGCGCCGTTGCACTCCAGCCTGGGCAACGAGAGTGAAACTCCGTCTCGAAAAAAAAAAAAAAAGACTGATCAAGCCGACTGAAAGTCAGGGTGCTCTGTTATTATAACTGAGCACCGGGAATTCTAAACACTGTCAGTGATAAATACTCTTCCCAGAAAAAAAACTTTCTTGTAATTATATGTGTATAATTCCATTTTTATCCCTAATCTTTTAACAAACATGTCTTACATGGGAGTTAATCCCAAGGGCTCCCAGCTATGCACTTGGTTCCAACACGTCTTCGTTCAGCCACAAGAAGTTTATTTGGTTCAGAAGCAGAGTGCTAGCTTCAGGCACAGTTTGATCCAGCTGATGGGCACTGCAACCTCCTGCATGTAAACAGCAGGTTTGAAGTGAACCGTGGTAGCACTATGACTATAAAGACAAACGAGGAGAACTTGCTTTACTTCACTTCATTCCATGTGATCACTTGTGCTTAAAATTTGAATCAGTGAAACAGGGCGGTGGGAACCGCAAGCTGAAATATTTTTGTTATAGTGTGGATTTTAGCTCATATATTACACATTTTACTGAATTCAAATAATGTCTTTAAAATTGAAATTTAGCCAGGAGTGGTGGCTCACGCCTGTAATCCCAGCACTTTGGGAGGCCGAGGCGGGATTTCGAGACCAGCCTGGCCAATATGGTGAAAACCTGTCTCTGCTAACAATACAAAAATTAGCTGGGCGTGGTGGCACGGGCGTGTAGTCCCAGCTACTCAGGAGGCTGAGGCAGAAGAATCGCTAGAACCCGGGGAGCCGAGATTGGGCCACTGCACTCCAGCCTGGGCGACAGAATAAGACTCTGTCTCAAAAAAATATTAAATAAATAAATAAATAAAATACAATTGAAATTTATTTTTTTTGGCCAGGTACGTTGGCTCATGCTTTGGGAGGTCAACGGAGGAGGATTACTCGAGGCCAGGAGTTTGAGACCAGCCTGGGCAACATAGTGAGATCCTGTCTCTACAAAAAAATTTAAAAATTAGCCAAGCGTGCCTGTGGTCCCAACTTCTTGGGAGGCTGAGGTGGAGGATTGCTTAAGCCTGGGAGGCTAAGGCTGCAGTGAGCCGTGACTGCACTACTGTACTCCAGCCTGGGTGACAGAGTGAGATCTTGTCTCAGAAAAAAAAAAAAAAAAAAAGGAAAGAAATTTATTGTTTTTTAAAAGTGTAATTGTTGGGTTTTTTTTTTTTGAGATGGAGTTTCACTCTCGTCACCCAGGCTGGCGTGCAGTGGCGCGATCTCGGCTCACTGCAACCTCCACCTCCCGTGTTCAAGTGATTCTCCTGCCTCAGCCTCCCCAGTAGCTGGGATTACAAGCACACGCCACCACGCCCAGCTCATTTTCGTATTTTTAGTAGAGATGGGGTTTCGCCATGTTGGCCAGGCTGGTCTCTAACTCCTGACCTTAGGTGATCTACCTGAGGCCTCCCAAAGTGCTGGGAGTGCAGGTGTGAGCCACCATGACCTGCCAATTTTTGGTTTTGAAACCGAAGAATAATTAGGAAAATGATGATTATTCCTATTACATGATTATAATTTAAAATAGTTTTGTTGAATGGATACGGGTGCTGAAATAATGCATTCTGGGTATCAAATGGATGCTTGGAGTGGATGGATAGATTGGATACCTGGTCCCTCCAAATCTCATGTTGAAATCTGATTCCTGGTGTTGGTGGTGGAGCCTACTGGGAGTCTTGGGGTCATGTGCCTCTTGGTGCCATCCTCTTGTCCCCTCGGGAAGGAGTGAGTTCTTGCTCTGTTAGTTTTTGCCAGAGCTGATGTTGAAACGAGCCTGGCACCTCCCGCACTCCTCTCTTCCTTCCTCTCTTGCCATCTGATGCCAGCTCCCCTTCCCCTTCTGCCATGAGTGGAAGCTCCCTGAGGGCCTCACCAGAAGCAGATGCTGGCGCCATGTTTCTTGTACAGCCTGCAGAACCTTGAGCCAAATAAACCTCTTTTCTTCATAAGTTACCCAGCCTCGAGTATTCCTTTATAGCAACACAAACAGGCTCGGACAGAACGCCACTGCTGCCTCCCCAACCCCTGTGAGTCCTTCCATGTACACACCCGCCTCGGAATCTGCTCATTGTGGGAGGACTCTCCAGCTTACCCACTGAGACTGAGTAGCAGTAGACATGCCCCCTTGCGGCCCAAGGAACGACTGGTTGGTACATTACTGTGCTAATGGCACTTTAATTGCAGACTTTCAGGGACAAGAAACTTTTGTGTTTCACCCCAGTAAATGACAGGCCCTAAAGTAAACTGTGAAGGACAATGCCAGCAAAAGTTTGAGGCCTGGCGCTCTTTACAGTAAGGCTTTGTGCGGTGATCTACCCGTTCCAAACCTAAGTTTCCTCGCTGGCAAAACAGGGATAAAGTTTCTGGTGCACAAATGCCACAGAATTGCTGTGGAGGTCAAGTGGCGTAGTCCATGTGACACCCTGGAGGACTAAATGATGAAGACAAAGGTGTGTGTGCGAACCATTTTCACCCAGTCCTCTCCTGCTCACCGCCTCTCTCTGAGCTGGGACGTTCACATGCATCGACTTCGGATTCCAGCTCTAGGTTTGCTGGTTGTGTGCATCTGCTGCATTGCTCCAATTCTGTTCTCTCCTGTGAAAAATGGAGATAACTGGCCAGGTGCAGTGGCTCACACCTGTCATCCCAGCACTTTGGGAGGCCAAGGCAGACAGATCATCTGAGGGCAGGAGTTCGAGACCAGTCTGGCCAACATGGTGAAACCCTGTGTCTACTAAAAATATAAAAATTATCCGGGCATATAGAGGATGAAAAGAACCAGTGTTCTTTTCATCCTGTACATATTTTGTGACAATTAATGGTAAGAATAGTGTTTCTTTTGATGAGATCTATCAAAGGTAAGCAAATTATCAATTTATGATAAAAATCGAGTGCAAATATTTCTATATTTTAAATATTAATATATGAGCAATTACTTTCCATATACCCACAGGTCGCCCATGTCTAGAGACGGTTTACTGCCATACAGGAAAAGTGGCCTTGACTTTACAGAGCAGGCCTGTGACCTTGCTTCAGTTAAGCGTGTGCTAACCCAGGAGTTCACTCTCATTACAGCCTGGCATATTCATCTCACTTGCACTGGTCCACGGACGATGATAATAATAAAGGCTCTGCCAGCTGTAAGTGGAGGGGAGAGAAAGGACCTTCTGTTAAATGCAATCCATTAATTCTTGATCGAGCAGACAGGTCCATAACTTCATCTCACATGCAAGGACTCATTAGTAACTTTCCTTCTGTCACTCCGTTATTAACATTAAGATTCGGAGGGGAAGAATGACTTTGAAGCCTGTGGCCTCCTCACCTATCTGACCTCTAGGCTTTCTGCAGCACAGAGATTATACATTCCAGGCACAGGATCCTACATAATAGAGAAGAAATTATATATAAAATATATATATTTTTAATAAAGAAAAGAATATATATATATTTTTTTCTTTAAATGTTTTTATTTATTTATTTATTTTTTTATTGATCATTCTTGGGTGTTTCTCGCAGAGGGGGATTTGGCAGGGTCACAGGACAATAGTGGAGGGAAGGTCAGCAGACAAACAAGTGAACAAGGGTCTCTGGTTTTCCTAGGCAGAGGGCCCTGCGGCCTTCCCCAGTGTTTGTGTCCCTGGGTACTTGAGATTAGGGAGTGGTGATGACCCTTAACGAGCCTGCTGCCTTCAAGCATCTGTTTAACAAAGCACATCTTGCACCGCCCTTAATCCATTTAACCCTGAGTGGACACAGCACATGTTTCAGGGAGCACAGGGTTGGGGGTAAGGTCACAGATCAACAGGATCCCAAGGCAGAAGAATTTTTCTTAGTACAGAACAAAATGAAAAGTCTCCCATGTCTACTTCTTTCTACACAGACATGGCAACCATCCGATTTCTCAATCTTTTCCCCACATTTCCCCCCTTTCTATTCCACAAAACCGCCATTGTCATCATGGCCCGTTCTCAATGAGCTGTTGGGTACACCTCCCAGACGGGGTGGTGGCCGGCCAGAGGGGCTCCTCACTTCCCAGTAGGGGCGGCCGGGCAGAGGCGCCCCTCACCTCCCAGAAGGGGCGGCTGGCCGGGCGGGGGGCTGACCCCCCACCTCCCTCCCTGACGGGGCGGCTGGCCGGGCGGAGACGCTCCTCACTTCCCAGACTGGGTGGCTGCCGGACGGAGGGGCTCCTCACTTCTCAGACGGGGCGGTTGCCAGGCAGAGGGTCTCCTCACTTCTCAGACGGGGCGGCCGGGCAGAGACGCTCCTCACCTCCCAGACGGGGTCGCGGCCGGGCAGAGGCGCTCCTCACATCCCAGATGGGGCGGCGGGGCAGAGGTGCTCCCCACATCTCAGACGATGGGCGGCTGGGCAGAGACGCTCCTCACTTCCTAGATGGGCTGGATGGCGGGGAAGAGGCGCTCCTCACTTCCTAGATGGGATGGTGGCCGGGCAGAGATGCTCCTCACTTTCCAGACTGGGCAGCCAGGCAGAGGGGCTCCTCACATCGCAGACGATGGGCGGCCAAGCAGAGACGCTCCTCACTTCCCAGACGGGGTGGTGGCCGGGCAGAGGCTGCAATCTCGGCTCTTTGGGAGGCCAAGGCAGGCGGCTGGGAGGTGGTTGTAGCGAGCCGAGATCACGCCACTGCACTCCAGCCTGGGCACCATTGAGCACTGAGTGAACGAGACTCCGTCTGCAATCCCGGCACCTCGGGAGGCCGAGGCTGGCGGATCACTCGCGGCTAGGAGCTGGAGACCAGCCCGGCCAACAGAGCGAAACCCCGTCTCCACCAAAAAAATACAAAAACCAGTCAGGCGTGGCGGTGCGTGCCTGCAATCGCAGGCGCTCGGCAGGCTGAGGCAGGAGAATCAGGCAGGGGGGTTGCAGTGAGCCGAGATGGCAGCAGTACAGTCCAGCTTCGGCTAGGCATCAGAGGGAGACCATGGAAAGAGAGGGAGAGGGAGACCGTGGGGAGAGGGAGAGGGAGAGGGAGAGGGAGAGGGCAAGAATATATATTTTAACAGGTAAACAGATCTTGGCTTTTTAACTGCCACCCTCCAAACCCCCAGCAGTATTCTGTCCTGGGCCAACTATCCAGGGTCTTGTGGTCCCTCCAGGATGACACGGTATTGGAGGTACTGTGATGAGTTTCCTTGGCACTGGAAGGAATCTTTCTTCCTTAATGCTACATCTATTAATTCCTCTTTGTGGCTATCTGGTTTGTTGCTACTCGAAGTGTGGTCCCTGGACCAGTATCATCAGCATTGCCTGTGAGCTAATTAGAAATGCAACATATTGGAGCTGCTGTGGACTGAATGTGTGTGTCCCCCCAAAGTGCACATGTTAAATCCTAACCCCCAAAGTGATGGTCTTTGGGTGGTGATGAGGTCGTGAGAGTGGAGTCCCACGATGGCATGAGTGCCCTTATGAAGGAGGCCCCTGGAGAGCTCCCTCAGCCCTTCTGCAAGGACACAGTGAGAAGAGGCTGTGAACAAGGAAACAGTTCCTCTTCAGACACGGCATTTTCTGCCACCTTGATCTTGGGCTTCCAGTCTCCAGAGAGTGAGAAATGAGCATCTGTTGTCCGTAAGCCACTCTGTCTGTGGCACTCTGTATAGCGGCCCAGATGGACTGAGACAGCGCCCACCTCCACCAAGTCCACAACTGCGGAATCAGCGTCTGCGTCCCACTGCGATCCCTGGGTGACCCGCTGTTTGTACACTGAAGTTGGAGACACACTGATTCTTAGAGAACATTTAACTAATGGATTTAATCCTCTCATTAATGGAAGACTAAGTTGAGGATCTGAAAGGTTAGATGATTGATCCAATTATACTTATGCTTGTTCTATAAAAATAATATTCAGAGACAGCAGGACCTTAAGAATCATTTGTTTGGAAAAATGACCTCTAATTACAAAAATCTGTGGTGGGTGGTGGAGAAGACCAAATCTCAATAGAAAAATGGTTAAATATCTATAGTCCCAGCTACTCGGGAGGCTGAGGTGGGAGGATCGATTGAGCCTAGGAGGTTGAGGCTGCAGCGAGGTACGAATGCGCCACTGAATTCCAGCCTGGGTGACAGTGAGAGACTGTCTCAAAAAAAGAAAAAGAAAAAAGAGGGCAACCCATTTCTCCAGGACTCCTGTCTGCAGCAGAGAGCTCTTCTCTTTCTTTTGCCTATTAAAATTCTGCTCTCAACCTAAAAAAAAAAAAAAGAAAAAGAAAAGAAAAAAGAAAAATGGTTAAAATATGAGCAGAAAACAATCACACAAAAACGTATAAAACGCTTTAAAATGGTCCTTGAACGTATGAAACCCATGGAAGGATGCCAACTTCACTCTGAATTAGAGAATGCAAATTAAATTACATTGCGGTCTCATTTTTCACCTGTCAGATAGAAACAAATTAAAAAGTATGATGACACATTCTGTTGGGAATGCTGTGGGAAAACAAGAATTCCCATATGACGCACAGCGCTTTTCTAAGGGAAGGTGGCAATGCGTAACAAAATTACTTATGCCTTTACCTTTTGAGGCTGAGATCCCACTTCTAGAAATTTATCCCAAAGGGGCTGCTCCAAAAGCATCCTAACGCATATGCCTAAGTTTATTTGTGGGGCATTGTTTAAAATTTCAAAATGTTGAGTATGACTCGGATGCAGTCCAAGTGTCTCCACAGAACACGGGCTGGGTGAAAGTGGTCTGACAGCCCAGCGGAGAGCGACGCCGTGGTGAAAAAGCATGAGGGAGGTCTCCTGAACTGACATGGAGGGATTTCCAGGAAATATGTTTAGGCGAACACAAAATGCAAAAATCAAATCCTGCTTTTGTGTAAGAATGAAGGAGAGGTAAGAAAATATACATTCAAGCAAAAAGAAACCCAGGAAGCATGAACCAGAAAGCAAGGTTGGGTGCAGGAGGGAAGGCAGGGGCCGGTGGAGTGTGGCCTTCTCAAGGGAGTGACCTCCTTAGATGGCTTTGACTTTCAGAAGCAGAGTGTTTCACATATTCAAAAGTCAACAAGGGCTGAGCATGGTGGCTCACACCTGTAATCCCAGCACTTCGGGATGCCAGGGTGGGCAGATCACATGAGGTCAGGAGTTCATGTCACCCAGGTTCAAGCGATTCTCCTGCCTCAGCTTCCCGAGTAGCTGGGATTACAGGCGGGTGGCACCACACCTGGCTAATTTTTGTATTTTTAGTAGAGACAGGGTTTCCCTGTGTTGGCCAGGCTTATCTCCTGACCTCAAGTGATCCACTCACCCTGGGTGGATTATCCCAAAGTGCTGGGATTACAGGTGTGAGCCACTGCGGCCCACCTGCATTGTTATTTTGAATGTATTTTCTCATAGTGTCAGATAAAGCAAGTAATTGTATTTTTGTGTTTAGGAAGCAAGGTTTTTATTACAGGAGAAAAGGAGATGCTATGATAGAATCGAGGATTTCAGAAGGAATTGTTCTGTTAGAAGTGGATTGAGAATGTCAATGTGAACTTGTATCTTTTATGAAAAAATTATTTTAAATGCCATCTTTCTAAGTTCTGTCCGCTGAAACGGCTTATGAGGAGCCCCACGATGCCTCCTGCTGCCAAAATTCTGGTCTCCAGTACTATTTTTCCAGAAAAACAAAAACAAAAGTATCAGCACTTCTAGGAGAAAAGGCTCATTCTATGTCTCAGGCAGAAAATTACAAGAGGAGCCTGGAATATCTTGTGCCAGAAAACAAGATGTTCAGACATTCATAGAAATGACAAGACTCGGCTGCTTATCTAAGAGGGGCCCCTCCTGGTCACAACTGAGACAATTTGAGGATCAAAGGAGAATATTGGCTGAGACTGATTGATGTACAGCAAATCTGAAATGTCCCATGTCCATAATGATACATAAAAGAGTTAACAAAGTGTTCTAAAAGTAAGTGGATTGCATAGATGATATTTCTGTTCATTGTCAATCATGTTGGTATTATCGACTCACTTATTGTATGGTTAAATAATAAAGAAGCTAGTACTAGTAAAACCAGGAAAACAATCTAATGTAATGATTAGTAGGCATTTCCTAACATAAAATTAGTAGAATGACCCTCTAAGTTGTGATTATGATCCTGAAACTACCTATTAAAAATACATGTGCAACCTCTATCAACTTCTATCAGGTTCTAGGTTTTAAAAATCACATTTCTTAGGATCTCATGAGGCTCAAAGCTAAAGAGTTAGAAAGGAAAAGCATTTATGTATATTAACAGCACATTAACAGCTAAAAAGAAAAACTCACATAATCATATTAGTTCATAGAAACAATGCATTTGACATACTCCAACATCCATTCATGATTTTATTTTATTTTTTATTTATATATTTTTTTTGAGATGGAGTCTCGCTGTCACCCAGGCTGGAGTGCAATGGCTCGATCTCGGCTCACTGCAGGCTCCGCCCCCGGCGGTTCACGCCATTCTCCTGCCTCAGCCTCCCGAGTAGCTGGGACTACAGGCGCCCGCCACCTCGCCCAGCTAATTTTTTGTATTTTTAGTAGAGACGGGGTTTCACCGTGTTAGCCAGGATGGTCTCGATCTCCTGACCTCGTGATCCACCCGCCTCGGCCTCCCAAAGTGCTGGGATTACAGGCGTGAGCCACCGTGCCCGGCCCATGATTTTAAAAAAACCTCTCAGAAATAGAAACAGAGGGAACTTCCTGAATTTGATTAAAAATACCTGCAAAATCCTAGAGCTAATATTATACTTAATGGTGAAAGACTGAATGGTTTTCCCCTAAGATGGAGAACAAGGCACGGATGTCCTTGCTCACCACTCCTATTCAACAAAGGACTGGAAACCAGAAATAACTTTAATTTTTTTTGTTCTCAAGTGATAGGTTCACAGAGAAAAAGCTTTACTGGATGAACTTTTAGATTACTACTTTTATAGAGCAGCAGAGATAAAAGCCAGGTCGAAAAGTGCATGTGGAGTAAGGAAATGGACCTAGTTCGACAAAAGGGCTCAGAACGACTGCCCAGATGAGATTGTAGACGCAGCTGTAGTTTACTTTCTATCTGGAAGAAACTTCAAGTTATCCTTAATTTTCCAAGGAGACAGTCACTTACCTTTTAAAAAACATTATTAGAGAAGCACCGGGCGGGAGCATATCTAGCATTAAAAATGTGGGATGAATACCATCTCTGCTTGGTAAAGGTGGTTGGGAATCCTGAGAGAGGGCACCTAGTGTGGCTTCTGCATTTTTCACAGTGCCTGGACCACGGCTGAAAGTAACTCTTGCATGACATTTGACAGAAGAGGAAACCGAAGCTCAGATTAAATTCCCTGTCCACAGCGGGATCATTCGGCACGAGTTCCTCCCTGTCTGGAATGCTCTTCCCCAGCAATAGATCCTGCGGCTCTTCCGTGTCTCAGTCTAATGTCATTCCGTTCCAGGATTCCCGACTTCTTAAAGCATAAATAATCCCTCCCCACCCTCTCATTGTACTGTTATGTAAGTTATTACAATATGTCATTATATATTTAGTCATACTGCTTTAGGTAATGTCTTCTCCACTGAACTGTAAGCTCCATGAGGGCAAGAGTTCAGTCGGTTTTACTTAATAATTAGCACCTAGTACAGTACTAGCATAGAATGAAGGCCTCGCAATTTTTTTTAAATTTATTTTTAGACAGGGTCTTGCGCTGTCGCCCAGGCTGGAGTGCAGTGGTGCAACCTCGGCTCACGGCAGCCTCGACCTTTCGGCTCCAGCGATCCTCCCGCGTCGGCCTCCGGGGTAGCTGGGACTGCAGGCGCGCACCACCATGACTGGCTAATTTTTTTTTTTTTTTTTTTGTAGACATGGGGTCTCGCCATGTTGCCCAGGCTGGTTCCTGAGCTCAAGTGATCCTCCTGCCTCGGCCTCCCAAAGTGCTGGGATTACAGGCGTGAGCCTCAGCGCCCAGCCAAGTTAGCCTTTTTTAAACGTCCTGTCTCCGGAGGTTGCCGAAGTTGGTTTTCTTCGGCCTCCTTCTCTCTCCCAGGCCCAGGGCTGGGACGAGGCCGGTTCCCGCCTGCAACCTGCACTGAAGACGGGAACCTTGGGAGCCGGTACCGGAACGCTCGGAAACGGCACCAAAGTACGAATCCTAGGGCGGAAAAGCGTTACCAAGACACTCGTCCCCAGAGCCGCTTCCTGGGACTCTCTAGCCTCCTACCGCTTCTCAGTGATGTTCCGGTTTCCGCCCTCCTCCTCGCGCTGTTTCCGCCTCTTGCCTTCGGACGCCGGATTTTGACGTGCTCTCGCGAGATTTGGGTCTCTTCCTAAGCCGGCGCTCGGCAAGGTAGGTTGGCGGCCTGCTCTCCGACAGAACTTTTCTTCTTGGGTTGAGGAAAACGCCTTTTGGAGTCAGGCCCTGGAGGGGCGAGCCTTGCTCACAGGGTGGGGATACAGCCGATTACCCGCCCTGTGCTTTCCGATGGCTTCTGCGGGGCGAGCGGGGCCTGGCCGGGGGGTGCGGGCGGGAGGGCGAGCCAGCGGCGCCTGCAGCCCGGGCCGCGTAACGCTGACCGCTGTGCCTTCAGTTCTCCCAGGAGAAAGCCATGTTCAGTTCGAGCGCCAAGATCGTGAAGCCCAATGGCGAGAAGCCGGACGAGTTCGAGTCCGGCATCTCCCAGGTGAGAGGGTTTCCCTGGGGTCTGGGGTGGGGGGAGGCGCCCCGCCCGGGAGGGGAGGCGGCCGCGCGTGTGTTGGGCCCGGGGTGCTCGGACGCGCGCTCAGGGTCGGTCCTGCTGTTCGTTGCTTCTTAGGCTCTTCTGGAGCTGGAGATGAACTCGGACCTCAAGGCTCAGCTCAGGGAGCTGAATATTACGGCAGCTAAGGTAAGCTGGCGCTCCCTCGGCTGGGAGGGAGGTTGCGGCGCGTCTCCCCGCGCAGTGCCTGAGAGGGTTGGACCTGGGTTACGGTTGATGATGACTTGCCGCCTGGCCGCCTAACCTGAACTCAGGTTCGGCCGTGTTGTTTGGGAGTGATACCGCCCAGGTGCGGGGAGTGGGGTTGCAGGTACCCTGCGGCTTAAGCTGTCCACATGCGGGCGGTGGAGAAACGTGGAGTAGGGAGGGCCTGGGCCCATTTCGGACCTTATTTGCCCTTACTTAGTTATAGATACGGCAAAGAGCTGTGGGGAGCTCAGGATGAGATTCTCTCTACCCTTAGCCCGGAGTTGCCGCAAGTGGGGGTGCAGAAGTGGTAGTGATTGGCCTCCTGGCCTGAACAGTCTCCCTTCCTGGAATAAGGAAATGTGAAGGTTGGAGAGAGATGAGAACATTTCCGAAGGATGCATTTATGATTAACTCAAAACTAGTATTAGTTTGTAGTGCAGCTACGGTGTTAGTGATAAGGTCTTCTTATCCTCTAATTTGACCACAACGTTTACTTTCTGAAGCAGTTAACACAGTGGATTTTTGTTTTTTTCTTTAGGAAATTGAAGTTGGTGGTGGTCGGAAAGCTATCATAATCTTTGTTCCCGTTCCTCAACTGAAATCTTTCCAGAAAATCCAAGTCCGGCTAGTACGCGAATTGGAGAAAAAGTTCAGTGGGAAGCATGTCGTCTTTATCGCTCAGGTATCTGTTCTACTGTTGCAGCACGTTTCTGTTTGTGAATTTTGCTAAAATTGCTTGTATTTAGACTGCATTGGTAGTTGGAGTCATGAAAACAATCCTTTTATGAATCCAATTGGGTAGAAAGATAAAGTACAGGCAGAGCGCCGTGGCTTAGGCCTGTAATCCCAGCACGGGGAGGTGGAGGCGGGTGGATCACTGTAGAGACCAGCCTGGGCAACATGGTAAGACCCTGTCTACAAAAAATAGAAAAAATAAGTTTTAAAAAGAAAGATAAAGTACGTTCTTTAATTAAGAGTCGAAACAAGAAGTCTGTAAAGTGACAGACTGCTGTGTTTTGAGTTATGAAAATGATTTCCCATATTTAAATTTCCACAAGTCTAGTGGGTTGCTTACATAGATGATCAAACTAAGAAACCTGTTACAGGCCGGGCCCTGTGGCTCACTCCTGTAATCCCAGCACTTTGGGAGGCTGAGGCAGGCGGATCACGAGGTCAGGAGATCGAGACCATCCTGGCTGACACGGTGAAACCCCGTCTGTACTAAAAAATACAAAAAATTAGCTGGGCGTGGTGGTGGGCGCCTGTAGTCCCAGCTACTCGGGAGGCTGAGGCAGGAGAATCGCGTGAACCCGGGAGGTGGAGCTTGCAGTGAGCCGAGATCCCGCCACTGAACTTCAGCCTGGGCGACAGAGCGAGACTCCATCTCAAAAAAAGAAGAAACCTGTTACAGTTCGGATGGGGGATTGGTGCAAACTGAAGTCTATGGGGAATGAAGTGCCAGGATTGATCTGGAATAAAAGTAGTATTCTGGGTCATAGGCATGGGGAAAGGCGTATCTGGGAGATTTTGTCCACTGGCGTATTAGTAGAGGCTGTGGATTCTGAATGATTTATTCAAGAATCAGGAAGTAACTCCATAGAAGGGTTTGCTCAGTCAATTGTTCGTCTAAGTTGTTTAGCCTTCTCGAACTTTGAACTTACCCTGCCATTCTTCTTGCTTTTAAAGCAGTATGGCAGTTACAGCTTTTTGTCAATTTAAAGTCTTTTTTCATTTTGTTACATGATAATTTTTACCTTACAGAGGAGAATTCTGCCTAAGCCAACTCGAAAAAGCCGTACAAAAAATAAGCAAAAGCGTCCCAGGAGGTGAGTATTTTAGTAGTTTCAGAAATGTGTGTACCCCTCTTATTAACAACTCTTAATTTGTTTAAGTTGTAGTTTATGAAAACAGATGTTCAAGTGGGAATTTTTGAGTAGCAGCATTTGGTTTCCTGTATAGTTGCACATGATACGTTTTAGAATTCTAGATGTAAAACATACATGTATTCATGTAGCCATTGTTTGCCTACTAGGTCAGTGCTGTCACAAGATGAGATGATTTCCTCCGATTATTTGTGCACAGGATAGGAATGATGAGAAGGAAATCATTACTTTAATTCTGTGATATAGCATGCTAGACACAGTTGACATGGGCTTGGATTTATCTTTGATTTTTATTTTTGCTGTGGATTGGAGGTAAAAAAATGTAGGTGGATTTTGGTGATAACATCACAGGTTAAAATATCACTGCAGTTGAAGATGCTGATGGAAAATGATTTATGAACTTGATTGACTTACAGGTTATCTGGCATAAACTCAAATATTGGTAGTTGTCTTCTTGAACTAGATCTTTTGGTATTTTGTTAGTCTCTGATTAGTATGTTGTTTTACAAATGTGAACTATTAAATCCCTGTGGACTCTTCCCTAAGGATGAGTTGAAGAAAAAAAAAATCCTAGTGTTGCCTGTGCCCTCTAACATGTTTAATTTGTATTGTTACTCTCAGTGGATGAGGAAACTGATCCAAGGCTGGGATAATTTGCTGATTGCAGCTAGTACTAGTAGTGCTAAGAATGTTTTTTTTTTAACTCGGTCTTGTTCTGAAAACCACTAGAACACAGTGTTGGGAGTCTGGTAATGTGTTATTGTGTCGAGCTGTGGTATGTGGAAAGGTAGGTGCCAGCTTTTCTAGAACTTGAATTCTATGGCTTAGTACTTTGAAAAACTTTTAAAGGCAGAGTGGCATAAGAATTTAGGATTTTTTTCCCCTAAATCATGACACTTAAAGAGGGTTTTGGAAACTCAGTTCTGAGAACCTCAGTTAGGAAATGAGTATAAGAACAGTCCCAGAGGACTGTCCCTCAAATCCATAGCTTTAGTTTCCCTCAGTACAAACCTCTGTTTTCCAAATTTTCTCAGACAATGGCTTCAGTGTTTCTAGTGGGACCTAGTCTGTACATTGAAAGCCTTCACACTAAGCCTAGCTGGTAGGTCATAGTGATTCTACCACTTTTCCAATCCGGCTTCCTGCTTTCAGATTTATTTTCCCTATTCAGTAGAGCTATCTTTATCTAACTCAGGTTAAATGCTGAAATTGATAGTTTTTGGGTATAGCAGGGTTTTTCCTCTAAAGCGCTCCAGTCCCTGTGGTTTGTGATGATTGAGTTATGGTGCCATTGCTCCCCATTTTAAAAGATTGTAGATGACATTGGAATCTAATTTCCGTATTTGGGTGCTTTCCTAGTATTGTAAGAATATGCTTAATTAATGAGTCGCAATGAATAATCCGTTTGTCTTGATTTGCTTTCTGAAAGGTGATGAGGGTTTTGGGAAATGGACTTTGTTCAGGCTTTTGCCCTTTGTGGCTGTGACATATTAAGATGTTGGCAGTAAAATTGAGAGCCACCAGAAGATGTTAACTGTGTATATGGGCGCTGCCAGATAGGAAATCCAAATGAGTAGACTATAGTGTTATTGTTAGCTACTATGGGGTGAGACGTAGACAGATAACCATATGTAAGGCAGCTCCCTAAATGCTGAAACAAAGAACCGTCTCTTGACTTACTCCTGATGTCTCATGGTACATGGTAGCTGCCCCAAAAGCTTGCAATTAATTGAAACTTCTCATTTGTTAGGTGGCAGGTAGGTAGGTTTTGAACTTGGTAGTGATATTCAGACGAGGAGCAAGATTCCACTGGCAGTTCTGTGATGCTAAGTAAATGATGTGATCATATCCGTGCTTTAGAAAGATTATCTTGACATTGGAAGGGGGTGGTTTTGGAGATGAGCAAGAGTGTTAAAGGTTATTGTAGTGATTTAGTTGAGAAATAATACAAGTGAAAATAAAGATGTATAAAAGTCCTCTAATCTCACATTCCCTAGAGATGGTCACTCATTGCCTTGGTGAGTTTGTAGTTTATCCCAGAGTAACATTTAAAATTGACTGAGCTTTTGAAATAAATCAGTAAGCTATTACCCTATTCTAGGTAGGCAAAGGCTTTAGTTTGGTACGTGAAATATAACAAGCTTATTTGAAAATGAGTGTTAATTTGACTTCAGGAACCTGGGATTTGCATTTTCATTTTGACTTAAAGAGGTGCCCTCTGGAGTTGCCCAGAGGGCAGGCGTTGCTAGGTTGCTTACCTTTTAAACTATTCTTTTAGCCGTACTCTGACAGCTGTGCACGATGCCATCCTTGAGGACTTGGTCTTCCCAAGCGAAATTGTGGGCAAGAGAATCCGCGTCAAACTAGATGGCAGCCGGCTCATAAAGGTTCATTTGGACAAAGCACAGCAGAACAATGTGGAACACAAGGTAATAGGTCAACATTTTATCATGGAAAGGTTCAGCCACAGTGAGAGTGGATTTTAGTGTAACCAGTCTCCATGCGCCACCATAGCAATGACTGTAGTAAACTCAGGACTAGTTCTTTTACCCGCACTTCAGCCTGCTCTCCTTTGGATTATGTGTCAGGTGTTAAATGGAGATGTTTCAAGAATTGAACACTTGAAATTCTCTGTACCTTTTGGAAGTAGACTCTTTCTGTGGTCTTTTAGTTAGGCTGTATATTCTTGGTGAGTTAGGGGTGGGTGGTGATGGGATCAGTGTCTTGGGGGGACATAACCATGTGGGTGACTGCTGGGGTCCCCTGATGGCTTCCCCGGTGCAGTGGTGTACAGTTCTGTCCCACAGCATTGGAGAAGAGCTTGTCCCCGGTCGTGAAGACTGCTGCAGACATGTTGTGTGTACTTAGTTGCTGAGGAGAAAAACAATACAGGGCACAATTTCACGAAACTATTAGGTTTTAAGCTGAGTGTGTATTTCAAAGTTCTGTGATGAATTCTTTCTTTTCTTGTAGGTTGAAACTTTTTCTGGTGTCTATAAGAAGCTCACGGGCAAGGATGTTAATTTTGAATTCCCAGAGTTTCAATTGTAAACAAAAATGACTAAATAAAAAGTATATATTCACAGTACTCTGTTTCAGTTATGTTTTTCAAAATTCCAAATTCACGGATGCGCAGCTGTCTTCATTATCAGTGGCGTCCTGTGTGGGCCAGAGGATTTCAGTAGGAGGGGTGTCTGTGCCAGAAAGCTTGATGCCTGTGAGGTTCTGCTTGTATTCAGGGGTACAAGTGTCATCACGTGATGCTGCAGAAATGGCTGAATATTGGCACTTTTGCATGGTTCAAACTAAAAATATAGCAGGTACTTTTTTTATTGTGCTATACGTAAAATTTACCATATTACCCATTTGTAACTTTACAGCTCAGTAGCCTTAAGTGTATCTACAAAGTTGGGAAAGGGAACTCTGAACTTTTTTATTCATCTTGTAGAACTCAAATTACCCATGAAACCAGCACCTCCACTTCTCATTCTGTCAGATTTGTTGAATTTTTTATACATAAACTCATGTTAGGTGTTAAACGGACTTTCACAAGTTAAATGTCAGAGTCTGATTAAGATTTTAGTAGATGCTAAGTGGTGTGTAAACTTGGGTATTCCAATTCCTCACTTCCTTAGTTTTCCACTTCATCAAACGAAGGCTCTGGGTGAAATGAAAGCCTGAAGTGAGGACCCTGGTGTGGTGTCAGGTGACTGGAGTTGGACCAGGTCTTTGTAGGGTGGAGCAGATGTCTTCTTAGAGAATTATTTCCTCAGTTTTGGCTTTGTGCCAGATTGCTTTCAGGTATTGATAAGCCTTAAAATGACCTGTAAAATTTACCTTCCTGCTTCTATAGGGTGAAGAGACAATCTTACTGAACAACCCCCCAAATAACATGTTTTACAACAAATTATTCCCACAGATAGACTCATTCCAGGAAGCCTCTGAGGCGACACAATAGTATTTTCCCATTTTGCAGGTGAGGGTCAGGCCTCTTAGGAGTAGAACTACTGTCAGGCTCCTGAGGCTGTTGTCCAGGCAGAATTCACATGGCGGTGCAGGCACACGGGATGTTTTCAAAGCTTTGGCAAGCGCTCTTGATGGTACTTGGCTGAGGCCTTTGTGGATGAGTGGGTAGTGAGGAAGATTCCCGTTAAGCAGTCAGTTACCAAGGCTGGCCCTTTATCCTCAGTAGTCCGTAGGTCCCTAACCCATTTCCGCTGTCTTCACCCTGTCCCTGTCGGGGTCGCCCTGGTTTCTCTGGAATGAGGTATTTACTTAGGCCCAGGGTGCTGCAAACCTATTCTCACCCTTCTCCAGCACGAAGCACCCTTCTCCCCCCACCCCCCATTTCCTGGCGACCTGTTTAGTGGCTTTTTGGGAGGCTTCATCTGTGTCATCTCAAACATTTAGTGTATTGGAATTCACAGATTCACTGGTTTGGGAAACAAGATTTACACAGGCTGTCCTAGAATGTTATGCATTTTCCTTTTAAAAAAATGTTCCAGGCGGGGCATGGTGGCTCACTCAGGTCTGTAATCCCAGCACTTGGGGAGGCTGAGGTGGGCGGATCACCTGAGGTCAGGAGTTCGAGACCAGCCTGGCCAACATGGTAAAACCCCGTCTCTACTAAAAATACAAAAATTAGCCAGGCGTGGTGGTGGGTGCCTGTAATCCCAGCTACTCAGGAGGCTGAGGAGGAGAATTGCTTGAGCCCAGGAGGTGGAGTTTGCAGTGAGCCAAGATGTCACCATTGCACTCCAGCCTGGGCAATAAGAGCGAGACTCCGTATCAAAAAAAAAAAAAAGTTCTGAATTTCTTGATTTTCCTACGATGCCAGTGGCTATCAGTAGCATACCTAGAAGACATTAAAGAACCCATCTCCAGGAAAAGAAGAAACTTTAACATGTGAGAAAACAATTGTTTTTTGAAATTAGTGTAAGGAATGAGCTTACTTTAGGATGTCCATTGGGATATGCTTCCATTTTAGGTGAAAGCTACATTGACCTGTAAGGTATCAATAACATAAAAACTCGGAAATAGAATATTCTTACCTATTTAAGATGCTTGTGAAGAGTCTCAGTTGGCTTTGAATCTATTTGTTAATCCCTTCTAATTACTTGGCAAGAACAAAAGATGACCAGAATACCAAGAAAGATGGAAAATTTTGGTTGATTTTTCAACAAAAACTTCACATTTGCTAGATGGGAAGCATAGCCAAAGATATGCTTCTGTCCGCATCTATCTTTGTAAGGGGTCTTTAAAAAAAAAACCCTCATAGTGGAAGTTTTCTGTCATACTCAAAAGTATAACAGAATCAGTAGTGGGCCTCTGTCCCATCACCCAGCTTGAGCTAGTACTGACACGTTGCTAATCTTGTTTCATCTATTCTCACCCTTTTTTCGCTGGAGATTTTTGAAGCAAATTCTAAACATATCATTTAGGAATCTTTTAGCTGTGATAATTATTAAAATCAAGTGCCAAACTTAAAACTAGATTTTAAATTGTTATATCAAAGTATAACAATCATTGCTTTCTCTAAAATTAATACCTTGGTGAACAAAAAGACTTAGATATCATTACTGTGGTTACTCATTTAAACCTTCTGTGTTTTTATAACGTACATACCCTATTAGTACCGTGGTGCGTTCTGTATTAACTACGCATTGGAGGTACTCAAAAGTTTCACTTGGAGTGCACAATGGAAGAGTTTGGGGCCTAGCGTGCTAAGCACGCACAATTTTCATCGGTAAACTTTGTCAAGAAAACTTAAGTTATCTTTTTTTGTCAAGAAAGCTTAAATATATCAAATATTTTTGAAAGGTAAATATAAACTTTTTCATGATTTTGTTGAACAAAGATTAGATAGTAAACCTTCAGGCATGAATGTATGCATTTGCTATGGGAAGTAATAGTGGTTTTAAAAAATCCTTTTCCCTTCTAGGTACATTAGTGCAGCCTTTTCTCCGTGATTCATACAACACAATAAAGGAACTAGTGAAGGTATACAAAGTCACACAGTTCTTTAGTACAGCATCTTGAATGTTTTCAGGCACTGAGATGATACTAGACCTGTAAAGCAGGTATTAGACTTGATATTTATTAAAACTTATAACAGGACAATGCAAACACAGCCTAGTGAAAGAGACATTTCAATGACTGGAGATGGGCCTGGTTCCTAAGATTCCTGTTATTGCTAGATGAGCTGTTGGAAATGCTTTAACTCCATCGAATTTTCTCACTATAATCAATAGCAGCAACAGTGGGTGAGTGACTGTAATGAAGTTTAGTCTGAATGCCTCTAGCAATCACATTTTACTCAAAATGCTATACAGATAACATCAGGGCCGTGCTCTGTAATAACACACTTAATGAGGCCACCATTAAAGTCAGCGTGCTGTTAATTATCTGGATCTAAAATGGCCTAAGCTTCCTCTTGAAAGTAGAGCAAATCACTCCTTACTTAGCTTTTAAATCATTATCTGACAGAACTCCCTTAGCATTCTGCCAGTTTTATTCCCGACTGTGATCTCTGGCATGCTGCAAGCTTGTGATAGTACCTGACCGTTTCACTCAGGGACCCTGAAAGCAGCGCTGACCACATCTTAACCTGACATGGCTAAATCTTCGCCTAAAGCTCTTGGGGAGTTTGATGTGGTGGGTGGGGAGTCCCTCCCTGTGTTTGGTGGCCTGAAGATGAGCTGCATCATTCCTTCGTGGACCTCAGGTTTCCCACTGGGAAATGAAAGAGCGTGGGCTAGCTGAGTCTGAGGGTCCCTCTAATTCTAAAAGCCACTGACTTTAAGTACTACAAGTTTAAAGTATCAGTAAATACAGACAAGTTCTCAGAGTATTTGGCACTTAGTAAAGATGAATGAATGTGTTTTCCTGTCCTTGAAAACCAAACCAGTTACAGATTTTATCTTTTTAAGACAAGAGTCTTGCACTGTCACCCAGGCTGGAATGCAGAGGTGTGATCATGGCTCAGTGCAGCCTCAAACTCCCCAGCTCAAGCGATCCTCCCGCGTCAGCCTCCTGAGTAGCTGGTACTACAGGTGCACACCCAGCTAATTAAAAAAAAAAAATTTTTTTTTGTAAAGATGGGGGTCTTGCTAGGTTACCCAGGCTGATTTTGAACTCCTGGGTTCAAGTGAGCCTCCCTTCTTGGCCTCCCAAGGTGCTGGAATTACAGGCATGAGCCAGCATGCCTGGCCTGGGGTTAACTTGATTTTCAGTTTTAAGGCCTGTGCTGGAGCAGGAGTGTCTAGTGTGGCAGACAGTTGGGGGTGAGTAGGATGGTGTTTGGGGACACCAGAACAGCTCCTATGTCTTCACTGAGTGTCGGTCCATGTGGGTCAGGCACCAGGGTAGACTCTTGAAGGATTAGCTCAAATCCTTCCAAGGACCCTGGGAGGTAGGCAGTGGTTTCCAATGCTTGGAAAGTTTTAAAAACGAGAACACTGAGGTCCCACCGGCAGCATATCTCATCGGCAGCTTTAGGGTGGGGCCCAGCCATGTGTTTTAAGAAGTTTTCCAGTCGATTCTGATGCAAGCTCAAGTTTGAGGACCTCTGATAGTTGACTCCCTAATAGTCTCTGATGAGACAGTGGTGGGGCCCCGCCCTCATGCGCCCAGGCAGGGAGGCTGTGCTCCAGATCTCATGCCTGTGCTCCAGATCTCATGCCTGTGCTCCGGATCTCATGCCTGTGCTCCGGATCTCATGCCTGTGCTCCGGATCTCATGCCTGTGCTCCGGATCTCATGCCTGTGCTCCTGGACAGCTGTGCGCTGCCGGACTGGCACGGTCAGAGGGAAGCGCCGGGGAGAAGATGGAGGCCCAGCCCCACACTGCTGAGGCAGGAGGCCAGAGGGCTCCACTCTGTCCGGGAACTTAAGGACGGGGAGAGGTGGCTGCCGTTAATGTCCTCATGGACAATGTCCCAGAGATTTGGCAGCATGCACTGTGTGATCCCAGTGAGAATTCCCATCCGGAGACAAGCGGGGTTTTCATCCGGCTCCTGCTGTCCAGATTTCTGAGTTATCTCTGAGAAATGTAAATACGATTTGGGATTTGCGCCAGAGTCTTTTCCTGGCCCCCTGGCGTGGACTCGTTCCATGAGAGGGTCAGGGTTCACGAGGCAAAAGGCTGTTCCCAGCAGCCACGACTTCAACACTTTCAAGAAAAAGCTGCGGGGAGGAGAGGAAAAAGGAGGAGGGGGAAGGCCTCCTGGCCCTTCTGTTCCCAGTGCAGGTGTGAACACGGTTTATAGTCTAACTGTGCTTCCAATACAGTGTACTCGAAATAGGAAGTTGAATGATCACTTATTTATATAACTGAGAGTAATTATCGGCTTATTGGCATTTTTTTTTTTTTTTAATTTTTAAAAAGCCCTTAACGTTTCAGGAACACAAAAACAAACGGAAAACACCCACATCAGCTGTGAAACAGACGCTGGGCGCTTGGGTCTTGGGGGGTCCTGTGGGCCTTGCTGGCTTGCTTGGTGACAAGTGCAGCTTTAGTGTGACGGGCCCAGACTCCGACTGGCACGTTCTTTGTGAACTGTGATCTTGGGCAAGGTCTCTCATTCTTGAACTCTGAAACAGGGGCGACAACTCCTCCTTGCTATGAGGGTAGCTGTGAGGCCTCCATGAGCGAGCGGTCGTGAATGATCCTAGCTGGCACCGGGTTCTACACACGTTCCGTTCTCTTCACCCCAGTTTGCGTCCTCCACGGGCAGAGGGGATGGCTGCCCAAAGGACATGATGTGATGGGCCTGGCCTGGGCACACTGTGCTCCACACCCCACTTCAGACAATAGAGGCAGATTCACCATGAGGCCAATAAAGATCCGGCTGGAGAGGCCTTAGCATTGAGTTCTGTGGTCATATATTTGTATAAAATTAGCACAAATAAAATATTAAGCACAATGGGCCGGGTGCGGTGGCTCACGCCTGTAATCCCAGCACTTTGGGAGGCCGAGGCGGGCGGATCACGAGGTCAGGAGATCGAGACCATCCTGGCTAACACGGTGAAACCCCGTCTCTACTAAAAATACAAAAAATTAGCTGGGCGTGGTGGCGGGCGCCTGTAGTCCCAGCTGCTTGGGAGGCTGAGGCAGGAGAATGACGTGAACCCAGGAGGTGGAGCTTGCAGTGAGCCGAGATCGCGCCACTGCACTCCAGCCTGGGCGACAGAGCCAGACTCTGTCTCAAAAAAAAAAAAAAAAAAAGCACAATGAGTGAAGACCGCTGTCTGGTTCCTCTGTCACAGCCTCCTGCTGAGTGGTGCCGATGCGGCCCAGGCATCTTTGCATCCTGCTGAGGGTTTCCCCACCTTGGCACTGTTAGCTTTTAGGGCTGGAGAGCTCTGTGCTGTGGGGCCATCCCATGCATTGTAGAATGTTTAGCAGCCTCCCTGTCCTCTCCCACTAGAAGCCAGTACCATGTCCCCAGTTGTGACAACTAAAAATGTCTCCTGCACATTGTCAAATGTCCCTGAGCCCGAGGGGTGGGGAGAACAAACTGACGTTGAGTTGGGGTTATATTATTTTGGATTTCAGCTGGATATGCTGGGTGGTTCATGGTGCAGGAGGAGGTCATGAGCTACAAATTGGTCAGTGGTGTGGTCATTTCAAAGACTAGGATTACTCTGAACAAAACAAACCAAAACCCAATCGTTGAGATGCCTGAAATCAAACACCTAGTATATGAAAGAAAACTGATAGAGGTTTCCCCAGACTTGACAGCTATCCAAAAACTGTTCATGGCGTCACTGATAAAGGCTTGTGGAGCTGAAGTAAACTGTTTTGAAGCTACCAATAAGAAGATATTTAAATAACCATGCAAGAAAGAGCAAATACTGAGTCATCTTCTGTTCTCTTTGTAGAAATTTGTGTTCACGGGAGCAGGCAATGAAAGAATATACAGCCAAATAATATAAAAACGTAAGGGCTGGGCTGGGTGCGATGGTTCACATCTGTACTCCCAGCACTTTGGGAGGCCGAGGTGGGTGGATCATGAAGTCAGAAGAGCGAGACCATCCTGGCTAACACGGTGAAACCCCGTCTCTACTAAAATACATAAAATTAGCCGGGTGTGGTGGCGGGCGCCTGTAGTCCCAGCTACTCAGGAGGCTGAGGCAGAAGAATCGCTTGAACTGAGGAGGTGGAGCTTGCAGTGAGCTGAGATCACCCCACTGCACTCCAGCCTGGGCAACGGAACGAGACTCCATCTCAAAAAAAAAAAAAAAAACCCCAAAAAACCCCCCCAAAAACATAAACAAAAACATAAGGGCTGTCAGGCAGCTTTTTAAAAACTAAACTTTTATTAATATCTAGAGATAATTATAGGTTCACATGCAGTTGTAAGAGAGGCTGTGTACTTAATATCCCCAAGGGCAGCACCTTGTGAAACTGCAGGACAGTCTCCCAGCCAGATACAGGGACGTGCCTCGCTGCAGTCACCACGGGGACCCCGCACGGCACCCTCCTACAGCACCCCCTTCCCTCTGCCCCGCTTCCTCCTGGATCCCTGGCAACCGTGAGTCTCTTCTCAGTTTCTGTAGTTTGGCCATCTCAGGAGTGTTGTATAAAGACAATCATACAGTAAGGAGCATTTTGGGGCTGGTATTTTTCAGTGAGTAGAGTCCCTAGTTCCTACAAGGTGCTGCGTGGGTCTATGGTGGGTTCCTCTTTGTGACAGGGCCGCGTTCCATGGCGGGCATGTGCCACAGTCTGTTTAACCATTCACCTGTTGAAGGATGTCCAGGCTGATTATCCTGTTTTGGGATATTATAGGTAAAGCTGCTGTAAACCTTGGTGTACAGCAAGCTTGTCCAACCCACAGCCCTGGGGCTGCATGTGGCCCAGGATGGCTTGAACGTGGCCCTACACAAATTCGTAAGCTTTCTTAAAACATCGTGAGATTTTTTTTTTTTTTTGCTCACCAACTATTGTTAGTGTATTTTATGTGTGGCCCAAGGCAATTCTTCTTCCAATGTGGCCCAGGGAAGCCAAAAGACTGGACGGCCCCGGTGCGTGTGAACACAGCTTTCCACTTCTCTGGAATAATTCCTAGAGTGCAGCTGCTGGGTGGTAGTGTGGTTGTACGTTTAGTTTTTTGAGGCACTCTCGGACTTTTCCAGCGTGGCTGCACCATTTCTTTTTTCTTTCATTTTTTTTTTTTTTGTGACGGAGTCTCACTCTGTTGTCCAGGCTGGAGTGCAGTGGTGTGATCTTGGCTCACTGCAACCTCCGCCTCCTGGGCTCAAGCGATTCTCCTGCCTCAGCCTCTGGAGTAGCTGGGACTACAGGCATGCGCCACCACAACTGGCTAATTTTTTATTTTTAGTAGCGATGGGGCTTCACCATGTTGGCCAGGATGGCCTCGATCTCTTGACCTCGTGATCCGCCCGCCTCAGCCTCCCAGAGTGCTGGGACCACGGGCCTGAGCCACCACACCCAGCTGGCTGCACCATTTCACATTGCCCCCTGTTTCCCCTCATGCCAGCATTTGGTGTTGGGATTTTGTTTTAGCCACCTTGATAGACAAGTCGTGATAGTTCACTGTGGGTTTTGTTTGCATTTCTCTAATGGCTAATGGCGTTGAACATCTTTTCATGTGCTTATTTGCCGACTGTATATCCTCTTTAGTGAAATGTCTCTTCATGTTTTTGCCCATTTGCTACTTGGGCAGTTTGTTATTTTCCTGTTAAGTTCGGAGAGTTCTTTCTATATTCCCGACACTCTCCTTTGCTGGATTTGTGGCTGACAGATGCTTCCTCCCATCCTGTAGCTTGTCTTTGCATTTTCTTCACGGGGTCTTCTGCAGAGCAAAAGGTTTTAATTTTGGTGAAGTTCCATTGATCAGTTATTGCTCTTATAGATTGTACTTTGATGTTAGAATATCAAAGAATGATTTGCCTAGCCTTAGATCCTGAAGATTTTTCTTCCATTTTTTCTAAAAGTTTTGTAAGTTTACATTTTACATTGAAGCCCATGATCTATTTTGAGATAGTTTTTGTATGAGGTGTGGGGCTTATATTGGGGTTCATCTTTTTTGCCTATGGACGTCCTGTTGCTCCACACCGTTCATGGCACATGCTGTCTTCCCTCCACTGAATCGCTTTTGTACTTTTGTGAGAAAGCAGTTGAGTGTATCGGTGTAGATCTAGTTTCGGGTTCTCTGTTCTGTTCCATTGTATAATGTCTTAGAATTGGGTAGATTGATTCCTCCTATTTTATTCTTTTTTTTTTTTCTTTTTTTTTTTTTTTCTTTTTTTTTTTTATTTTTTATTTTTTATTTTTATTTTTTATTGATCATTCTTGGGTGTTTCTCGCAGAGGGGGATTTGGCAGGGTCATAGGACAATAGTGGAGGGAAGGTCAGCAGATAAACAAGTGAACAAAGGTCTCTGGTTTTCCTAGGCAGAGGACCCTGCGGCCTTCCGCAGTGTTTGTGTCCCTGGGTACTTAAGATTAGGGAGTGGTGATGACTCTTAACGAGCATGCTGCCTTCAAGCAGGGCAGAGGGGTTCCTCACTTCCCAGTAGGGGCGGCCGGGCAGAGGCGCCCCTCACCTCCCGGACGGGGCGGCTGGCCAGGCGGGGGGCTGATCCCCCCACCTCCCTCCCGGACGGGGCGGCTGGTCGGGCGGGGGGCTGACCCCCCCCACCTCCCTCCCGGACGGGGCGGCTGGCCGGGCGGGGGGCTGACCCCCCCACCTCCCTCCCGGACGGGGCGGCTGGCCGGGCAGAGGGGCTCCTCACTTCCCAGTAGGGGCGGCCGGGCAGAGGCGCCCCTCACCTCCCGGACGGGGCGGCTGGCCAGGCGGGGGGCTGACCCCCCCCACCTCCCTCCCGGACGGGGCGGCTGGCCAGGTGGGGGGCTGACCCCCCACCTCCCTCCCGGATGGGGCGGCTGGCCAGGCGGGGGGCTGACCCCCCCACCTCCCTCCCGGACGGGGCGGCTGGCCGAGCGGGGGGCTGATCCCCCCACCTCCCTCCCGGACTGGGCGGCTGGCCGGGCGGGGGGCTGACCCCCCCACCTCCCTCCCGGACGGGGCGGCTGGCCGGGCGGGGGGCTGATCCCCCCACCTCCCTCCCGGACTGGGCGGCTGGCCGGGCGGGGGGCTGACCCCCCCACCTCCCTCCCGGACGGGGCGGCTGGCTGGGCAGAGGGGTCCTCACTTCCCAGTAGGGGCGGCGGGGCAGAGGCGCCCCTCACCTCCCGGACGGGGCGGCCGGCCGGGCGGGGGGCTGACCCCCCCACCTCCCTCCCGGACGGGGCGGCTGGCCGGGCAGGGGGCTGACCCCCCCTCCCCCCTCCCGGACGGGGCGGCTGGCCGGGCAGAGGGGCTCCTCACTTCCCAGTAGGGGCGGCCGGGCAGAGGCGCCCCTCACCTCCCGGACTGGGCGGCTGGCCGGGCGGGGGGCTGACCCCCCCACCTCCCTCCTGGACGGGGCGACTGGCCAGGCAGAGGGGCTCCTCACTTCCCAGTAGGGGCGGCCGGGCAGAGGAGCCCCTCACCTCCCGGATGGGGCGGCTGGCCGGGCGGGGGGCTGACCCCCCCCACCTCCCTCCCGGACGGGGTGGCTGCCGGGCGGAGACGCTCCTCACTTCCCAGACGGGGTGGCTGCCGGACGGAGGGGCTCCTCACTTCTCAGACGGGGCGGTTGCCAGGCAGAGGGTTTCCTCACTTCTCAGACGGGGCGGCCGGGCAGAGACGCTCCTCACCTCCCAGATAGGGTTGCGGCCAGCAGAGGCGCTCCTCACATCCCAGACAGGGCGGCGGGGCAGAGGTGCTCCCCACATCTCAGACGATGGGCGGCCGGGCAGAGACGCTCCTCACTTCCTAGATGGGAAGGCGGCGGGGAAGAGGCGCTCCTCGCTTCCTAGATGGGATGGCGGCCGGGCAGAGACGCTCCTCACTTTCCAGACTGGGCAGCCAGGCAGAGAGGCTCCTCATATCCCAGACGATGGGTGGCCAAGCAGAGACGCTCCTCACTTCCCAGACGGGGTGGCGGCTGGGCAGAGGCTGCAATCTCGGCACTTTGGGGGGCCAAGGCAGGCGGCTGGGAGGTGGAGGCTGTAGCGAGCCGAGATCACGCCACTGCACTCCAGCCTGGGCACCACTGAGCACTGAGTGAACGAGACTCCGTCCGCAATCCCGGCACCCCGGGAGGCCGAGGCTGGCGGATCACTCGCGGCTAGGAGCTGGAGACCAGCCCGGCCAACACAGCAAAACCCCGTCTCCACCAAAAAAAAAAACGAAAACCAGTGAGGCGTGGCGGCGTGCGCCTGCAATCGCAGGCACTCAGCAGGCTGAGGCAGGAGAATCAGGCAGGGAGGCTGCAGTGAGCCGAGATGGCAGCAGCACCGTCCAGCCTTGGCTCGGCATCAGAGGGAGACCGTGGAAGGAGACCATGGAGGGAGACGGAGACGGGGACGGGGACGGGGACGGGGACGGGGACGGGGACGGGGACGGAGACGGAGACGGAGACGGAGACGGAGAGCTGATTCCTCCTATTTTATTCTTTTTCAAAATTGTTTTAGCTATTCTAGTTCCTTTCTCTTTTCATATACACTTTAGAATAGCCGTGTCTATATCTACAAAAATTATTGTTATGATTTTGATAGAAATTGTGTTAAGCTTGTACTGTATATTAACTTGGGGGAGAATCAACATTTTTACTCTGTTGAGTCTCCCAATCTATACTTTTTAATTTTCATTTTATTATTTTTGAAACAGGGTCCCACTCTGTCACCCAGGCTGGGGTGCAGTGGTGCGATCTCAGCTAACTGCAACATCCACCTCCCGGGCTCAAGTGATCCTTCCACCTCAGCCTCCTGAGTAGCTGGGACCATTCTACTATGCCCGGCTAATTTTTGTATTGTTTTTGTTAGAGACAGGGTTTCACCATGTTGCCCAAGCTGGTCTTGAACTCTTGGACTCAAGTGATCCTCCCACTTCAGCCCTGCAAAATGCTGGGATTACAGGCATGAGCCACTGTGCTTGGGGTGAGTCTCCTAATCTATGAAGACGACGTGTTTCTCTGTTTATTCAGATCTTTTTTGAGGTTTTCAGCAGCATTTTGTAGTTTTCAGCATGTAAGTTCTATATATGTTTTGTTAGATTTACACCTAAGTATTCCTTTTTTAAAGCAATTGTAAATGATATTATTTTGAATTTTGGTGTCTATGAGTTCATTGTTATTTTATAGAAATCTGCTTGGTTTTTCATTGTTTATTATTTTTTTGAGACAGAGTCTCGCTCTGTCACCCAGGCTGGAGTGCAATGGCACAACCTCAACTCACTGCACCCTCTGCCTCCCGGAGTCAAGTGATTCTCCTGCGTCAGCCTCCCGAGTAGCTGGGATTGCAGGCATGTACCACCATGCCTGGCTGATTTTTGTATTTTTAGTAGAGATGGGGTTTTGCCTTGTTGGCCAGGCTGGTCTCTAACTCCTGACCTCAGGTGATCCTCCCACCTTGGCCTCCCGAAGTGCTGGGATTACAGGTGTGAGCCACCACGCCTGGCCTACTTGGTTTTTTAAATGTTTGCCTTGTATCCTGTCACCTGTCACACTGATTTAATAGTTTCCAGGAGCTCTTTTGTAGACTCTGGGATTTTCTAAGTAGACAACCATGTCATCTGCAACAAGGGACAGAGTTATTTTATTTTTCGAATCTACATGCTGTTTATTTCCTTTTCGGGCCCTGCTGGTGTGCCTAGAACTTTAGCACTGCATTGAGTAAGAGGTAAGAGTGGACACCCTTGCCTTGTCTTGATCTCAGGAAGGAAACATTCCATTTTTGCCCATGAAGTATGATGTTAGCTGTGGCTTTGCCTTTGACAGATGCTCTTTATCAAGTTGAGGAAGGTCCCCTGCACCTATTTTTCTGAGAGTTTTTATCATGAAAGGTGTTGGTTTATGCCAAATGCTGTTTCTATATAAATTGAGATATTCATTTGATTTTCTTTGTTAGCTTGTTAATGGGTTTTTATCAAAGGAGCTTTGAATATTGACATAGCCTCACATTCCTGGATGAAACCCCATTTGGTCATAGTTGATAAATCTTTTTCTATATTGCTGAATTCTGTCTGTTAATATTTTATTAAGGATTTTCTCATCTATATTCATGAGGGTTATTGGTCTATAGTGTTTTTGTTCTGTCTTTGTCTGGTTTTGGTATCAGGGTAATAATCAACTTTATAAAATGAATTGGTAAATATTCCCTCCTCTTCTATTTTCTGGAAGAGGATGTGTAGAATTGGTGTTAATTTTTCTTTAAACGTTTTGTAGACCCTCCTGTGAAACCATCTGGCCCTGAAATGTCTTTCTGGGGAGCGTTTAAATTGCAAGTTCAATTCCCTTCCTTGGCATAGGGCTGTTGAATTATCTGTTTCATGCTGGGCATGTTGTAGTTCGTGTTTTCAAGAAGTGGTTCATTTTGTCTAAGTTGTCAAATTTATGTATAACTTCAATAATACGTTTTAAATAAAGAATCCATTATTTTTCCTTAATTTTATTATGTGTGTGGAATTTGTGTTTTTACAGTTTTATTTTATGATTTCTCAGTCTAAATAAATATTCACCTTTGAACCTAGCTTCTTATGATTGTAATTTTATATGTATCTTTTTCTTAAAGAAGGTTCCGCTATCCCCCAAAACATGCAAGATTCGGGCTGCATAGAAGCTGGATCTGTCCAGCCCCTGACTAACATTTGTTTCTGGCATTAAATGAAACTTGCCTTTAAATGAAACTTAAATGCGTAGAGTGAGTTTCCGGACTCACGTGTGGCCAGGTCTCCACAGGCCGTGGTCAAGCTCTTGCTGACTTTTGAAGCGAAATCCCATATGAACAAAGGAAAGGAGATCAGTCAGCTGCCCTCGTTTCTGTCTGATTGGTGCCAGGTGATGAGCGTCCCTCCTCTTTATGCTCTTTTGAATTTCCACAGTAGTCATGCTTATTTTTTCAAAAAACGAAAAGAAAGAAGAGAAAGCCAAAAAAGAAACAAAATTGGGATGTTCGGGTTGGAGAGTTAGCAGGGGCATCTCCAGGAGGGTCCTGCCCCCCACCCCAAAGCCGGCCTCAGGGAGTTCCAGGCGTTCCCACACTCCCCAGGCAGGACGGTGGACGCAGCGCAGACAGGAAGCTCCCCGAGATAACGCTGCGGCCGGGCGGCCTGATTTGCTGGGCTGTCTGATGGCCCGGGCCGAGGCTTCTCCCTGCGCCTGGGACTGCGGCCGCCTCTCTAAATAGCAGCCATGAGGCGCCTGGGGGCAGTGTCCTCGCGGGCCAGCGACGGGCAGGACGCCCCGTTCGCCTAGCGCGTGCTCAGGTAGGAGACTCTGCCCGGGGCTGCAGCTGAGGGTTTCACGGGGCTATGACAGTGCAGAGGGGAGGCAGGCAGGCTTCCAAACTGGGCGCGAGGTGGGCTCCTGCTGAGCGAGGAGGATGGGAATCTGTCCCTAGATCCAGGCAAAAGATTGAGTCTCAATAAATCTGGCACCAGAGTTCCAAAGTTTGATTAGTTCATGGCGGAAATTCGTGGAGCCTATTGATGAGATGGGATCCGACCCATGAGAGGTGCTGGATGATGGAGTCACCCTCTTGGGTGGCAGATTTCAAACAGCCCAAGGCCCAGGGGGCTAAACAGTCTTCGCTAATTCCAAACCGCAGTGCAGTACCTGGTCTCACAACCTGACGATTGTTCCTGAGCCTGAGCAGCGTCTGACGGGCCAGGCGGACAGCAGCCACGACTGCCCCCAGGGACCAGTGGCTCTGTGTTGGGCTCAGGAACGGGGATCAGAGAGGTGGGGGAAAGGTGGGCCTTGCTTTGGCAACTTTCCAGGGAAAGACTTTGAGTTCAGATGGGGTCATCTAAAACCAAGTGGGGTCATCTTGTCTCCAAAATTGGAAAGGAGGAAAGTTTCCTAGGGCCGCTGCCTCCTACCTGGATGCCTTGCGCTAGGAACTGGCGGTCTTTTTAGAGCTGAGGTGATGTGGTCGTTCTCAATTTAAAGATGAACGTTTAAAGCCATCTCATGTGCATAGCTGGAATTTTGGTTTGATGGGAAGCACTTTGCCTGTGGTAGGCAGAGCACTGCCCCAATCTTTCACAGCTATTCGATTTTGTTTACAATTTTGAAAAATCCATGTACCGTAGAAGAGAGCACACCGGTAATGTGCTGACCGCTGGGGGAAGATAAGAGAGGATAGGTGCCTTCTTACTCTGTGCTCTTGGTAAGAAGCTAAGAGGAGCGTGTGCTGTTGTGGGTGGAATCCAGGCTGCCCCAGAAGGTGCTCTGTCACTGTAGGGAGGGAAACACCGCGGTGGGGCTGGGGCAGTCCCCAGTGAGAGGAACCTCCTCATGCTTCAGGGATGTGGTTCTTAGGAGGTATTTGTGGTGCCTGTAAGATGCTGGGCCTTGCTGTAGATACTTAATGAAAAAGTAGAATAGCATGTTTGGCAACTGAAGCCATGATTTTTTCTCATTGTCTATTTCATTTTTTTTTTTTTTTTTGAGATGGACTCTGGCTCTGTCACCCAGGCTGGAGTGCAATGGCACCGTCTTGGCTCACTGCAACCTCCGCCTCCCAGGTTCAAGCGATTATCCTGCCTCAGCTTCCTGAGTAGCTGGGATTACAGGTGTGCATCATGGCACCTGGCTAATTTTTGTACTTTTTAGTGGAGAGGGGGGTTTCACCATGTTGGCCAGGCTGCTCTCGAACTCCTAACCAGGTGATCTGCCCACCTTGGCCTCCCAAAATGCTAGGATTATAGGCATGAGCCACTGGGCCTGGCCCCATTGTTTATTTCATTCATAACATGTATTTCCTCTCAGGATTCCACGTTTAACCCCCTCTCCCCTGCTTGTCAAGTCTGCCCCTTCCATTGATGGGAGGGCCCTGAGCGTCTTGGGCCCTGGCTGGGAGATAAGGATGTTGTTCTTAAAGAGGTCCTGGGGGTAGCTGTGGCTTCTCCGTTTACAAAATGGAATTCCTCTTCTAAGAAGGCAGTCAGAGGGCGAGACCTCTGGGAAGCAGAGACTCCTTCGGGCGCCTGGGTGCCCTCACCCTGTGCCTACCTGCCCTGGTTCCTGCTGTGCGTCTGAGAGCGCCCCGCTGCAGGGCCTGTGCCTCCTTTGTGCCCATAGGCCTAGCTGGGGCCCCTCGCAGGAAAGTGGACAGAAACTCTGTGAATGGGCAGCGGGGTCAGTGAATGAGTGGAGCGAGTGAAGGCATGAGAAATCCCAGCCTGGGCTGTTCCGGGGATCAGTGGATGAGTGAAGTGAGGGAAGGCACAAGAAATCCCAGCCTGTGCTGCTCCGGGGTCAGTGAATGAATGGAGTGAAGGCACAAGAAATCCCGGCCTGGGCTGCTCCGGGGTCAGTGAATGAATGGAGTGAAGGCACGAGAAATCCCAGCCTGGGCTGCTCCGGGATCAGCAGATGAGTGTGAGTGAAGGCACGAGAAATCCCACCTGGGCTGCTCTGGTGTCAGTGAATGAATGGAGTGAAGGCATGAGAAATCCCACCTGGGCTGCTCCGGGGTCAGCGGATGAATGGAGTGAAGGCACGAGAAATCCCGCCTGGGCTGCTCTGGGATCAGCAGATGAGTGTGAGTGAAGGCACGAGAAATCCTGCCTGGGCTGCTCTGGGTTTCTCTGCTCACTACTCACCCCTTTTCTTGGGAGACGGAGCCTGATCTTTGTTGAAGCCACTCCTGGGACATCTGCGGAGTGAGGGCAGTAAAAGCCTTGCTGAACACCTGGTTATACCTGAACAGAATCACTTCTAGCTAGAGGGGAAATTCCCATGTCAGCCTTTGATTCCTGAGACATTAAAAAAAAAAAAAACTAAACCCAGTTTGCATCCAGCAAACACTGAGAAGTGAGGTTCGACTTGCGTACTGAGTGGGTGGGGAGGAAGAGTTTACTATTGCTTTCAGAAGCCACATACCACAAGGAGCCAAAATACTGCTGCTGAGGCAGGAGCCGGGGAGACTACGGTTATGAGCCCAGTGGACCAGCACGTCTGGCTACAAACCTTGTGGTGCCCCTTGTTTTGACATTATTTTTGTATTTTTTATTTTTATTTTATTTTATTTATTTCATTTTTTTGAGACTGAGTCTCACTCTTATCACTCAGGCTAGAGGGCAGTGGTGTGATCTCGACTCACTGCAACCTCCACCTCCCGGGTTCAAGCGATTCTCCTGCCTCAGCCTCCCGAGTCACTGGAATTCCAGGCACCCGCCACCATGCCCAGCTAATTTTTGTATTTTTAGTAGAGACAGGGTTTCACCATGTTGGCCAGGCTGGTCTCGAACTCCTGACCTCAGGTGATCCACCCACCTCGGCCTCCCAAAGTGGTGGGATTACAAACGTGAGCCACTGTGCTTGGCCCATTTCAACATTATTAGGAATTTCAGGACAATGACAGCAGGGCAGTAACCCACGTCTGCAGACTGCCTGCCCTGGAAATACTGTGTAGACATTAGATATAATAAAGATTTGGAAACACGGAAACACCACGAGGAGAAGAGCAGAAGGCTCTATTTGCGATGCAATTGTGAACTTTCGTTCTGTTGTTTGTTCCTTTATTTACTCATTCACTTGTTCACTCAGTTTGGTGCCTGCTAAACTGCAGGCTTCTGCGTGCCCAGAGACCTTTACGAAGCTGTAGCTTGCACAGATCACTTGCATGTGGACCCAAGCCTGGCAGCGAACAAGGAAGGTGGGAGGAGTGAAGTCAGCTGGTGGGGTCCTGGGTTTCCGCTTTTCGGTTGCCCTTATTGTTCTAATATCCGCGTGAGCACAGGGGAGAAGGGTGTGGGCACAGGCAGCGGGTGAGGGGTGTGGAGAGGAGGCTGGAGGCGGACCGTGGGTGAGGGGTGTGGAGAGGAGGCTGGAGGCGGGCCGTGGGTGCGGGGTGTGGAGAGGAGGCTGCAGGCGGAGTGCCCAGCTGCGTGGCCTGGTGGTGGAGTTGGGGCCGATTGTTCAACTTTCCATATTGCATTGTCTTTAGAGTGAGGAACTGTAATAAGGTACAAGGTTGTTTTGGGAATTAAATCAGATATGTGTCCACATTTGGTATACAACGTATATTGGCTCCTTGTTCTCTCCATCAAAAACCTATTTTTAAAAATCCCTTACATCGTGACTGAAGGAGGAAGGTGAGCCCTTCCTTTGATGCATGGGGAGAGGGTAGTCGGGCAGAAAGAGGAAACAGCCAACAGTGCTGGGAAGCCCTGGATTTCAGTCCCACCCTCACCACACACTGGTTACGCAATGCTGGGAAGCGTTCTTAATTTTTCTTTTCTTTGGCTTCCTCATCTGTGACGAGTGCGTGATGGTGCTGATCTCTGTGCAGTGTATGGGAGTTATTTTCCTCCAACCCAGTGGACGTTCTGTACCCCTGTCCTTTACAAAGTCATTTCTGTAAGGGGCTCTGCAGGAAGAAGCCAGGTCCTCATCTGGTGCGCGATGACCCACACCACAGGACGGCACTGAATGGAAACGGGTTTCCCTGTACCCATTCTGCGGGAGAATTGACTGACGCAGAGGCACTGTGCGGGGGACAGGCATTCTCAGATGAGGAACCCTGGCTTCTAGCCCTTTCCCTGGACTGGGAGCCCATGCATGTGATCACAGTAGGATCAGGAGCTGCCATTTGGTGAGCATTTGCTATGTGCCACACTGGGTCACGGTGCCACACGCATTAATTACCGCTGCAATCCCTTCAAATAGCCTATCTCCATATTAAGAGAAGGGGAGGGGCTTGCAAACGGCATGTGGTGTGGCCAAGGTGCTGGTAAGTGGTTCAGTGGATTTGTAGCTGTCCCTCACCCACTGCCCTCAGGATGCCAAGTCCCGGGAGGTCTCTGGGCAGTGCCATGGCCCCTCCATGGCCCAGGGAGGCAAGCACTGGCCTACTGGCCCCACAGTCATGAGGGTGAGCTCCACGCCACCAGCTGTGCCCTTCCTCTCCCAGCACCCGTCAGTGGCATGCAGTCTGCCTTAATAAGATTAGATAATCCATAAGCTACAACTACATAAAGTTGAATATAAAGACACTGAAGACTATGGATACTGTGCTGTGATATCTTATAAAACTCAAAAGCGGCCAGGCACGGTGGCTCAAGCCTGTAATCGCAGCACTTTGGGAGGCCGAGGTGGGTGGATCATGAGGTCAGGAGATGGAGACCATTCTAGCCAACACGGTGAAACCCCTTCTCTACTAAAAATACACAAAATTAGCCAGGCGTGGTGGCGGGCAGCTGTAGTCCCAGCTACTTGCGAAGCTGAGGCGGGAGAATGGCGTGAACCCGGGAGGCAGAGCTTGCAGTGAGCTGAGATCGAGCCACTGCACCCCAGCCTGGGTGACAGTGCGAGACTCTGTCTCAAAAAAAAAAAAAAAAAGCAAAACTCAAAAGCAAGCAAGGCTGGGCACAGTGGCTCACACCTGTAGTCCCAGCAGCTTGGGAGGCCGAGAGAGGCAGATCACTTCAGCCCAGGAGTTTGAGACCAGCCTGGGCAACATGGTGAGAACCTGTCTCTACAAAAAAGACAAAAATTGCCCAGACATGGTGGTACATGCCTGTAGTCTCAGCTACCAGGGAGGCTGAGGTGGGAGGATCCCCTGAGCCCAGGAAATTGAGGCTGCAGTGAGCCAAGATGCACTACTGCACTCCAGTCCTGTCCCAAAACCAAACACAAGCAAAACGTGACAGAATATGGTTTAAGAACGCATAATGTGTAGGAATCCTGCTTAAACCCCGCCAGAGGAGAAGTTCGCATTCAGGATGGCGTCCCCCAGGGGAGGGCGCGTGGATGGGAGCGGGGCTGGGGCTTTGGGGCCGGTGAGGCAGGTGCACTCACCAGTGTCTGCTGTGTGGTTAGACCTCGTCATTGTGTAGTTGTATACACACATTAACTCCTAATGAACTAGAAAGTGAACATCAAAAATGACACCTTGAGGTATTAATAATTGTTGAAGCTGGGCAATGGGTATATGGAAGTTCATGGTACTGCTTTTGTGTGTATCTGACATTTTCCATTATAAATGTTAAGAATGATGAGAGCCTCAGCAGGACAATGCCCGGCCCCGTGATGGCTGTGTCACTGCACGGGGCGGGCTCCCATCCACGCCCCTTCTCAGAAGAGTCGGGAGCCCCCACTTTCCTCTTGGCCTTTCCACTCCTGTGCTTTGTGAAGTCATCTCTACTTCTGATTCCTCGTGGATTCTTGTAGGATGTTTGAAGAAAGGGGGATGTGGGCAGTTTCTGAATTAACCCCTTTTTCCACCACCCTTCCCACACGGGCAGGGGGCCTCGGCGTGGTGGCAGTGGAGCCGGGATTTGAGTAGGGTCGCCGTGGACAGGGTGGTGTGCGGACCATGTAGACCATCATAGTGTAGCCAAAGCTCATGGGTTTACTTTTTGTGACTTTGAGCTTTTGGATTTTTCTTTATTATTATTATTTTTTTTGAGACAGGGTCTCACTCTGACTGCCCGGGTTGGAGTGCAGTGGTGTGATCACCGCTCACTGCAGCCTCAACTTCCCAGGCTCAGGTGATGCTCCCACTTCAGCCTCTCCAGTAGCTGGGACTACAGGTGCGTGACACTACACCTGGCTGCTTTTTTGTAGAGATGGGGTTTAGCCATGTTGCCCAGGCTGATCTCAAACTCCTGGACTCAAGCAATCTGCTGGCCTTGGCCTTCCAAAGTGCTGGGATTACAGGCGTGAGCCACTGTGACTTTGTGCTTTATAGTACCTTTTTTCCCCCGAGCCATTCTTGGACATCCGGGATGAGAGACGGCTTCAGCTTTAAGGTCTGTAGGTTTTCACAGAGGTAGGATTTAAGTTCTGTCATCTTCGGCAAGTGAAGCTCTCCCACGCGCGTGCCCAAGCCCTGGCTCCGCCCTAACTCTAATCCTCTCTCCCTTCCCGCCCCGCCCCTTCATCAACCCTTGCCTCAGTGGAAACGGACATTTAACATGGAATGTTCATGGCAGTAACCCTAGCCGTCTCCACGTCATCTTTTTGTCTGTGACCATTGGAGGCGATTTTTTTCAGATTTGGGAGAAGGATTTCAAATGACTTCCCTTCGAGCTGCAGGGCTATCTTGGGCATCTTGACCTCCACACATTTCTGGGAGAACTCCTCGTGCAGCAGGACATCAGGTGGCAAAGGTGGGCTCTCGCCAGCCAGAGGCGGGGTCTCTGTAGACTCCATGGGGCCCTGGCTTTCGGGATCTGTCCGGACCACCCTCCCCTGGCTTTTGTAGCAGGGCTCTCACGGGGCTGTTGATGTGGGAAGCCCCCCACCACAGATGGCCTTTCTCTAGCAGCTAAGGTGACCTTCATTTTGGACCTGAGAGGGCCAGCTGGCTTGGAATTGTGGGAGAGAAAATGGAGGGTACCCTGACCCCCAAGCCTTGCAAACCGAACCATTGCTCCACCCACTGGGTCACATAGGAGTCTATAGTGTCTCAGACTCGGAAAGTTGAACCCGAGCCCCTGACTTCACTTCACCTCCTCAGTTCTGTTTCTCAGCAGCTGGCTGCACTGTTCACCTGGCTGCTCAGAACAAAAGCTTTAATCTTTGATTTCTCTCTGTCATTTCCCACATAACTGATCAGCAAAACCTGTCAGCTTTGCTTCCAGACTGCATCCCATACCTCTGTCATCACCTCCACCCACACGTGGGGTCCAGCTGCCATCCTCGCCCGCTGTGCTGTTGTGGTCACCCTGGCTTGGTCTCCTTGCTTCCGTTGCTGTTCCCCTAAGTCCCGTCTCAAGAGCAGGGAGACCCTTTTGTAAAGCCGCTCGCTGATCCAGACCCTCTGTCTCATACAGAGCAACCCCCAAAGCTGCTGGGCGCCGGCTCCTGTCTCCTGTCCTCTGTGCCCACCAGGCCAGCCCACCTCTCCCCGCACTGTCCGGCATGCACTGCCTCAAGGCTTTCTCTGAGCCGCCCTCACCCACCTGTCAGCGAGGCTTCCCTGGCAACCATCCTGAACAGCAGCATGTGTCCCGGCCACTGGACTCTGCCTCACTCTTCCCCACGGCGCTTACCCCTGCCTCTGTCTGTCTCTGTCTGTCTGTCTGTCTGTCTCTTCCAATAGGAATAAAAACATAAATGTTCTTGCTCTACTCCTGGTGCCTAGAGCTGTGCCTGACATTTGGTCGGCATCCACAAATGTTTCTGAACGAATGATTAACCAAACGAAAGGCTGCCAGGAAGTATCCGGAAGCATGGCCTTTGGGATGGACAGATGCTCCTGTGGCTTCCATGCTCTGCGGAGCCCCAGTCCCAGCTCGCCACGGCTCTTTATCAGCTGTGCTCCAGGGCTGCTGTCCGCACTCTGCCCTTCTGGCCTGTCCCTCTCTCCCCTCCTGTCCCTTTCCCTCTGTTTCCCGGGCCTCTCCCTTCAAGTTGAGTAGTTTCCATTGCCCTCTTTGTTTTCCGAGTTTTATTTATTTATTATATTTTATTTTTTTTTGGGACGGAGTCTCGCTGTCATGCAGGCTGGAGTGTAGTGGCGTGATCTCAGGTCACTGCAACCTCCGCCTCCTGGGTTCAAGCAGTTCTCCTGCCTCAGCCTCCCAAGTAGCTGGGATTAGAGGTGCCCGCCACCACACCCAGCTAATTTTTGTATTTTTAGAAGACATGCGGTTTCACCATGTTGTCCAGACTGGTCTCGAACTCCCGACTTTAGGTGATCTGCCCACCTCAGCCTCCCAAAGTGCTGGAATTACAGGTGTGAGCCACTGCGCCTGGTCTTGTTTTCCAAGTTGTAACGCCCTTCACGATGAAGAAACAAAGAGGTCAGCACGTACCCGCCCCTCCTGGGATGGTCAGATGTCCATGACACCCCTCTTCCTATGGGCTCGGCCCCCACCTCCCCAGGCCCCTGGGTTCCTAAGGCCGGGGCTCCTCTCTCCTTACTGATCTCACCGAGGAAGGCCAGGTGCCTGTCTCCTGCCACCTAAGGAGATGTGGGGGCGTGGATTCCTTGTCTGTGAATGGAGCCGCTAAGCTTGGGGCTCCTCAGGCGCCTTGGCTGTTTCCTTTAGCTGTATCTCAGCCTCCCTCCGCTGTGCCCAGCTCTGCAGAGGCTCCATGTCTGTGGCTGGCTATGCTGTGTGGAGACCCCTACTCCACTCTGTGTAGGAATCGTTTGTCCCAGAGATCAGATCGAACTCCTTGGGGTGGGCGAGCCGTAGGCCTTCAATCAAGGCTCACTGACCAGGGCTGGCATGCACTTGGTGCCTGGTGCTGACCCTGGGGCTGCTGTGGAAGCTTCTCAGTGGAGGCTCATGATTGGTGCTTGAGTGAGTGAGGAGCACCCGCCATGGGGGCCCAGACAGCCCTTCCAGGCACCAGGAGGGCTACACCCCTTGCCTCCGAGGCCTGCTCACTGTCACTGGCTGCCCGGCTGTTGCAGTTCCCATCACTGTTTATTCCTTCCTCTGTGTAGGAGTTGGTGTCCTGCCTGCGCTCAGGATGAGGGGGAATCTGGCCCTGGTGGGCGTTCTAATCAGCCTGGCCTTCCTGTCACTGCTGCCATCTGGACATCCTCAGCCGGCTGGCGATGACGCCTGCTCTGTGCAGATCCTCGTCCCTGGCCTCAAAGGTAACCGCTCCCTGGACTCTGGGCTGCTGGGCAGTGGCCTCCGGGCCAGCTGAGAGACTCCCATGCAACTGCGCAGTTCCACGGAAAAGCACAAAGCCCCAGCAAATCTGCTTACCCCATTGGGTCTCAGTTTCCCCATCTGGAAATCAAGGGTTGGGTGACATGATGTCTAAACTGTCTTCGGCCATGGAATTCCTAATTCTGAAGATGGCAATTTATTTGCAACTCAGCCCTCTCCGGGGGGACCTTGCTGGAAGGCACCTGGCTTTCCGTCAGACCCTGCACACATGGCCTCGTGTGATCCTCCCCATGAGATGATCTCATGTGGACCATTTTACAGATAAGGAAATTTGAGGGTCAGAGAAAATTTGCAACTTGTGTTAAGTTCCCAAAGTGTGCTTCTACATTGCTTCCTGAGAGCTCTTAATATTTTATTTTAAAAATTAAAAAATCCCTGGTGGTCTAGTGGTTAGGGGAAAAAAAAAAGACAGGAACTTTTTTTTTTCTTGTTGCTTTGTCTGTAATCTGCTCCCGGATAGAGATAGTTCTGCAGGTGAGGCATGGGTGAGAAAGTCCCTGAGGCTGCGGTATCTGAAGCCTCCAGAGCAGCATCTTCAAGTAAGAAAATGACCAGCTTCTACAAAGCAGAGGCAACAGGTCCCCAAGCCTGGGGGAGCCCGGTGTGAAATGAAAATGTGGGCCCCTTGTTCAAAATTACAGAACCCAAGAAGGGACAGCAGAGTGTGTGCCAGTGTCGGGTGGCAGGGCCGGGGCTGCACCGGCCGCAGCAGAGTCCAGGCCGCCGCTGAGGGGAGTCACGTGGGTGCCGAGGAGGGGGCGGGGGAGTCACGTGGGTGCCGAGGAGGGGGCGGGGGAGTCACGTGGGTGCCGAGGAGGGGGCGGGGGAGTCACGTGGGTGCCGAGGAGGGGGAGGGGAGTCACGTGGGTGCCGAGGAGGGGAGGGGAGTCACGTGGGTGCCGAGGAGGGGAGGGGAGTCACGTGGGTGCTGAGGAGGGGGAGGGGCGGCCACGTGGGTGCTGAGGAGGCGGGGGAGGGGAGTCACGTGGTTGATGAGGGGGAGGGGAGTCACGTGGGTGCTGAGGAGGGGAGGGGAGTCACGTGGGTCCTGAGGAGGGGGAGGGGCACATTGACCTTTTGCAACCTGAATCCGGTCCGCCCCCTCCTCATCCGCGGTCCGCTTGGGCCTTCAGCTTCTCCTGTGGAGCGTCTGCGGCTCTTTTTATTGAAACATTAGAGAAAAGTAGATTCAAACCCATGATCAAAACAGTCACCACGAAAGACAAACCCTGCTCAGCCCGTGTTGTACAAAATGAAAAGGTCAGCCCTCTCCCGGGGCACAGGGTCCGGACAGCTCGGGGCCACCCTGCCAGGCTGTGCAGCTCTGGCTGGGGGCTTTTTTCCGGCTGTGTTAGCCCTGCTGTTGGAAACCAAGTGGACTGTCCTGCAGCCCAGACAAGCCCAGTGGCCTTTGTGCTTTTAATTGTGATAAATGTACCTGCTTTAGAAAATGTTTAATTATGTTGGAAGCAACTTAAACTGTTGGATGCCTACGGCTCTCTCAGAAGTTTTGGTGAAAGTGGCTTTGGCCCTGACTTTGTGGTAGCGTGTGTGGGTTTGTGAGTGGAACCTTCAGCTTTAGGTTGGAAACGGTGGCTGTGGAGAGCTGGACTTTTGGCTGTGGAGGTCACGTCCCTGCCCAATGTGGTGGGTGCCTCCGAGTCCCTACGGTTGTCTTCCCTGCGCCCTGCCAGGTCAGTAGCCTGCACTGGTGGGGGCCGTGGGGTGGGCTCCAGGGTCCTTTCTGGGCGCCGCCTTTCCCAGGTGCTGTTGGGAGGGTCCTTCCCAGCTGTCCACGTCCTGGGTCCCCTGGATGTGCTGTCATTTCCCACATGGGTAGGGTCCCTTCTCAACCTTTGCAGGCTGGGAAGTAGGGCAGGTCTGAGGGTGCTGTGGGTCAGCCGTCCTGCGTGACGGGTCACCTGTCCTCCCAAGCCTCGGCCTCCTGGTCCGTGAGGTTGGGGAGGCGATGCCAGCTTGGGGCTCTGTGGGGATGCAGTGGTGGCACCAGGAGTGGGCACACAGTGACCGGGGACCCAGCCCCTGCTCCTTGCTCTGGGACAGTGACTTACAAAGCACTAACCCTGTGCAGGCAGCGAGCCCGACCAGGGAGCAGATCAGGTGTCCGTCCAGCACGTGCCCCGCGAGTCCGCAAGCGAGAGGCGAGCACCAGGGGCAAGGAGCGGTTTAGAAGGATTCAGGATACCCAGCATGTCAGGAATTGGGTTACTCAATGGAGAAAATGGTGTGTGCCAGCAGACTTCATCCCTGCCGGCCCCAGCATGTGCCGTAGCCCCCCAGGGTCGCTGGAGGTCAAAGAGGAGAGGCAGCGTGCGGCACAGTGCCAGCTTCTAAGGAAACAGACACACACGCAGTCACCATTCATTAGACAAGCGTCCGTTGAGAATCCACCAGGCAGGCTCAGGGCTGGGATGAAGAAGCCGCGGCCTGTCTCCTCACAGTCCCGCCGTTCGGCCCCGGACACGGGGTGGCATCTGGTCTGAGAAACACAGCACGCGCCGCCCCCCCAACCCCCACAACCCCCTGTGTTTTGGATCCTGAAACCTCTGCCAACTCCACATTTGGCTGGAGAATCTTCCTGAGCACACGAGTCAGGCTGCCGCTGACTGCTGGTGGTGCTTGAGATGACATTTATTTGCCATTCCAGGCCATTTCAGATAATAATAATATATTATCTTTACATTTAGAGGGAATAATATATTGTCTTTACATTTAGAGAGAATGACAACTCCTTTTAATGGGAAAAAAGTCTTTTTTTAATGGTTAAAAAAATGGCTGTAGGTGAGAAAACATTTATCTGTATTAACAAATGTGTTTCCCAGAAATATGAAAGGTCATAGTTCTTCTTATAGGCTTTATCAAATGAATTTTTTTTTTGCTTTTTTTTTTTTTTTGAGATGGAGTTTCTCTCTTGTTGCCCAGGCTGGAGTGCAATGGTGCGACCTTGGCTCACTGCAGCCTCCGCCTCTCAGGTTCAAGTGATTCTCCTGCCTCAGCCTCCCAAGTAGCTGGGACTATAGGCGCGCACCATCAACGCCCGGCTAATTTTTGTATTTTTAGTAGAGACGGGGTTTCACCATGTTATCCAGGCTGGTCTCGAACTCCTGACCTCACGTAATCCACCCGCTTTGGCTTCCCAAAGTGCTGGGATTACAGGTGTGAGCCAACATACCTGGCCTATCAAATTAATTTTAAAATCATTTACTGCCATTCTTTAAAACAACATTGATAAAACCAGTAATGGGGCCTGAATAACATGCGCTGTGGGAGGTTTGCTCTTCTGACACCTGACGGCCTGTCTGTGCCGTCTCCCCTTGTGTAGAACAAGCCAGGCAGGCTGAGGTCCTGGCTTTCTCCTCTCTGACTTCCCATGGCCCTGGGGTGCCGTGGCACTTGTTGTGGCCAGCAGGGATGTGAAGTCGCTGGCACACGAGTTTGTTCAGCTTGTAAGCAGGTGGCGTGACAGTCAAGCACTGTCCACGGATCTTCCTCAACTGGCTATAAATATGTCGAAGTATCTTAGGTTCTCAATAAAATAACTGACATGCGCCTTCCTAGCTGGGTTGGAAATGACCCCAAATACGATCTAGGTAAAAGCTTTTTGTTCGTAGATTTGTACATGATTTGCAGGGAAGCCAAGCAAACAGTAAATGTCAGCCACGTTTTGTTTCTTTGAGCGAGGAGAGAGCTGCGTTGTGGTGATGGTGGAAGTGAGCCAGCAGTTGAAATGTTAGCCTCTCCTGGTAGAGAAATAACTTGTCATTAGAACTTTATGTAGTCAATCATCCTGAAAATGAAAAGGATGTGGGAAAAATGTCATTGTGCTCGCTGGGTCTACATTACAAAATGCATGGAGTGTTGAGTGGGGACGTGTATAGAAATCCTGCTCTGGAGTCATTACCTGCAGGGACATACATCTTTATGACCCCTGGGACCAGTGGACAATGAACACTTCAAACCTTGCCAAATTGGCCAGGTGCAGTGGGTCACGCCTGTGATCCCGGCACTTTGGGAAGCCGAGGTGGGAGGATGACTTGAGCCCAGGAGTTTGAGTCTACCCAGGGCAACAGAGTAAGACCCCATCTCTGGAAAACAAAAAACAAAAACAAAACAAAACAAAAAAACAACCCTGCCAAATTGTGAACAGTGCTTGAAAACAGCCTTGGTTCTTAAGATGCGTGGACAGGGCAAGTCTACAAGGCGGAGGCGACGGGGACCGTGGAGAAACCAGGGCAGCCCCGCCGTGGATGGGAGGCCTCTGTACTCTCTGGTCCTCAGTGCTGTTGGTCCTGAACCAGGGATTAAAATACTTTTTCTCGTGACAACCAGCACGGTGTCTTCCAGGGCATATTTTGTTCAATCCCCATCAGAGCTGAGGAGGACCAGGCTGGGAGGGCTTACGCTGGGTTTTGCACAGGAAGGAAAGCAGTTTCTGACTCCAGGTTTGGGTTCCCCACACTGCAGGCACAGCCGTGAGGCATTTGGGGTGCCTGCTGCCCAGCACTGGCTGAAATGCGCCTGGCCCTGTACAACTACAGACACAGGTCCATTAAGCAGAGCCCTTGGGAGATGGCATGTAAGTGGATTTTGTGATTAGCTGAGAGATATAAAGAAAACGTGTGTTAAATCCTCTTCTTTAGAAAGTCTTGCTGTTTTTAATGACTTATGATTCTTTCTCTCCTGCTTTAGTAACGAGAGTTTGTGGGACACAGTGTAATGTGTGGTGCTTTTCAGGGTCTCTTTCCGTGCCTCCAGTTGTTACTATGAACTATTTTTCTTTGATTTTTTTTTTTTTTTTTTTTTTTTTTTTTTTTTTAGAGACAGGATCTTGCTCTGTCACTCAGGCTGGAGTGCAGTGGTGCACTTATAGCTAACTGCAGCCTGCAACTCCTGGGCTGAAGAGCTCCTCCCACATCAGCTTCCTGAGTGGCTGGGACTACAGGTGCACAGCAACACATCCTGCTATTTTTTTTTTTGAAATGGAGTTTCGCTCTTGTTGCCCAGGCTGCAGTGCAATAGCGTGATCTTGGCTCACTGCAACCTCTGCCTCCTGGGTTCAAGCGATTCTCCTGCCTCAGCCTCCAGAGTAGCTGAGATTATAGGCACCCGCTACCACGCCTGGCTAATTTTTGTATTTTTAGTAGAGACGGGGTTTCACCATGTTGACCAGGCTGGTCTCAAACTCTTGACCTCAGGTGATCCACCCGCCTTGGGCTCCCAAAATGCTGGGATTACAGGTGTGAGCCACCATGCCCAACCCCTGCTAATTTTTTTGTAGAGATGGGGTCTTGCTGTGTTGCCCAGGCTGGTCTCAAACTCCTGCCTTTAAATGATCCTCCTGCCTTGGCCTCCCAAAGTGCCAGGATCACAGGCATGAGCCACTGCACCTGGCCAACCAGTTTTTAAAAATCAGATTAGAGACAGGCAGATGGATGCAGGTGGAGGTTGGTCAGAAGCTATCATGACAAACTTGTCCTTACTGCTTTATCTTTAGGAGGAGAGGAGACGAGGGTGAGTAGTCATGCTGGTTAGTGAGTCTCGCTCTGGGGTTTTGAAGCCTGAGCAAGGTGTGGTAAAGACACACTGGCGTGCCAGCACATCCCAGCTTGGACATGTCACTTGATTCTCGTAGCTGTGTCTTCACCTCTAGAGTGGACATAGTGCCCGCCCCATGTAGGGGGAGAGGTGAAATTATTATGCAAATAAGTGAATGCCGTGTACAAACTCCAGGAGCTTTCTTAAGCAGTATGAGAAGAGCTGGCAGACCTGCTTAGTGTTAATTCTTTACGAGTACTGATGGAGCACCCGCCTTCTTCCTGGTGCTCTGGGGGACCGAGGGTTGGGTGAGATGGAGCTGTGTCTTCTCAGAGTTTTCAGCCAGTGGGAGAAAGAGCAGACTGCTGTCATGTAGGCGGTGTGAAATGCTTTATGAAGGAAACATTCTTCCGCCCTCATCTCAGCCACAATCACTATTGGCCTGGACCGTGGCATGGGTGGTCAGGTTATCCCCATGAGCTCCAGGCATGAAGTCCCTGGGCTGCCTACTGCCTCGGGCTCGTGGCTCGCTCTGCCCAACCACCTGGCTTCCCGTCATCCCCTCCAGCCCTTCCCCCTTGTCTGTGCACCTGCTGACCCTGTCCTCAGAACACTTCTTACTCTGTGCCTGGCTACCCCTGCTCAGCAGCTTAGCCTGAGAACCACCCCTCAGAGGGGCTTTTCGGATCTTGCCGTCTAAATTATGGCTCCTTTGTTGAGGTTATTGCCTCATTTTATTCTTGCGTCCGGTGTTGCTAATGAGAATTCTTATGTCCATCTGATTCTCATTCACAGGTATGCAGTCTTTAAACCTGTTTTTCCCTCCTGGGTAGCTGACAGCATTTTCTCTTTATTCTTGGTGTTCTGTGATGTTGCTCTGACATGTCTGAGTTACTTTTCTCTGATTTTCCCCGTGTGGTTCTCCGCAGGCCCTTTCACAGAGTTCTTTCATGGCTTTCCTTAGCACTGGGAAATCGCAGCTACTAAATCTTCGCAGCCACGAAGGCTTTGTTCCTCTCTTTCCGGAATTGCTGTCAGAGCGACATTGGCATTTGTGAGTTTTTCCTTCAACTCTCAACTTCGTAACTTCAAAACAAACAAACAAAGCCTGCATTTCTTATTAGTGCTGCCCTGTGAACAATGCTTCCTCCTCACCGCTGGCTCCACGAGGCCTCTTCATCCTGGGTCACCGGGGACTCGCCTTTCTGCGGAGTGGCTCCCGCACAGCGTCTCTGCTCGGCTCTTTCCGCTGCAGTGTGCTGTTGTTCCCGGACTGGCCTCTCCCATGTTATGAGGACCTCCATTCACCGATTGCACAGTCAGCGTCCGGCTGCTCCACTGTTCCGTCTTCTCTGTTCTTTCTTCTGCACGATGCTGGTGCCCCTGAAACCTCTGGGGATTCTTAATGCTGAGTTTATCTTGTTAGTGGATATTTCTTGCTAAACTGTCAATACTTCTCTTTTCTTCTTACAAGATAAGAAAGCAAACTTGAGAACTACTTGGAGCCTCAGAGCAGCATGTGGGTGTTGATCGTGGGTCAGCCCAGGGGCAGCCCACAGGCTTTTCAGTAGGTGGCCCTGCGGGGCTGGGGCTGTGGCACGGGGGTGATGTGGGGATGGGCCTGCCACCATCGCTGTGCTTTTCTCTTTGTTACTTGGATTTAAATGGAAAGTCCCCTCCGTGAGGCCAGATAATCAGCTTTGGGGATTTTGTGGAGGGATCTGTAATCTCAACTGAGCCTCTCTCCAAGACAAGGTGTGTGGGCCACAACGTGTGTGGGCGGCAAGCCGTCCAGGTGCCGAGGCAAGAGACCGAGGGCACGAGCTGGTCCAGTATGATAAAATATATAAAACAACAAGAGTTATACTCTATATGCTCTCTCTATATATAGGGTTGTTTTGTATATTTTATCATACTGGAACAGCTCGTGCCCTCGGTCTCTTGCCTCGGCACCTGGATGGCTGGCTGCCCACAAAGGTGCAAATGGAGAGTTATAGAGAAGTAAAGTTTACGTGAACGCTGGCACAATTGTGCAGAGAGGGAAGGTGAACTTGTAGCATATCAGCGCACACACGCGCACACATACACGTGCACACCTATGCACATGCGGACACACGCACACACATGCACCCACGCACCCACGCACACGCATGCACACATGCACACACATGCACACACACTCCCTGTCTGCAACCATTCAGAGGAGGGATAGTGCAACAGGTAAGAAATACGGCCTTATAAAAATGACTACAGAGCCGAGTCCCAGCCAGCAGAGTGGCCCTGTTGAGAGAATCCGGAAGAGCCTCCCGGAGAACCAGGTGAGAAGGCGGACCCTGGACAGGAGCCGGCTGACCAGGCAGGCTGGGCAGAGGGCACAGAGTAGGGAAAGACCGGGGTCCGATGTAGAGACCACACTGAGGAGAGGCTCAAGTACTGCACGTCATTTATAGCTGAATCTAGAGACATAATAGAATTCCATTTGTTTCAGGACAGTCATTTTGGTGTGGATTAGAGTGGGGGGAGAAGACTGGAGTGGAGGTGTTGGTGTCCACAGGCCTTCCTGAGGCCCCTGGCCTCACTGCGCACATCTCTGAACTGTGCCTTGTAGGGTGTCTCCACCAGTGATTCACCCTCTGTCTCCTGCACCTGCTGAGCCTTGGAAGTGGGTGGACGTGCCCACCTGGTCACAGGCAGCCCCCGTGGTGGAGGCCCTGGCTGAGCAGGAGCCTGTGCCCTGGGGGGCTCACACTGATGGGGCCAGTGGGATGCTGACATAGTTCATCCTTCCCTGAGTACCAAGCAGATGAAGCTCAGGGAGAGGTCGGGGTGACGCTTCCCATGGGGGCGCCTGGAGACGCTGCCGCCCTTCTCATTGGTGTTAGGGTTGGGGAGAGCCGGCGTTTAGACGCGGCACTGTGCACCCAGGGACAGACTAGGAGCCCGCCAAGAGGGGTAACTGGTGAGAGAAACACAGGCCCTTTCTAAGAGAGAAGGTAGGGCAGGGAGACAAATAGCCCTAAAAGCAGAATCAGGGGCACCCAGAGTAGCGGCTGGGCTGCAGGCGGGGAGGGAGGTAGGGAGAGAAGGGGCTTGGCCACCTGCAGGGACCCGGGGAGAACGCTTCTAACTGTTCTTCCTCCACAAATCACTCTGAGACGCTGTGCTGGCCAGACGAGCTGCTAAATGGATGTGACTTCTTCCACAGGGGATGCGGGAGAGAAGGGAGACAAAGGCGCCCCCGGACGGCCTGGAAGAGTCGGCCCCACGGGAGAAAAAGGTACCTGCAGCCCTGGGCCGGCCCTCAGAGCTCTGAGGATGGAGGCACCGCTCCTGCTAGAGCCGGGTGGGGAGGTGGGGGTGGTGGTTCCAGAGAGGACAGGCCCTGCCCTCTGGGTCCCAGGGAGGCAGACGGCATGGGACTTGGGTCGGGAGCAGGGAGGGGAGAGTGGTCCTTCAGCACTGCTCCTTGTGCTGACCTGTGGGGCTCTAGGAAAGAAAGTGTGTCCTGGAACTCAGCAGAGGCTCCTGGCCCCTTTAAGCCTCATCTGTAAGACGGGAATAACAGCTTCCAGATCATTTGTGAGCGCTAAGTGAATCAGTGTCGTTATGAAGGCGGCGTGGCAGAGTACACAGATAGGACCCTCATCACTTTGCGTCTGTCTCCTCCTTCGTAAAGTCGTGTGATTCTGCCTGCCTCGTGGGACTGTGCCGAGGCTCATGGGAGCTAGATCATACGTGTAAAGGAAATGTATCATGTGTAAAGTAGCTGCACAGTGCATGGCAGGGGTTAAATATATGGTGGCTATTATCTTTATATACTCCTTGTTACTGCTTAAAATTTTTTTAAGTGTTTTTTCTTTTTCTTTCTTTCTTTCTTTTTTTTTTTTTTGAGACTGAGTCTTGCTCTGTTGCCCAGGCTGGAGTGCAGTGGCACAGTCTTGGCTCACTGTAACCTTCTCCTCCCAGGTTCAAGCTATTCTCCTGCCTCAACCTGTTGAGTAGCTGGCATGTGCTATCACACCCAGCTAATTTTTTTTTGGGGGGTATTTTTAGTAGAGACTAGGTTTCACCATGTTGGCCAGGCTGGTCTCGAACTCCTGGCCTCAAGTAATACATTTTTTCCAAGTCATTAAAGATTGTCTCTAGAAATGCTTTCTCAGTATGTACACATCATTCTATGAGAACATATACTACAGTTAGCCAACCCCCCAACCAATCTTTTAACATTGGAGAGTTAAGTTGTTTCCAATTAAAAAAAATTATTATAACAACACAAAGATAATTAAATATATATTTAAGCCCATACGCTGTTTTTTGAAACGTTTTTGAGGTATAATTTATGGTCATTCTCATTTTGAGATTACCGTGCAATCAGTTTTGACCATTGCCCTCGCCCGTACCCCTCATCCTAAGCAAGAGCTGGAACATTCTTTTTTTTTCTTTTTTTTAAATCAGCTTTCCATTTATTAAGTTTAGAGAGGAACAATTCTAAGTAAAGCTTTAAAAAATCTTCAACACAGATATTTTTTATAGGCAATACAGAAGGACAGGATGACCAATAAGGGTGCTCAGAGTAAAACTCCTAAAGTTGCACAAGTTGTAGAAGAAAATTTCTTATAATGAAAGGACATGAGTATCTAGATTGAACAGAACTACCAGAAACCTGGCAAAGTAAACGAAAAAAAGTTTCATACCAAGACAACTGACTTTGAAATTTCAGAACACAAAGATAAAAACAAAATCCAAAATTTTCCAGACACTAAATATCACATACAAAGAATTAGGAATCCGAATAACATCAGTCTTCCCAATATTAGCAGTTGAAGAAAGAACAGTACCTTTAAAATCCTGAGGGAAACTTATTTCCATTCAAGAATTCTACACCCAGCTAAACTATCCATCAAGGCTGAGAGCAGAATAAAATATTTTCATGTATTTCAGTTCACAACAATGTACCTCATATGCACCCTTTCTCAGGAATCCACTGAGAAATATTTTCTTTCTTTTTTTTTTAAAGGGATTTTATTTATTTATTTATTTATTTTTAGTATTTATTGATCACTCTTGGGTATTTCTCGCAGAGGGGGATTTGGCAGGGTCATAGGACAACAGTGGAGGGAAGGTCAGCAGACAAACAAGTGAACAAGGGTCTCTGGTTTTCCTAGGCAGAGGACCCTGCGGCCATCCGCAGTGTTTGTGTCCCTGGGTACTTGAGATTAGGGAGTGGTGATGACTCTTAACGAGCATGCTGCCTTCAAGCATCTGTTTAACAAAGCACATCTTGCACCGCCCTTAATCCATTTAACCCTGAGTGGACACAGCACATGTTTCAGAGAGCAGGGGGTTGGGGGTAAGGTCAAAGATTAACAGCATCCCAAGGCAGAAGAATTTTTCTTAGTACAGAACAAAATGGAGTCTCCCATGTCTACTTCTTTCTACACAGACACAGCAAGAATCTGATTTCTCTATCCTTTCCCCACATTTCCCCCTTTTCTATTTGACAAAACCGCCATCGTCATCATGGCCCATTCTCAATGAGCTGTGGGGTACACCTCCCAGACGGGGTGGCGGCCGGGCAGAGGGGCTCCTCACTTCCCAGAAGGGGGCGGCTGGGCAGAGGCGCCCCCCACCTCGCGGACAGGGCGGTGGCCGGGCAGAGGCTCCCCCCACCTCCCAGATGGGGCGGCTGGCCAGGCAGGGGCTGCCCCCCACCTCCCTCCCGGACGCGGCGGCTGGCCGGGCAGGGGCTGCCCCCCACCTCCCTCCCGGACGCGGCGGCTGGCCGGGCGGGGGCTGCCCCCCACCTCCCTCCCGGACGGGGGGGCTGCCGGGTGGAGATGCTCCTCACTTCCCAGACGGGGCGGCTGCTGGGTGGAGGGGCTCCTCACTTCTCAGACGGGGCGGCTGCCCGGCGGAGGGGCTCCTCACCTCTGAGGCGGGGCGGCCGGGCAGAGACGCTCCTCACCTCCCAGACGGGGTGGCGGTCGGGCAGAGACACTCCTCAGATACCACACGGGGTCGTGGCTGGGCAGAGGCGCTCCTCACATCCCAGACAGGGCGGCGGGGCAGAGGCGCTCCCCACATCTCAGACGATGGGCGGCCGGGCAGAGACGCTCCTCACTTCCCAGACAGGATGGCGGCCGGGAAGAGGCGCTCCTCACTTCCCAGACTGGGCAGCCGGGCAGAGGGGCTCCTCACATCCGAGACTATGGGCGGCCAGGCAGAGACACTCCTCACTTCCCAGACGGGGTGGCGGCCGGGCAGAGGCTGCAATCTCGGCACTTTGGGAGGCCAAGGCAGGCGGCTGGGAGGTGGAGGTTGTAGCAAGCCGAGATCACGCCACTGCACTCCAGCCTGGGCAACATTGAGCACTGAGTGAACGAGACTCCGTCTGCAATCCGGGCACCTCGGGAGGCCGAGGCTGGCAGATCACTCCCGGTTAGGAGCTGGAGACCAGCCCGGCCAACACAGCGAAACCCCGTCTCCACCAAAAAAATACGAAAACCAGTCAGGCATGGCGGCGCACGCCTGCAATCCCAGGCACTCTGCAGGCTGAGGCAGGAGAACCAGGCAGGGAGGTTGCAGTGAGCCGAGATGGCAGCAGTACAGTCCAGCTTCGGCTCAGCATCAAGAGGGAGATCGTGGAAAGAGAGGGAGAGGGAGACCGTGGGGAGAGGGAGAGGGAGACCGTGGGGAGAGGGAGAGGGAGACTGTGGGGAGAGGGAGAGGACTGGAACATTCTTATTTCACTTAGCGTAATGCCCTCCAGGTTCATCCAGGTCACAAATGCTGGGATTTTCTTATATTTCAAGACTGAATAATATTCCGTTATATATGTGCCATGTTTTCTTTATCCACTGATTGGTCAACAGACGCGTAGGTTGTTTTTATGTGATGGCTGTTGTGAATAATGCTGCAGTCAGCATGAAACTGTAGGGATCTCTTCAAGATCCGATTTCATTCCTTTGGCTATGGACCCAGTAGTGACATTGTTGGATCATGTGGTAGTTCTGCTTTTGATTTTTTCTTTTCTTTTTTTTTTTTAAGTTTTTAAACTTTTTATTTGCATATTTAAAAAATTGTGCATTCCAATAATTAAAATCATTTGACAAAAAGAAAAAAATGGCTCTCTGATTAAACTGCATTACAGCCTGCAGGACACCTTGGGCCAGCTTGGTTTTATTCTAGATTTCACTGTCATCCCACCCCACCTCTTCCTTCACCAACATGCAAGTTCTTTCCTTCCCTGCCAGCCAGCCAGACAGATGGGAGAGACAGGCGCGGCCTTCGTTGTCCGTAGTTCTTTGATGTGAAAGGGGCAGCACAGTCATTTAAACTTGATCCAATCTCTTTGCATCTTACAAAGCTAAACAGCTAAAAGAAGTAAAATAAGAAGGCAATGCTTGTGGAATATACAGTGCATATTGGCGGCGCACGCCTCACTACGATTTGCCTGCTTGCTTCTCCTGTTCAGTCGTTTCTTTGGAAGGCAGTGGATTTTTCTCTTGAGTCTCTGTCTTCTTCAGTTTCGACTTATCGAATTTCTCGATCTCAGCCATATCGGGTTTGTCAGACATGGTTGTGGAGGAAAAGCGGAGCGAGGCGTGCGAGAACGAGAGAAGTCTGGTCTGCGCAGTGGCCACCACTGAGTTGTCGCTTTTGATTTTTTCAAGGAGCCTCTGTACTGTTTTCCATTCCCACCAGCAATGTCTAAGGGCTCGCCTTTCTCCACATCTTCTCCAATGCTTAATCTCTTTTGACTTTTTGATACCAGCCATCCTAACAGGTGTGAGGTAATGTCTCATTGTGGCTTTAGTTTCTATTTTCTTGATAATTGATGATGTTGACCACCTTTCCATAAACCTGTTGGACATTTGTATGTCTTCTTAGAAAAATATCTATTCAGATTCTTTGCCCATTTTTAAATTGGGTTATTTGTTTTTCGGCTATTGAGTTGTATGAATTCCTTACATATTTTGGATATTAACCTCTTATCAGATATATGGTTTGCAAATACTGTCTTCCATTCCATAGGTACCTTTCTGTTTTGTTGATTGCTTTCTTTGCTATGCAGAAACTTGTTAGTTGGATAGGTTAGTACCACTTATTTATTTTTGCTTTTGTTGCATGTGCTTTTGGGGTCATATCCCAAAAAATCATTGCCAAGACCAATGTCAAGGAACTTTTCCCTTACATTTTCTTTTAGGAGTTCTGTGATTTCAGGTATTACATTTAAGTCTTCTATTTTGAGCTGATTTTTATGTATGGTATAAGACAAGGATTCAGTTTTGTTTTTTTGCATGTGAATATTCAGTTTTCCCAATAGCATTGTGAATTCTTTGTGCCTTTGTTGAAGGTTAGTTGACTGTATATGCACTCATGGGCTTATTTCTGTGCTTTCTTCTCTGCTCTATTGTCTATGTGTCTGTTTTTATGCCAGTGCTTGTTTGAGCAAGTATACTGGTTTGATTACCATCTATCTGTAATATAATTTGAAATCAGGAAGTGTGATGCCTTCAGCTTTGTTTTTCTTGCTTAAGGCTGCTTTGGCTATACATGACCTTTTATGGTTTTACATGAATTTTAGGATTTTTTTTTCCATTTCTCTGAAAAGTGCCTTTGGAATTTTGATAGAGATTGCACTGAATCTGTAGATTGCATTGGGTAGTATGGACATTTTGAAATATTAATTCTTTTGATCCACGAACAGATATTTTTTCCATTTATTTGTGTCTTCAATGTTTCATAGTTCTCAGTGTACAGGTACACAACACTTCCTTGGTTAAATTTATTCCTAAATATGTCATTCTGTTTGGTGCTACAGTCAAGGAGATTGTTTCCTTAATTTTTTTCAGGTGGCTCATTGTTAGTGTATAGAAATGCTGCTGATTTTCGTGTGTTGATTTTGTATCCTGCAACTTTACTGAATTTGTTTATTAGTGCTAACCAGTTTTTAGTGGAGTCTTTAGGGTTTTATTTATATAAGATTATGCCATCTGCAAACAGAGCCAGCTTTACCTCTCCCTTTCCAATTTGGATGGATCCCTCCCTCCTTCTTTCCCGCCTCCCTCCCTCCCTCTCCCTTTCTCTTCCTTTCTTTCTCTCTTTCCTTTTCTTTCCTTTCCCCTTTCCTTTTCTCTCCTTTCCACTTTCCTTTTTTCTTTCTTGCCTAATTGTTCTGGCTAGGACTTCCAGCACTATATTGAATACAAGAGGCGAGAATGGGCATCCTTGCCTTGTTTCTGATTTTAGAGTAAAGCTTTCAGCTTTTCACCAGTGAGTATGATGTTAGCTGTGGACTTCTCATACATGGCCTTTATTGTGTTGAGGTGCATTCTTTGTATATGTGCTTTCTTGAGAGCTTTTATCATGAAACAACACTGAGTTTTGTCAAACGTTCTTTCAGCATCTACTGATGATAATATGATGTTTATTCTTCATTCTGTTAATGTGGCATATCACATTTATTGATTTCTGTATGTTGAACCATCCCAGGCATAAATTTTGCTTGATCATGGTGTATAATACTTTTGTTTTTGAGACGGAGTCTTGCTCTGTTGCCCAGGCTGGAGTGCAATGGCATGATCTCGGCTCACTGCAACCTCCGCCTCCTGAGTTCAACCGATTCTCCTGCCTCAGCCGCCCAAGTAGCTGGGATTACAGGCACGCACCACCACGCTCAGCAAATTTTTGTATTTTTAGTAGAGATGAGGTTTCACCATGTTGGCCAGGCTGGTCTTGAAATCCTGACCTCAGGTGATCCACCTGCCTTGGCCTCCCAAAGTGCTGGGATTACAAGCATGAGCCACCGCTCCCGGCCGTGTATAATCTTTTTAATGTGCTGTTAAATTTGGTTTGCTAGCATTGTGTTGAAGATTTTTGCATCTGTGTTCATCAGGGATATTGGCCTGTAATCTTTTTTTCTTGTATTGTTCTTGTCTGGCTTTGGTATCAGGGTAATGCTGGCTTTTAAAAATTAGTTCAGAAGTATTCTCTCCTCTTCAATTTTTTGTAAGATTTTAGAAGGATTGGTATTAATTCCTATTTAAATTTTTGGTAAAGTTTGGCATGAGGCTACCAGGTCCTGGGCCTTTCTTCGATTGGAGATTTTTGACTACAGAATCAGTCTCATTACAGATCTGTTCAAATTTAGTATTTTTTCATTATTCAGTCTTTGTGGGTTGTATGTTTCTAGGAATTTATCCATTTCTTCTAGGTTATTCAAATTTTTGATGTATAATTATTCGTATTACTCTCTTATGACCCTTCATATTTCTGTGGTATCAGTTGTAATTTCTCCATTGCATTTCTGATTTTATTTGAGTTACCTCTTTTTTCTTCGTCTAGCTAAAGGTTCGTCAATTTTTTTTTTTGCCTTTTCAAAAAGCAACTCTTAGTTTTGTCGCTTTGCTACAGCTTTTCTAGTCTCTCTTTGATTATTTCTGCTCTGATCTTCGTTATTTCCTTACTTCTGCTAACTTTGGGCTTCATTTGCTTGTTTTTTTCTAGTCCCTTATGGTGTAAAGTTAGATTGTTTATTTGTAATCTTTATTTTCCCTCCATGTAGGTATTTATTGTTATAAAATTTCCTCTTAGAATATCTTTTTGCTGTAGCCCATAAGTTTTTGTATGTTGTGTTTTCATTTTCATTTGTTTCAAGATATTTTTTGATTTCTTTTTTGACTCATGGATTGTTCAGGAATGTGTTGTTTAATTTTCTCGTATTTGTGAATTTTCGTTTTCCTCCTCTTGCTGATTCCTAGTTTTATCCTGTTGTGGTTAGAAGAGACGCTTGATATGATTTCAGTCTCCTTGAATTTGTTAAGACTTGTTTTGTGGCCTAACGTATGAGCTATCTCAAAGAATGTTCCGTGTGCACTGGAGAGGAATGTGTTTTCTGCTGCTGTTGGATGGAATGTTCTCTGTTAGCTCCATTCGGTCTAAAGTGTAGTTTATGTACAATGTTTTCTTACTGATTTTCTGTCTGGGTGATCTTTCCATTGTTGAAAGTGAGGTATTGAAGTCCCCTACTATTAGTGTATTCTATCTGTTTGCCCTTCAGATCTGTTAATATTTGCTTTACATATTTAGGTGCTCCAATGTTGAATGTGTGTATATTTGTAATGATTATGTTTTCTTGATGAATTGACCTTTTATCATTATATAAAAACCCTTTTTTACTCTTGGCTACAGTTTTTGACATAGTCTATTTTGTCTGATATAAAATAAATATAGCTACGCCTATTCTGTTTTGGTTTCAATTTGTGTGGAATATCTTTTTCCATCCCTTCATTTTTAGTCTATGTGTGATCTTAAAGCTGAAGTGTGTCTTTTGTAGGCAGTGTATATAGTTGGGTCTTCTTTTTATTTATTTATTTTTATTAAGCTACTCCGTGTCTTTTGATTGGATAATTTAATCTATTTACATTTAAAGTAATTATTGATAGTTAAGGATTTGCCATTGCCATTTTGTTAATTGTTTTCTGGTCACTTGGTAGATCCTTTGTTTCCTTCTTCCTCTCTTGCTGTTTTCCTTTGTGGTTTGATAATTTTCTGTAGTAGTATGCATTGATTCCTTTTTCTTTCTTTTGTGTATGTACTAGGTTTTTTATTTGTGGTTACCACAAGGCTTATATAAAACATTTTATAGTTATAACAGTCTATGCTAAACTAATAACAACTTAACTTTGATCACACACAAAATTCTACACTTTTACACCCACCCCCCATTTTATGTTTTTGATATCACAATTTACATCTTTTTTATTGTACATCTATTAACAAATCATTGGGCCAGGTGCAGTGGCTCACACCTGTAATCCTGGCACTTTGGGAGGCTGAGGCGGGTGGATCACGAGGTCAGGAGTTCAAGACCAGCCTGGCCAGCATGGTGAAACCTCGTCTCTACTAAAAATACAAAAATTAGCCGGGTGCTCGCCTGTAGTCCTAGCTACTCAGGAGGCTGAGGCAGGAGAATCGCTTGAACCCGGGAGGTGGAGCTTGCAGTGAGCTGAGATTGTGCCACCGCGCTCCAGCCTGGGCGACAGAATGAGACTCCATCTCAAAAAAAAAAAAAAAAAGTAAAATATATTAGCTGGGTGGTATGTGCCTGTAGTCTCGGCTGAGGCAGGAGGATTGTTTGAGCCCAGGATCTGGAGGCTGCAGTGAGCTATGATGATGTCACTGCACTCCAGCCTGGGTGAGAGAGTGAAACCCTGTCTCTAAAAACAAACAAACAACAACAACAAATTATTGTGGCTATAGTTATTTTAATATCTTTGTCTTTTAACCTTTATACTAGAGTTATATATGATTTACACATAACCATTACACCATCAGAGTATTCTGAATTTGACTATTGCTATCATTTGAATGTTTGCCCCCTCCAAAACTCACGTTGAAACTTGATCTTTAATGTAATAGTATTGAGAGAGTGGGCCTTTAGGAGGTGACTGGATCATGAGTTCTCTGACATTATGAATGGATTGATCCATTTATGAGTTAATAGATTAATGGGTTATTACAGGAGTGGGTTAGTTATCATGAGAGTGGGACTATTATAAAAGCCAGGTGGCCTCTCTCGTGGGCCTCCTTACTGTGTGATGCCCTGTGCTACCTCAAGACTCTGTGGAGAGTTCTCATCAGATGTGGCCTCTTGACCTTGGATTTCCCAGCCTCTAGAACTGTAAAAAAGAATTTCTTTTCTTTATAAATTACCCAGTCACAGATATTCAGTAATGGCAACAGAAAACAGACTAAGGCAAGTATATAGTTTTATCAGTTATCTCTACACTTTTAAATGTTTTCATGTTACTAATTAGCATCCTTTTGTTTCAGCTTGAAGAACTTTCCTTTACATTTCTTGTAAGGGAAGTCTAGTGGGAACTTCTTTAGCTTTTGTGTATCTGGGAGACTCTTAATGTTTCCTTTATTTTTGAAGGATGGCTTTGTGAGTACATAATCTTATTGCCAGTTTTTTTCTTTCAGTACTTTGAATATATGATCCCACTTTCTCCTGGCCTGCAAGTTTTCTGCTGAGAAGTCTGCTGATAGCCTTATGAGGGTTCTCTTGGATGTGATGAGTTTCTTTTCTCTTTCTGCTTTCAAAATTCTCTTCTCGTCTTTGATTTATGGTAGTTTGATTATAATGTATCTTGGTGAAGTTTTCTGTGGGTTGAACCTATTTGGAGACTTTAAGCTTCATGTACCTTGATGTCCACATCACTCCCAAGTTTGGAAAGTTTTTTAGGCATTAATTCTTTAAATAAGCTTTCTATTAGCTTCTCTCTATATTCTCCTAATACAACTTCCATAATGTGAATGTTAGCTTTCTTGATGGTGTCCTTTAGATCTCACAGGCTTTCTTAATTTCTTTTAATGCCTTTTTTCTTTTCTCTTCTCTGATTGAATATTTTTAAATGACCTGTCATCAAGCTCACATATTCTTTCTTTTCTTTTGTTTGATCAATTCTGCTCTTGATGCTGTCTGCTGTATTTTAAATTTTATTCATTCTGTTCTTCAGCTTTAGAGTTTCTGTTTGGTTCTTTTTTTAAAAAAAAATCTCTATCTCTTCATTGAATTCCTCATTTTTAATGTATTGTTTTTCTGATTTTGTTGAGTTGTGTGTCTATGTTCTCTTGTATCTCATTGAGCTTCCTTAAAATGATTATTTTGAGTTCTTTGTTAGGCAATTTGTAGATCTCCATTTCTTTGGGATTGGTTTACTAGAGTATTATTGTGTTCCTTTGGTAATGTCATGTTTCCTTGATACTTTATATTCCTTGAAGTCTTGCATTGCTGTTTTCTCATTTGCAAAAGCAGTCACCTCCTCTAGTCTTTATGGACTTTTTTTGGGAGAGAGATTTCTTTACAAAACAGCCTGGCTAGGGATTCTGAGGCTCTCTCAGACCATTTCTGTGGATGCACCTGCTCCACACCTTTTGCTTCTCTTGGAGAGGGGTGAATTTTTAAAGAGTATATGCCTTTTCTTGATCCCACAAAGGCAGTCTAGGTGCTACTAGCCTCTCATTAGTTTCCCCTAGGGCAGTGCTCTGAAATGCTCAAGTTCTTGTGCCTTCTCCCTCCCCATCCCACACAGTCAAGCTATCTGTCTGTGTGAGATGCTGGCACTTGCCATCTGTGGGGGTGCCTTTGGGGAGCTGGCAGAGTGTTGGGTGAAGCATGTGAGCATTTGGGTGCCCGTGGTCCAGTTGGGATGGTTCACAGGAAAGGCGTCTCCATCAGCTTGTTGGGGGGCTTCCTAATAAAATCTGCAGAGCAATTATTAGGGTCCATAGCCTTTCTTCCTAGCTCCCAGTCTCTCCCAACTTCTCCTCCATGTCAGTCACCTCAGTATTGGAGGTGAGACAAGAAAGAAGCAGACTTTTTTTGGGCAGCATCCTGCATGGCTGGGGGAGCTGGAAGCTCACTTACTACACTTTCACTTACTCCAGTGGGAAAAAACATGGGCCAAGGGGGTTTCCCTGGGCACTGAGCTGTGTTGCTCAGCTCACAGTTGCTCAGCTTACAGTTGTGGGAAACGGTCACACGGGTAAAGTGAAACTGTTCTTACCCTCATCAGTGCATCTATTCTTGGATTTTTTTCTCTAACAGTGTGCTGGAACTTCTCCACTGGACTTCCAGACTCCTACAAAGACACTTTTGTTCATGGGGAGTTGTCAACATGGAAGCTTCTTTGGGGGGACTATGGTAGAAAGCTCCTCTTCTGCCATCCTCCTAACATCACCCATGTGTGCATGTCTTGTCTTCCTAATTAGATTATACATTCCTCAAGGGTAGGGATTTGTGGATCACACTCTGCCATCCTGCGAGTAAGTGGTTCCAAGTCCCTGATATAGTAGTTATTCCTAAGTATTAGATTGATAGATTTACAGAGGGTCATTAAACATACATTGACTACCCCAGAGATATGGGGTTAAAGTCTGATAGACTCTTTTCATTTCTACCTCTTAAAGAATCTTAATCAAAGGATCCACAAACACAATGGTTTGCTGATCCAAGGCGGCAAGGATTCTCTATTAAAACCTCTGAGGAATTCCCTTCTCCCTCCCTCCTTTCTTCCTTCCTTCTCCCACTTAGAAGTGGCAGCAGGCTTTTTCAGGCTCCGAGGCCTGTCCCCACTGATGTTCAGGTGTAGGTCAGGCTTCCATGCTCAAGCAGGCCTCAGGTCCCTGCTGAGGGGTGGGCACGGATGGAGGGTGAGCCTGAGGCAGGATGTGCAGGACAGCGACTGCTGAGACAGCGTTCTTGGCTGCCTTGTGGTGGGTGGGGGGCCATGGACCCAGCCCAGGGCGGGGGTTAGGGAAGGCACTCGGGAGGCTACTCGTAATTCAGGGTTTCTGAAATCTGGAGACAGGGAGGGCTAGGAGTCCATAAAGGGATGTGGCATTTGGCATCCCAGGGAGTCAGCTTAGGGGAGGGGCGTTTAGCACTCAGGGGTCTACTCTGTGCCTCAGCTTGGACCCATGAGTTTGGAAAGTTTCTTTTCTTCTTTTTTACTTTTTTTTTTTTTTTTTTTGAGACAGAGTCTCACTCTCGCTCTGTTGTCAAGGCTGGAGTACAGTGGCATAATCTTGGCTCACTACAACCTCTGCCTCCCGGGTTCAAGTGATTCTCCTGCCTCAGCCTCCTGAGTATCTGGGATTACAGGCGCCCACCACCACGCCCGGCTAATTTTTGTATTTTTAGTGGAGACGGGGTTTCACCACATTGGCCACACTGGTCTTGAACTCCTGACCTCAAGAGATCCGCCTACCTTGGCCTCCCAAAGTGCCGGGATTATAGGCATGAGCCGCCATACCTGGCAGACTTTGCAAAGTTATTTAACATCTCTATTATCTGAGTTGTCAGGCAGGGATAGTCATAACATTGTATTTACTTTTTCCAGCAGTCACAGCCAGTCGTGACAGCTTCTGACATCTCCAAAAGGAAGTGCACCTCGTCCTTTGTAGAAATGGGATCACAGGGTAATGGATCTGGAAATCCCACCTTCACACTTAAGTTGGACCCTGAGATGCAGAGAATAGGCAACCACTCTTCCCATGGCCACATGGCTTGGACAGAACTGGAGCAGAAGCCCCATTTCTAGATGGACGTGGTTTGCTGGGAGGGAGGAATATTGTTAGGCACAATGCGGTCCCAGCCTCAGCTGAGCAGTGCAGAGACCACAGACGTGGAACCAGACAGTCCTGGGCTCGCTGGGCCTGTCTGTATCGTGGCTCCACCACCTGTCAGTTATGTCAGCTTCTGGAATCAGCTTCGTCTTCCCAAGCCCCCTTTTTCTGTACCTGTAAAATGGGGGGTGGGGGGTGGGGATCTACCTCCCATGACTCCCAGAAGGGTTAAATGGAAGGATAGACGCACAATGTCTTGGATGCGGCAGTTGCCTGGTGCCTGGTGGCCTGGTGGTTGCTGTTATTATTCTCCGTTTGCACAGAAGAAAGTCTGAGCCCTGGTGCTTTTGTTCATGGGAACTCACTAGGGAATGAGCATGACTTCCGGCCTCTGCAATAACCAACTGACATTCTTTCTGATAATCGTGGCTGTTTCCGTCAGCTGTAAGTGCTCTGTTCTGGATAATGTTTATTCTCAAGGACATTAGGTCAAAGAGAGAATGGAATATGTTTACAAGGACATTAGGTCAAAGAGAGAATGGAATAAACTTAGGACTTTTTATACACAACCTGGGATGAATCTCCTCCCTGAGACCTAGGACACCCTGGGCGCTCTGCCTGTGTGGTAGGCGGTGCCCGGGCCCCAGGGGGCGCAGATGGGCTGGGAACCAGGACCTCAGCCGCCACCACCCTCCACACCCTCCCTGGAGTCTCACTTTCCAGTGGGACACAGCCCTGCCAACTCCCCTGGCCCACTGGCTCTTCTGCCCGTGGGCTTGCTAGCTGGGTGCTAGTGGATAGCTTTCTAGCTCGTTGCAGCGGGGGCACAGTGGCAGTTCCCTGATGACCGGTCACGAACATCTGTGGCTTCCATGGCATTATGCTGTGGAGACTCACCTGGAGAAAAACAGTGACCTCTGCGGGAACTTGGGGGCCAAGACTTCCTGGTTTCTAGGGTCCTGGGAACCACTGCAGTCCTGGGCAAACTGGGGGCTGCAACTCAACTTCGCCTGGGCATGATGACGCTGGTCACGATGCTGTGCATGACGACACTGGGCACGATGATGGGGGGCATGATGACGGGGGGCATGACGATGGGGTGGATCTGGGCATGATGATGCTGGGCAAGATGATGGCATGGTGATGCTGGGCACAACGCTGGGCACGACGATGGGCACAACGATGAGCATGATGGGGTGGATCTGGGCACAATGACACTGGGCATGATGATGGAGGGCACGATGAGCACGACGATGGGGTGGATCTGGGCATAATAACGGTAGATCGGGGCATGATGATGCTGGGCATGACACTGGGCATGATGACGGTCTGCATCTGGGCATGATGGCTCTGGGCACAACGATGCTGGGCATGAAGATGGGACACGATGATGGGGTGGATCTGGGCATAATGACTCTGGGCACGATGACGCTGAGCACAGTGACGCTGGGCACGATGACGGTGGATCTAGGTATGACGATGCTGGGCATGATGATGGTAGATCTAGGTATGACGATGCTGGGCATGACAACAGCGTGAATCTGGGCACGACGATGCTGGGCACAATGCTGCACACGATGATGCTGGGCATAACACTGGGCGTGATGACAAAGTGGGTCTCAGCACCTGTCCCAGTGCTTCTTGAAGGGGCTCCTGAAGGGGAGGAGCATCCCTGGGAAGAGCGGGACCTGGGTGTGACAGCCCTGCTCCCATGCCAGCCCTGCTGTTGCCCAGCCTGTGGCCACTCCAAACCATTGTTTTCAACTTCTGACATCAAAATCACAGCCTTCACAGGGCGTTGCTGCCATGAGTGGGCCTGGGGTCTGCAGATCCGCTCTCATCCTTGCGTCTTCAGGTCCTAGCATGAGACCTGACGTTTGGAAGGCCCTCCATCCACTGTTGGAAAAATATCCTGAGGTTTCATATCTTCAAATACCTCTGCAATCTGTGGGTGATCCCAGTCTATGGCCAAGGGCCCCCCATCTGTGTCATCCTCCCTTCCCCAGGTGAAGCGGCTGCCCCGCAGGGTTCTAGAGAGCTGGTCTGTGGGACGAGGCTTCCGGCCATGCTGGGCGGGGGCTGTGTTCTCTGCCTATCTATGGAGGTGGGGCTCTGCTTCAGGTTTCTCCAGGGGCTCTCATTTAAATGCAGCTGCTGGCCCAGGAGGGCGGCCTGAGACCCTGCACTGGTCTTAACAGCACCCAGGTGCTGCTGCTGCCAGCCTGGGCTGTCCCCATTGGTGGGGGTCCAGATGCCTCTGCTTCCGCAAAGTGCATGCTCTGCACATGGGGACCTGGCTGCAGTGGGGGCTGCCCTGAACAGGCTGGCTGGGTGTGCGCTGGGGCTTTGAGGGAGTGTCCTGTTGGGAAAGTGAGACCCCCCACCCCCCATTCGAGGAGGTGGTGCGGTTGGATGGCCTATTCTGAGATAAAAAGCCAGGCCATGGCCCAGAGAAAGCCCAGCTGTTAAAAATCACCGAGGAAGCTGAATTTCAAATGCTCTTTTTGCCTCTTCTCCACTTCAGAGGACTGTGTGAAGTGTTCATTAAAATTAATAAGAACTCCACACCTGCTTTGAGCTGCCCTCAATCCTCATGCGTGTCCAGAGGACAGATGGGAGGCGCAGCACTGCTCACAATGGTGATGAGATGTGGGATGGGCTGTGGCGTTCGTGCCCAGTGTGCCGGGTGCCACAGCCAGAAGCTCCTATGGCAGAGAGGGAAGGGATCCAGGGGCATCAGGTGCTGCATTCCTGTTGTCGCACGCAGCCAGCGGGAGGGGGCGTTGCTTGCCTCTTGCAAAAAGCTTTCTGTCACTTGGAGGTGCACGAGGCCTTGGGAGAGGGAAAAAGGCGTTAGGGCTCTTGTTCTCATCTGCTGTCCTTAGAGAACCTCTGGATCTGTAACCACACTACTGTCCGGCCAAGGGTTAGTTTCCAAGAGAAGTCTTCAAGTTGAAATAAGTCAGCTACAGAAAAGGTTGTGGTATGAAGTAGAGAATGTGTTGACAATCTCAGTGGATTTCAACGGTTCTCACCTTTTCTTCTTCCTCCAAACACCCCAAAATAGAATATTTCTGTCAGAAACAACAGCTCACACCAATAGGTCCCAGTGTGTGTGGCTGGTATGTGGAGGTTGGGGTGTAGTGAGGGTCTCCTGGGTGCTTCTGGGGTTCTCAGTTTAAGCCTAGGTGCTGACCAACTGTACAAGCTTGAGCTGTGTGAGGATAAAAGTAGGCTTATGTACATGCACTCATGCACACACGTGCACATAGATGTATGTGCATGTATAGTTGTATGTATGGATACATACCTATATGTATATATGTGCATGCATGTGTGCATATGTATATGTACCTGTGTGTATGTGCATATGAGCATTTGTGTGTATGTGCATATAGCGTGTGTGTGAATAGTATGTATGTGTATGTGTGCTCCTGTAGTATGCATGGGTATGTCATGTGAGTATGCCTTTGTCTATGTATGTGCTGCTGGATGCCCTGTTTTGAGATAACAAAGCCAGGCCACGGGTCCAGAGAAAGCCCAGCTGTTAAAAATCACTGAGGAAACTGAATTCCAAGTGCTCTTACATATGTATGTATATGTTTGTATTCATGTATGTATGTTTGTGTACACATGTATCCACGTATGTAGGTTTGTAAGTTTTATGTATGTGTATATGGGCATGTTTATATGTACATATATACGATGTGCAGTTACATGCTATGTGTGGTTGTATTTATACATAAATGCATGAATGTGTGCATGCATCATGCATATGTGTATGTATGTGTGTTTTTATGTGTGCATATGTTACGTGTTTGCATATTGCATATCTGTTAATATGTGTATGTTTGCATGCACATGTATGTATGTGGAGGTGAATGCACATCTCTATGTGTATATGCATGTGCATGTGTGTATGTATGCATATAGATGTCTGTGCATGCATATGTGTATAGTATGTATGTGTGCATATGTATGTGTATGCATATCAGGGTAGTACGTATGTGTATGTGTACATGCATGTATGTGTGTATAGTATATGTGCATATGTCTGTATATAATGTGTGAGGGGACTTCAAAAAGTTTGTGGAAAAGTGGAATTAAAAAATAAAAATACAAATATAAACTTTATTTCTCAATATAAGCACCATGAAGTTCAAGACACTTTTGTAAGTAATTACACCAGCCATTTAGTCCATCCCTAAAGAACTGAGGGTTCCTCATGGTGAAATTCCCAGGAATTCCCATGTGGTCTTTTTTACATTGTTTACTGAAGAAAAATGAGTGCCCTTTACAGATTTTTTAAGATGAGGAAACAAGAAGTCAGAAAGAGCCAAACTGGGAAAGTTGGATGCTTAATGATTTCCAATAGAAACTCTTGCAAAATTGTCCTTGTTTTATAAGGAGAATGAGCAGGAGCATTGTTGGGGTGAGAAGGGCTCTGGTGAAGCTTCCTGGGCATTTTTCTGCTAAGGCTTTGGCCAACTTTCTCAAAACCCTCTGATAGTAGGTACATGTTATTCTTCTTTGGTCCTCCACAAAGAGAACAAGCAAAATGCCTTGAGCATCCGAAAAGCCTGTTGCCGTGACCTTCACTCTCGGCCAGTCTGCTTTGCTTTCCTGGACCACTTCCAACTCTTGGTAGCCATTGCTTTGACTGTTTTGTCATTAAGATTGTACTGGTAAAGCCACGTTTCGTCTTCTGTTACAATTTTGAAGAAATGCAATACAATACAGGCCCATAATCTCAGCACTTTGGGAGGCCGAGGTGGGTGGTCAGGAGTTCGAGACCAGCCTGGCTAACATGGTGAAACCCCATCTCTACTAAAAATACAAAAATTAGCCAGACATGGTGGTGCACGCCTGTAATCCCAACTACTCAGGAGACTGAGGCAGGAGAATCACTTGAACCTGGGAGGCAGAGGTTGCAGTGAGCCAAGATTGCACTACTGCACTCCAGCCTGCACGACAGAGCAAGACTCTGTATCAAAAAAAAAAGAAAAAATTAAAAAAAAAGATGCTTAGGCATTCTTCAAAGAATTTTAACAGTAAAGCAAAGCAGACTGGCCGAGAGCGAAGGTCATGGCAACAGGTTTTTTGGATGCTCAAGGCATTTTGCTTGTTCTCTTTGTGGAGGGCCAAAGAACAATAACATCTGCCTACTATCAGGGTGTTTAGACAAAGTTGGCACTGGCTCATCCGGTGGAGGGAGTGTTTCTCCACCCCCAGGCCCAGCTGTGCCCAGTGCTTGGCCCTTCCCCCAAAGGCCTCCCTGCAAGGCTGAGGGGACCGTGGAAAGGGGTCTGGTGGTCCAAGCTATGGGTTTAGGGCAGAAGGGAATAAGGAGGGACGGGAGGGTTTGGGCCACCTGTAGCCACCCTAACTCCCCACCAGCCGGGTATGCTTGGTCACGGCTGACACAGGCGAGAGGGCTCGGAGGGGCCCCTGCTCGGAGGGGGCTCTGCTCGGAGGGGGCCCCTACTCGGAGGGGACTCTGCTCGGAGGGGGCTCTGCTCGGAGGGCTCTGCCTGCTGCTTTGCACACTCTGGTCTCTTGGTCTCTGTCTCCTGCCTCCTGGGCTTGGGAGTAGGGCACTGCTTGTCCTCCCACAGGAACACAATCCTGCGCCATGTGTCCAGCCCCTGGCTCTTAGAAATGCAGGCTTCCCGCAGTTCCTGGCCCGTGGAGGGTGGCTTTGGCTGTACCCGGGGTGGAAGTCTCACAGGCTGGGGCCTACCCACAGTGGGGGTGCAGGGTTTGGAGCCCTGGACGTGGAGTCAGGAGGCCTTGGTCTGAGTGAAATCCACGCCATCAGTGTGCGCTCGCGCTCCTGCTCCTGATGCTCGCTGTGACCCGAGGCACGGAATGCCCTGAGGTGCCACTTGACAGACAGGGAAACTGAGGCTTACAGAGGGCTGTAACTTGTGCAGGGTTTCATGGGTGGAGCACTGAGATTTGGGGCCAGGCCTGTCTGATGGCAGAGGCTGTGCTCGGAATCACGGGGCACTGTGTTCTTTCCTGGCTCACTGTATGACCTGTGGTGGTCACCTGACTCTCTGAACTCCTCTTCTGGAGCAGAGGGCAGTGTCTCTGTCTCTCAATACCACACAGCGGGCAGCTTCCAGGACAGAGATGATTTCCTCCCGGCTGTGGAGGCTGGAAGTCAGGGATCCGGGTGCCGGCAGGGCTGCTGCTCCTGAGGCTGCTGTCCGGGGCTTACAGGCGGTGTCTTCCTGCTGCGTCTCACGCGGCCTTTCCTCCATGCATGCACAATCCCGGCCTCTCTTTCTCTTCGGTAAAGCCACAGTCCTGTTGGACCAGGGCCCACCTGTGTGACCTCTTTAAAGACCCTGCTTCTAGTAGGACTCACACTGGGGTTAGGGCTCCATCGTCAGAATTTTGGAGGATGTAATTCAGCCCTAACAGATGGTGCTGCTAGGGACGTTGTGAAGCTGAAATCAGCGTGTACGTGTGGATGTGGTTTCCTGGCACACAGTCTACCTGGGAGTATTCTAATTTATTTCTGAAAGATGGAAAAATGAGCAGAATCCCGGGACCCCCACTGAGTCCCCACTTGGAGAGGGGCAGCGTCAGAGCACGGGAAAGAAAACCAAAGTCCCAGCCCTAGGAACGTCACCTTCCCATGAAAAAGCACAAACACCACGGGCTGAGGAGCGACGTGTCAGAGGCGGATTGTGGCCCTTCACCTGAACAAAGAGCCAACTATTTGCTAAGAAGCTTCCACCTGGAAAAGATGGGGAGGGCGCGAGGGGCTTCCTCCCCACCTGGGAGCTGTTTCTCCCTGAGACCCCTGAGAGATGAGATGTGAAGCTGTTCAAGGACAGTGACAGGGAGAGAGAAGCGGCCCACAGGCCCCACTTTCCCGTCTTCCCACCCACACAGCTCCTCCCTGGAGGACGAGGCCAGGCCCCCAGGCTGACAAGTAGACCAGGACCGGGATGGTGAGGCCCAGGAGACAGTGGAGGAGAAGCCCCTGGGCACAGATGCACTTGGGGAGGCTCCTCCCATCTTCGGGAAAGACTTATTAGTGGTTCAGTCCATCAGTTGGAGGAGGCACGTGGCCTGCTGCTGTAGACAAGTTAAAACCTGAGAGTGAGTTGAGAGCATTTGGCCTTTAGCCATCTCTGAATCACACGGCCAGATGTTAAAGCAAATCCAAGGTCATCGCTCACACTTGGCACCTGTCTCCGGCGAGTAGAGCTCAGCTCCTGCCCTTGGAGAAGTGTGGGACCCAGTCCCTGCCATAGGGGGTTCTGAGAAACCCTTGCGCTGGCTGCTTGCTGATTGTGAGGGTGCTGTGAGCGCGTCCAGCCTGATCTGGCAGCCTGGACCTCCTCGCGAGGGGACAGAGCGGGGACCACAGCTGACCGACGGGGGAGCGGCGTGAAGACGTGGAGGGGGAAATAAGAAGCATAAACATTGAGGCTGTCCCAACCTTCCTCCTGATGGTCAGCACAGAACCTCTGGAATAGTGCGGTGGAGAGCTGGGCGAGTTTGTCTTTGGACAGAAGGCCCGAGGAAGATGCGTGTTCCCGACCTTCCTCCTCATGGTCAGCACAGAACCTCAGGACCGGTGCGGTGGAGAGCTGGGTACAGGAGGCCCGAGGAAGACACATGTTTCCTGCGCAGACAGGGCCTGGGACAACACGAAACAGCAGATGTGCATTTTCAGGGAATATCAGCTTTTCTGTAGGACCCTCTGCGGGAGGCCGAGCAGAAGCACGGGGCTCACCTTTCAGCTTCAGACCACGGTGAGGGACACCTGCCCTCACAAACTCATCTTGCCCTAACTCTCTCCCAAAGGAACTGTCTCCAAATACCAGCACCTTGGGGTCACGGCTTCAACAGAGGAATTTGGTGGGGGACACAGTTCCATCCACTGCAGGAGGTGACGGTGCTCAGGCCGTGACTGGGCACTCAGTGTGGGTGGCTGTGTCCATCCTTCCGAGGAACCAAGACACTCCAGGGTACGTCCTGGGGAAAGGCAGCCAGGATAGGGCAGGGACTGCAGGTTTCTAGCTGGGTGAAGGGAAGATTTCAGACAGATAATAGTTTTTAAATGTTTAGAGGACTCTTGGAGAAGGTGAATTCAGCTGGCTTTGCATTTCTATGGGCGCAAAACCAGGCTGGCTGGGCGGACCCAGCAGAGCAGCAACTTCCCAGCTCCTCCAGCCATGAGAACTGACTGTACCGTGCCTCCTCCTGCAGCAAAGCAGGGCCCCTCAGTTATATTCCAGGGAGAACTGCAAATTGCTTCCCTTGCAGCGAGTTTTGGGCATGTATAATGGGTTGGCTAGTTGATTGAAGCTGTTTGTTCCAGTTGCCCTTCTCTCTCCCTGCTGTGGCATTTTACTGTTACAGAAATCTTCAGGTTGAAATTGTCATGACTCAGAACAGCAGGAACGGGTACCTGGCATCTGCCATCGGGAAGAGCAGGCCAGTTGGCTCCAGCAGGCGCTGGACTCACAGGCTGCCGTGGAGAGGGATTCAGAGGAGGGCAGGGCTGGCCCCCTGACGATGAAGGCAACGCACTGAGCACTCTGGCAGGGCCCCCTCTGGTGTGGGGGCCCTGCCCCTCCCTCTGTGAGACCTCCTGGCTGTCCACCTGGTCCCGGCCCTGCCCATGTCTTGGACCCTGTCCTCACTGGGTGCCCCCAGCGATAGTGCCTCTCACCGCCTTGCTGTGCCCCTGCCTGCCCCGCTGCCCTTGGGTTCCTCCCCCAGCTCCTCTTCCTCACGTGGGCCCCTGCCTCCCACTGGACACTTCTCTCAGGTGCCCTCCTGGCCCTTGTCACCGTCCCATGATGATCCCTCTCCCCTGCCTGTCCCCCTCTCCCCTGCCTGTCCCCCATCCCCTGCCTGTCCCCCTCTCCCAACGTGCCCCGTGACATCCCCCTCTGTGCCTCTCCAGAGCTGTGTCTCCCTGCGCCTACCTTGGGGAGGCTTGGCACTCAGTGCCAGCTGTGCGTGCCTCATCCACACATCCCATCACGCACGAGGTTCTGCCAACACTGCCTCCTGGGTGTCTCCCCAATCTGGGCGTTTTTCTTATCCTCCCAGAACCCGCCTGCCATGACCCCCTTCACCCCCAGCCTGCTCTGCCCTTGGTCTCCTTTTGCGCCTTTCAGTCTTTCCAGCAAGTGTTGCCAGATGCTTCCTGAACACAAGTCTGATCTCGCCGCCCTCTTCGCCAACCCTCCACATCTCCTGCAGCACGGAGATGCACCACACCCTCTCCGATGCTTTCCTGGGCTCTGAGGACGGACGAGGAAGTGGTGTCCCCGTTGCCCCTTTTCTATTCCCTTCCCTCGCACGCACTGCAGTTGCTGGGCCGCTGTCCCGACTTACCGGCAAACCCTGAGCTCTGATCCCTGCAGCCAGCGCCCTGCACAGCTGGCAACACACAGCGCCTGGTGTGCGAAGCAGAGTCGCCTCCGTCCTGGCTGTCCAGCTCCAGCCTAGGTGCCATTAGGATCTCCCTCTGCCTCCCTCGTCCCTGCATCGTCCCCCAGGCTGGATGTGGCCCCCAGCTGCCAGCATCAGGAGAGCAGCCTGGGCCTCAGAGCAGCAGAGTGTGGCTGTTGTCCTGGCTCTGCCATGCCGGGCCATGTCATTTTCATAGCCAGATAAGAGAATGCATGTGAACGTGCTTTGTGAATCAAGGCTGCATTTTATTGCAATGTAAACCACTCTCTGCAGGGGCATGTGTGGTTTCATTTTAGCAAAGCTCACTGAAGTCTGTGTTCCATCCTCTGGTTTCTGTCTATTCTGAATTGGGGGAACGTTACATCTGCTTCGCAAAACAAGACTAGGAGTTCCTGGCAGGGAAGTCCTTGGTTCTAAGGAGGCAGGTGGCGTCACTGCAGGACAGAGTGTTATCTGCGTGCGATAGAAAGTCCTTCCCGCCACCACCGCCGGGCGCAGTGGCTCACGCCGTAATCCCAGCACTTTGGGAGGCCGAGGTGGATGGATCACGCAGTCAGGAGATCGAGACCATCCTGGCTAACATAGTGAAACCCCATCTCTGCTAAAAATACAAAAATTAGCCTGGCGTGGTGGCGGATGCCTGTAGTCCCAGCTACTCGGGAGGCTGAGGCAGAAGAATGGTGTGAACCCGGGAGGTGGAGCTTGCAGTGAGCTGAGATTGCGCCACTGCACTCCAGCCTGGGTGACAGAGTAAGACTCCATCTCAAAAAAGGAAAGTCCTTCCCACCACCCACTGTCTTGCAGGATTGCCCACATTGAATTTCCCGCATTGAATTTCATTTAGTTCCTGCAATGGTGGGTTATAACTGATCATGAAGTCCTAATAGTGTGTAAACATGTCCATGAAAAAGAATTGCTGAGTTAAATCAGGTTGCCTGTTTCTTTTCCCAGTTTTTCCCTATGTACTTGTTTGATGTCTGCTGGTTGGGTTGGTGGTCAGTGGTGATAACCAGCAGACAGGTAGGAGCAGTTGCTGAGGGCTTAACACTTTGCGGGAGGGAGTACTGAGAAACTCCACCCTCTGGCTTAGTTTGTTCTAGGGACTGGGTGACAGCGGCATTCTTCAGGCTTGGTCCAGTGATCAGAGAGACAATCCCGTGGGATCTTGGTGTCCCTCTTGCTATGAATGAGAGAAGGGTGGGGGACACACACCACCCCACACCACCACTGCATACACCTAAGCTGGGGACAGGGGCCAGCAGGTCACGGGGATCAGGCATTCTGCTGTAGAGCAGGTCAGGTCGGGAGGCATCTGATGAAGTGTCCTAGGACCCTCCTCCCTGGCTCAAGTTCACACACCCGAGAGGAGCCAGGGGCTTTTCCACCTGCCACCCACCCACCAGACCGTGTTCCTGACAGTGCCAGTTATGTCCATGCTTACAGAGTTGTGGGTGCGTGGTTTGGTGGGGTGCAGGAGTAGGAGCTGGGAGGCACTGCCTTGCTGGGATGGAGGAAAGACGAGCTCTCGTCTCACACAGGCACGGAGGGGATGGACCGTGGTTGAGTTTGGAACTTAGGGGTGCCCCGTTCAGCCCCTCCATTCTATAGTGTGTATGACTTCTGGGGGAAGTGCATCTTCCTTTGGAAGCTGTATCAACAGGCGACCTGCCTGTGACAGTCACATACGTGACCTTGAAGAGATGTAGAGCTGTCTTTCTTAGTCTCTTCTATGTGCCTGTGATGTAGGAAGGAGGGCGGTCGGGTTATCCGTGCACGTGTGTGATGGAGGAGGCCACGGTGTCACCTGTGCATCGACCAACTTTGCTCTTATTGTTTTCTACAGGAGACATGGGGGACAAAGGACAGAAAGGCAGTGTGGGTCGTCATGGAAAAATTGGTCCCATTGGCTCTAAAGGTATTTGCAATGCGATTCTTGCCTCATTTCCCCCCTGCCCCTAGGGTCAGCGTCTGGATACCCTGAGAATAATTGTAGCCTGAATTGTCTCGTCTGGTGCTCTTATTTATATTCGGTGCATGGTAGATAAGAAATCTACTGCAGTACTTCCATTTTTGGGGTGCTTGGAGCTAGTTGCTGGCTCTGTGCTTACAGGGTGCGGTGAAGCGCTCCCCATTCTGCAGGATTTTCACAGCGCCCCAGGATGGAGGGGCTGCAGCTAGTGTGCTTGGGCAAGACTCTGGCTGTGTAGCCACAATGTCCTTAACAAGTTTGGTAACAGACTTAGAGCCTCACGTAAGGAGCGGACGCACCCTGCTCTGGAGGCACGGCATCTGTTCCCCCAGCTCAGGTCTCAGGTATTTCGAGGTGATGGGATGGTTCTTGGTGAGAACAGGGTGTGGGATGGCAGCAGCGGGTGTGGGCAGCAACTATGGTGCCAGCACCTGGGCTCAGTCTGCACCTGCGGGTTCTAATTGCACCGTCTCCGCTGCTGCATTTGGCTGCACGGCCGTGGTAAGGCGGGCAGATCAGCTGCGCCTCCCGTGATGAGAGACTGAGGCCAGGACAGGCAAGGGGTTGCTCAGAAGGTGCTGCTCCTATGCGCCCCCGCCCCCCGCCATCTGGTCAGTGGACGTCTTTGGAGCGCCTGGCTTGTTCCAGGTCTATGCTGGGCTCTGGGGGACGAAGTCGGTGGGAGGGCAAGGAGCTGGCCGTCCCTGAGCTCTTCAGGTGTGGACTCATGAAGTCTCCTTGGGGTCCCGCACAGTGTAGCAATGCGGCTAAGCTGCCCTGAGCACTGGCGGTGGAGGGAGTCTGCTGTGGTCTGTCCAATTCAGGGGCCAGGTTCTTCTACCTCATTCATCTGCCTCGGAGCAGGTTGGCCCAGGTACCAAGAGGCTACGGTCTGGGGTTTGAGCTGTGAGGGGGTTCTCATGGTTTGTTCTGATCCATGGTCACAGACCTCCCCCTAGCCCAGCCTGTACCTGGTAGAAAGGGCTCTGTGGCCAGGAGAGCGATGGGGAGGGGCCTAGCTCAGCTGCGGGCCTCCCCTGGAAAACCCGTGAGAGGCACCTTCCCTGCCACGGCCAATGCAGTGAAGAGCACGCAGAGAACCACAGGATCTGGAGGGAGGCGTGGGCTTCACAAACCCAAATAACATCATGGTAAAATACTTATATCCCCAAACTTGCCATTTTAAGTATTTTAAGTGTACAATTCAGGGACATTGAGTACATTTGCAATGGTGTACAGCCATTACCACTATTTCCAAACCCTTTTCATCTCTCCAAAGAGAGACTCTTCCCACTAACCAGTGGCTCCCCATTCCTCCTCCCCCAGCCCCGGTAACCTCCAATCTACTTCCTGTCTCTGAATTTGCCTATTCTAGATATTTCACATATGTGGAATAACAATGTTTGTCCTTCTGTGTCTAGTTGATTTCACTTGGTGTAGTGTTTTCAGGGTTCACCTGTGTGGTAGCGTGGGTCAGAATCCCCTGCCTTTTTAGGGAATAATATTCCACCATATGGATGGACCACAATTATTGTCCATTCACCTGTCGATGGACACATGGGTTCTTTCCACCTGTTGCCTTTTGTGAATAACGCCACATTGCGTATTGACTCACACATGGGGATGTGTATACTTTTACCATGCGGTGTGTGCTCTGGGCAGATTCCGGCATCTCCTAAGGGGCAGCTGGTCCAGGCTGGCCTTGTTTGGCTTTGCTTATTTGATTTGCTTCGTGTCTGAGATTGTCATCCTGGGTTCTGGTCAAGCTGTGCTTTCATTTCCAAGCTCCCGATGCTGATAAAGGAACACAGAGGAATCAGGTGGGTGGAGACTGCGAAACTCCTTCCCTCCTTATGCGAATGGAATTGGAATCTACTGAAGTCTTTTCTCAGAGGCATTTGGGGCCTCTCTGTGAGAATAAAGAGAATGCATTAGAACTTATTTCTATTAAGTCACATGACTTAATTTTAGAGCAGCTAGAAAGCCCTGTTGCCATCATTTTGTTCAACCCCCTTGTTTTGGACGTTGAGGAGAACTGAGGGGCAGGGTGGTGAGGTGGCTTGTCCCATCTAACTGGAGGTTGGGTCCAGGCCAGGATGGAGCCCAGGCTCCTGGCATCTGGGCCCTCCAGGACACCAGGCTGCTACGAGCAGGGATGGGAAGGACCTTGAGCCAGGGCAGGAAGGAGTGCACCGACTCTTGGATTAGATGAGCTCTCAGGCCTGCGTGGCGCTCCCATCATGCTCCGTCTGGATTTTCCTGCTGTCATGAGAGAGGTCGGGTGCTGCTGTTGGGAGGAGTGGCCACTCACTCATGGCACCAGGGATTCATGAGGCGATGTCTGCAGAGTGTTCTATCAGATATCCTGGATTTTCCAGAACTGATTTAAAGAATGATCACTCGATAATCCCTGTCACCCCATGACATGTATATGGTTCGTATCACATAAATAGTGCCGGAAGCAGGAATTACCTGCAGAATGGGGCTCCGGTACTTTGTAGCAACAAGAGGGCCTGGGATAAATCCGCGAGACAAATCACATTTTCAGTCTTGATGTTTTTAACACATAGAACATGTCCATCTCTGCCTGGTGACTTGGACCTTGTTTTTTATTTTCAGGTGAGAAAGGAGATTCCGGTGACATAGGACCCCCTGGTCCTAATGGAGAACCAGGTATGGCATAAAGGGTCCAAGGATTTTTAATAAAATGTATTAAAAATTGCACTTTTGAAAACAATGTAGATCTACACCATGTAGATCCCACAGTGGACACCCACCCCTGTCACATCCCACAGTGGACACCCACCCCCGTCACATCCCACAGTGGACACCCACCCCCGTCACATCCCACGGTGGACACCCACCCCCGTCACATCCCACGGTGGACACCCACCCCCGTCACATCCCACGGTGGACACCCACCCACCATGTAGATCCCACAGTGGACACCCACCCCCGTCGCATCCCACAGCGGACACCCACCCCCGTCACATCCCACAGCGGACACCCACCCCCGTCACATCCCACGGTGGACACCCACCCCCGTCACATCCCACGGTGGACACCCACCCCCGTCACATCCCACGGTGGACACCCACCCACCATGTAGATCCCACAGTGGACACCCACCCCCGTCACATCCCACAGCGGACACCCACCCCCGTCACATCCCACGGCGGACACCCACCCCCGTCACATCCCACGGCGGACACCCACCCCCGTCACATCCCACGGCGGACACCCACCCCCGTCACATCCCACGGCGGACACCCACCCCCGTCACATCCCACGGTGGACACCCACCCACCATGTAGACCCCACGGTGGACACCCACCCACCATGTAGACCCCACGGTGGACACCCACCCACCATGTAGACCCCACGGTGGACACCCACCCACCATGTAGACCCCACGGTGGACACCCACCCACCATGTAGACCCCACGGTGGACACCCACCCACCATGTAGACCCCACGGTGGATCCCATTCGGAAGGTGCTTTCCGAGAAGGATCTGACTCTTGGATACCAGGGAGAAAAGAGAGGGGCTGGATTTCTGAATAAAAGTCCTTGTTTTAAAAGCTCCTTCGGCACCGCAGAGATGAGGAGGAACGGCTGCTTGGAAGGTGTGCTTGCCGGTGTGACTTGGCTGAGTGTGAGTGCGCTGAGATCAGTGTCACTGACTGGCCGAGCAGCATCCGCTCAGGGCACCTCCAGGCACTCAGCCAACCTGAGGGGCCCGGACAAAGCCTCTGGGAGACAGAAGGACCTGGAGGCAGGTGACGGCGGGGCAAGGAGAGGGGACGTCCCATCCCGGGGCTGAGCTGCTATCGTCAGGCCTAGCTTGGTCAGAGTTTGGAGGTTAAATGAGGAAAGGAATCCATCCACTTCCCCTGACAGGGATCTCTCCAGAAAGCCTCTATTACCTCAAACCTCAGCCAGCTTGAAGATAAAATATATTTAACAAATTTTATCTTAGATAAAACTTCCATTAAGAAAACCCCCAAAACCAAGGCAAACCCCAAGAAAGATCGAGTTTCAAATGTGCAAGTGTGAGTGGAGGGGGGGTGTCTCACGTATGAGGGCGAGGAAGGTGGTTTGGGCTCTACGTGATTGCCGACGTCCAGAAAGAGGGATTGAACTTCTACAGGATATGCCAGACTGCAGGGTGGGCTGAGACTCTGCCCAGTGGAAACTGTGGGAAAAGGCGTAAAGCCCACCCGCACACCGCAGCGATGGGGGTGGATGGTGAGGTGCTGGGCAGGCCCAGGCTCCGATCCTGGGGACAGGCAGAGGCTGCTGGGCCACGGGGAGCCCCGGCACCACGGAGGCGATGACCAGGTGTCACTCTTCACAGGAAGAAGGTTAGGGTCCGTCCAGGGACTAGGAACAAACTCGCAGCCGGAGGGAATCGGTTGGCAGAACTGGGAGGGCGGAGTGTAGCTCAGTTGATTAGCGAGAGAAGACTTAGGACAGCTGCGTGTTCTGGACACCGTGCCGTCTGCGAGGCATCAGAGGGACTTCCCGCCTAGCCACAGGGGCACAGATACTCGATTTTGGAGCCCAGACTGTCTGCCTGGGCCCAGATCTCAGGCTCTCCATGCCCCGTGGCTCTCAGTGATGTCAGATGTGATGCAGGGATAGGAGCAGCACGCGTGTGGTCACAGGCGTATGGGAACGGAATGAGCTCATTGAGAATGAGATCTGTTGCCAGAAAGGCCTGTGAGGTGTTCCCTGTTATTTCAGTGTGGGAGGTGGCTTCCCACCATGGCTCTGCGTCCCACCCATGTCCCTCTCATCAGGCCACTTGTGTTGCTCACTCTTGTGTGTCAGGACAGACACCGGCTTCATCCCTCCCTCCCTATCAGCTCCCTTTCACCACCGTTTCAATATATGCAAGCAATTCTTGTCTTAAAGCAAAACGACTGCAAAGCCGCAGAGCTCCTCTCTAGCGGCCTCACGTGTGCAGCTCCCCAGAGTTCTGTACCCCGGGCCCCTGTCTTTCCCTCCACATTCCTGCCGCATCATCCAGCTGGGACAGCCCTTGATCGCTAGGTGGTGGGTCTGAGGGCCGCTCCAGCCATCCTCCCACCAGACCATGGCAGCACCTGTCCTGTGGGCGCGGCCTGCCTTCCTCACTTCCTCCCAGGCCTCACCCACGGCCTGCAGGTGCTCCTGGTGATGCTGCTCTGTCCTCCCTCCCTGAGCCGTCCCTCACGCCCTGTGTGTGCCCACGATGCCCAGCTCTGCCCTGGCCCCCACTCCCCACCTGACATGTCACAGGCACCTGAGTGTTGGCAGATTCCACCTCCTTTGCCCAGCCAGCAATGGAATGGCCCCACCACCTCTTCCATTCCTGACAGACGCCACTGCGCCCTTCAGCTCCCCTCAGCCCTGCAGTGCCCCCAAGCCATGGAGGCCTGCTGGCCATCCCCACCATCTTCCTCAGATGTTCTAGCTTTTCTCACTGCACGCCCTCAGCCAGACCTGCTTCCCTGGTTCCCAACCCTGCCCTGGGCTGCTTCCCACCCCTGCACCTCCATTTCTCTTCCCCCTACAGCTGGAGAGGTTTGAAATACATGTGTCTGCCCTCCCTCCACTCCTGTGGAGGTCCTTCCCTGCTCCCCCTGCCTTTAGGATGAAGTGGGTGATGGTTATTGCGGCCTCAAAGGCCCGTGGGGCACGTTTGTTGAGTAAAATGTGCATTTCCGGGGAGGGGTCCTCGCCTCTCTTCTGAGTCCGAGTCCTCATCCAGCGTTTGTAACGCGTGGGCCTGGCCCCCGCAGGCCTCCCATGTGAGTGCAGCCAGCTGCGCAAGGCCATCGGGGAGATGGACAACCAGGTCTCTCAGCTGACCAGCGAGCTCAAGTTCATCAAGAATGGTATGTGGCTCCCGGCGCCGCCCTCGCTCCCTCCCACCTCCCAGCCCTGTCCTGAGCCCCCCGGCAAGGGCTCTGCCGTGCCCACGCCTGCCCTGCCTGCCCTGCCGGCCCCTGCTGCCTGTGGCTGTGCCTTAAGTTTGTTGCACACATACAAGTGCTCACTTTTCAACCCTGCCTTACCCCACAGCTGTCGCCGGTGTGCGCGAGACGGAGAGCAAGATCTACCTGCTGGTGAAGGAGGAGAAGCGCTACGCGGACGCCCAGCTGTCCTGCCAGGGCCGCGGGGGCACGCTGAGCATGCCCAAGGACGAGGCTGCCAATGGCCTGATGGCCGCATACCTGGCGCAAGCCGGCCTGGCCCGTGTCTTCATCGGCATCAACGACCTGGAGAAGGAGGGCGCCTTCGTGTACTCTGACCACTCCCCCATGCGGACCTTCAACAAGTGGCGCAGCGGTGAGCCCAACAATGCCTACGACGAGGAGGACTGCGTGGAGATGGTGGCCTCGGGCGGCTGGAACGACGTGGCCTGCCACACCACCATGTACTTCATGTGTGAGTTTGACAAGGAGAACATGTGAGCCTCAGGCTGGGGCTGCCCATTGGGGGCCCCACATGTCCCTGCAGGGTTGGCAGGGACAGAGCCCAGACCATGGTGCCAGCCAGGGAGCTGTCCCTCTGTGAAGGGTGGAGGCTCACTGAGTAGAGGGCTGTTGTCTAAACTGAGAAAATGGCCTATGCTTAAGAGGAAAATGAAAGTGTTCCTGGGGTGCTGTCTCTGAAGAAGCAGAGTTTCATTACCTGTATTGTAGCCCCAATGTCATTATGTAATTATTACCCAGAATTGCTCTTCCATAAAGCTTGTGCCTTTGTCCAAGCTATACAATAAAATCTTTAAGTAGTGCAGTAGTTAAGTCCAAATAGTGGCAATGGGGTCTTGAATTACTACCTTTTAATTTCTATATGGAAAAGAACTCACTTTGACCAACACTTCTGTAAATTACATTACAATATAGGTTCCTTCACACTATTATCCATGTAAAAACAATTTTGCTTTGCTTCAAACCCAGATTTCAGGAAAACAACAACAAAATTCTCCAAACTTTACTACTAAATGTGTGGAGTCATTTTGTTCTCTTAATTTTTTCAATAGCTGTATTAGTTATCTTTTATTTTAATTAACTTTTGTAGAGGTGAGGTCTTGCTATGTGGCCCAGGCTGGCCTTGAACTCCTGGGCTCAAGCGATCCTCCCACCTCTCCTGAATAGCTGGGACTGCAGGCAGGAGCCACCACACCCGGCTTGTATGAGTTATTTATTGCTGCCTAACAAATTACCCCAAAACTCAGTGGCCTAAGAAAGATTGATTACCTCCCAGATCAGGAATCGGCACAGGGCTTAGCTCAGTCTTCTACTTCAGGGCCTCTCCCAAGCTGGAACCAAGGTCACTCCTCGTGTGGTTTGTGCAGAGCTCAGGTCCTCCTGGGTTGTTGGATGGAGGGCCTCAGTTTCCCACCAGCTGTGGGTCACAGGCTCCCGCAGTTCCCTGTCACAGGGGCCCTTCCCCTGGGCTGCCCACAACATGACAGCACCTTCCTCAGAGCAGCCCAGGAGAAGAGCCGAAGAGAGAAGCCGCAGCCTTTCCTAAGCTCACCTGGACATATCCTGCTGTCTGCATCCATTTGCGTTGCCACAAAGGAAAACCCGAGGCTGGGCAACAGATCAACAAAGAGGTTTATTTGGCTCACGGTTCTGCAGGCAGCACCAGAAGCGTGGTGCCAGCATCTGCTCCTGGTGAGGCCTCAGGCTGCGTCCACTCTCAAGTGGAGGGGGAGGGAGAGCCGGCACTCACAGAGATCACATGGGGAGAGGGAAGCCACGAAGAAAGAGAGGGAGGTGCCGGGCTGTTCTGCATAATCAATCAGCTTAGGGAACTAGCAGAGTGAGAACTTGCTCACTAGGGTAAGGACTGAGGACAGCACCCAAGATACTCATGAGGGTTCCGCTCCCGACCCAAACACCTATTTGGCCCCACCTCCACCATGAGGGTCACATTTCAACATGAGATCTGGAGAGGCCCAACAGCAAACCACAGCACGTGCCTTCCCTCTGTGGTGCTCTACCAGCTTGAGGCGAGGCACCGGGTGCAGCCCATACATGGGGGTGAATACCAGGGGGTGGGGACCACTGGGGGTCAGTTCAGAAGCTGCCTGCCACAGTACCTCATGGTTTTTTTTTTTTTGTATTTCAGAATCCCAATAAAAATAACAAGTATCTTCATTTTTAAAATAGAACACACGTACATGTACATTCCCTCCCAGCTGGTGTTGTGGGGCGAGAGGGAGCTGTGGAGCTGGCTCCCAGGGGTGGGTGTATTTGTGCACATCCTGTGAGGGAGGCCCCGACGGCCCTTTGTTCTAAGTTATCTATTCTGGGTGTTTGTACAGTGAAATGCCTTGGAAGATAAAGATAGTGTCTCCCTTCCCTGTCTCCCCACCGGAGAAAAGGGCAGGTTTGCCCGCAGCCTTGGAAAATAGAGTGTCTCGTTCTGTGGCAACAGGCAGGCATGGTTACTGTCCAGCATAATAAAGATGATGTCTCCCTCCAGGAAAGAGTGCAGGCATGTGTACTACCTGCTAGAGAAGAACCGGGTTCCCTAGGCTCAAGGGTCCTCCCTGTAACGGACCCACTGCATGTGCGGGTGCTGTCTGCCTTCTTCCTGAACCCCTGAAGGGAGTGGAGCCCAGGATACTGGTGCAGAAATGCCAATACCCCAGCTATGGCTGTTGCTGTAAGTAACAAAGTCCTTTATCTCTGACCCAGAAGT